>NC_000010.11:99991580-100294610 GCF_000001405.40 Homo sapiens
AAAATAGAAATATGATCAGCTTCATCATGAAGACCTTGAAAACATTGTGCTAAGAAGCCAATCACAAAAGACCCCATATACTCTGGGAGGCCAAGGCAGGCGGATCACAAGGTCAGGAGATCGAGACCATCCTGGCTAACATGGTGAAACCCCATCTCTACTAAAAATACAAAAAGTTAGCCAGGCGTGGTGGCAGGCGCCTGTAGTCCCAGCTACTCGGGAGGCTGAGGCAGGAGAATGGTGTGAACCCAGGAGGCGAAGTTTGCAGTGAGCCGAGATTGCACCACTGCACTCCTACCTGGGTGACAGAGCGAGACTCCACCTCAAAAAAAAAAAAAAAAAGAAATATGATCAGCTTAGAGCGTATGTAAGTTAAGCTGGGAGCAGTAGCACATGCCTGTAATCTCACCACTTTAGGAGGCCAAGGGGGCAGATGGCTTGAGCTCAGGAGTTCAAGACCAGCCTGGGCAACATAGTGAGACCCCATCTCTAAAACAAAAAATCCAAAAATTGGGCGGGTGAGGTGGCATGTGCCTATTGTCCCAGCTACTTGGGAGGCTAAAGTGGGAGGACTGCTTGAGTCCAGGATGTTGAGGCTGCAGTGAGCTGAGATCACACCACTGCACTCCAGCCTGGGTGACAGAGCAAGATCCCGTCTCAAAAACAAAACAAAACAAAATGTAATAGTTAAGAGCACAGACTATAGAGCCAGACTACCTAGATCTATATGGCAGCTCCATCCCTTATTACAGCAATTACTTAACTTTTTATTAAAACAATTACTTAATTACTTACTTGCTTCTTTGGAGCAAGTTAATTCTCTGTGTCTTAACTTTCTTATCTGTAAAATGGGTTTAATAATAGAACCTGGCTGGGTAAAGTGGCTCACGCCTGTAATCCCAGCACTCTGGGAGGCTGAGGCAGGTAGATTGCCTGAATCTAGGAGTTTTTTTTTTTTTTTTTTGAGACGGAGTCTGGCTCTGTCACCCAGGCTGGAGTGCGGTGGCGTGATCTCGGCTCACTGCAAGCTCCACCTCCTGGGTTCACGCCATTCTCCTGCCTTAGCCTCCCGAGTAGCTGGGACTATAGGCGCCCGCCACTAAGCCCGGCTAATTTTTTGTGTTTTTAGTAGAGATGGGGTTTCACCGTGTTAGCCAGGATGGTCTCGATCTCATGACCTCGTGATCTACTCGCCTGGGCCTCCCAAAGTGCTGGGATTACAGGCATAAGACACCGCATCCGGCCGAGTCTAGGAGTTTTAAGACCAGACTGGGCAACATGGTGAAATCTGGTCTCTACAAAAAATACAAAAAATTAGCTGGGCATGGTGGTGTGCAACTGTAGCCCCAGCTAGTCAGGAGGCTGAGGTGGGAGGATCACTTGAGCCCAGGAGGTCAAGGCTGCAGTGAGTGGTGATTGCACCCTCTAATCTGGGCTACAGAGCAAGACCCTGACTCAACATAAAAATAAAAATAAAGATTCAACATAAAAATAAAAATAAAACCTGCTCATAGGGTTGTAATGAAATTAATATATGTAAAGCACTGAAAATAGTACCTCACAAATAGTAAGCATTACACCAGTGTCAGCTATTATCATTATCTGCATTAAAGAGAGAGGAATTGTAGATAGACACTCCCAAAACCTTTTTCATAGCATTGGGATGTATTCTGGTATTTAATATGTTTGAAAATGAATGTCTCAGGAATGGAAAATGAGCACTGACTGCTACTGGGTATGAAGTTTCTTTTGGGGGTAATGAAAATGCTCTGGAATTAGTGGTGAATGGGTGTACAACTTTGTGGATATACTAAAAACCACTGAATTATATACTTTTAAAAGGTGAATTTTATGGTATGTGAATTGTATCTCAATTTTTAAAAGTAAGTGTCTCTCCTCTTTCCGAAATCTCTATACTTCACACAAAATAGTGAAGGCAGGCCAGGCATGTTGGCTCATGCCTGTAATCCCAGCATTTTGGGAGGCCAAGGGGGTTGGATCACTTGAGGCCAGGAGTTCAAGACCAGTCTGGGCAACATAGTGAGACTGTCTCTACAAAAATTTATTAAAAATTAGCTGGGCATGCTGGTGTGCACCTGTAGTCCTAGCTACTTGGGAGGCTGAGGTGGAAGGATCGCTTAAGCCTGGGAGATTTGAGGCTGCAGTGAGCTGTGATCATGCCACTGCATTCCAGCCTGGGCAACAAAGCAAGACCCTGTCTTTAAAAAAACTGTGAAGGTAGAAAAAAAATAGAGAAGGCATACATGAATATTCTGCCTTGAAAAAAGCTAGAAATTTAAATAGCTTCCCTATTCTGCCACCCACATCCACCTCCCCTCCCCTACAAAGTTTTTCCTACACTTAATGTTTTAATAGATACTTTAAACTTGTGTTTTATGCCTGTTATAGGATGGGCATGGAGGGTAGGTAACAAACACAGTGTTTGATTAAGTGAACTTTCACTGGGTGGATGATGCTACATAAAAGAGCAAATTTAAAGAGAAGTCATATTTGCTACTGAATTGTATTAAGTAATAACTACATAACAGTTAGGAGCCCAGACTCCAGTCAGACAGAATTTAGTTTCAATTTCTGGCTCTGCCATTTATCAAGCTATGTGACCTTGGGCAAGTTACTTAAACCCCTCTGAACTTTAGTTTCCTCATCTGTAATGGAAGATAATAACAGTAATTTATTTCATAGGGCGTATAAGGATTAAATTTGATAATGTAGGTAAAACATTTAATACATTTCCTGGCAAATGGTACATACAGTACTCAGTAAATGTCAGCAATGAGAACAGTGATGACAATGGCGGGTGATGACGATTATGACCATCATCACCCAGGCGGAGGGGAACATAAATAATAGGGATGAGACAGCAGGCTCTAGGCGGGGCCAACTTCTCAAAACTGCTGCTGTCTTCTTGAGAGGAAGGGGGAGTCATGTGACTCTGTGGTTACTGGTCACCAGGACAACGCAATTGACGTGCCCCTCTACTCTAAGCTCTAAAATGAGCTGTGTCTTCACAGCAGACCCACAAGGATTTGGCAGAAGTTTATAAATGAGATCCCTGCATATGGGTCCAGGAAAGCCTTTGCCAAATGCCTTCCAGGAATAGAAGAGGGATATGAAATCAATTTACTGACTGTTCTAAAACATATCCTGTACTTCTAGGAAAAACATTGGCATTACTGTTAAATCCTTTAAACACATCAAACTATGATTCTCATCATCTTTTCTTTGGGGCTCCTGCAATAGCTTCCTAAATGGCTACCTACCAATCTTATCTGCCTTTGTCCTATTTTCCACACCCAACTAGGATTATCTTCTTAAAAATGGTTTTGTTTGTTTGTTTAAAGAGACAGGGTCTTGCTATGTTGCCCAGGCTGGACTCAAACTCCTACTCAAGTGATCCTATGGCTTCAGCCTCCCAAGCAGCTGGGCATGCGCCACTGTGCCCAGCTTGAAAACAATTTTTTTTTTTTTTTTGAGACAGTCTCACTCTGTTGCCCAGACTGGAGTGCGGTGGTGCGATGACAGCTCACTGCAGCCTTGACCTCCCAGTCTCAAGCAATCCTCCCATCTCAGCCTCCCAAGTAGCTGGGACGGCAGACGTGGGCCATCACGCTCAGCTAATTTTTGTATTTTTTGTAGAGATGGATTTCCCCATGTTGCCCAGGTTGGTCTCTTCCTGGGCTCAAGCCATCCACCCACCTTAGCCTCCTGAACTGCTGGGATTACAGGCATGATCACGGCACCTGGCAAAAACAGAAATCTTATACATCTTTACCGCCTGAAGTTCCTCTAAGGCTTCCCCATCCATCACTTGCAGGAAGTGTCTAAAACTTGTTTGCAGATCATACAAAGCTTGTCATGAGCTAGTCCCGGCATACAAGTTTGACCTCATTTCTTGACACCCTTCTACCTACCATATACACTAAGCTCTAGCCTCACCAAAATACTGGCAGGGGAATCTAGGAAAAAGACATCCAATTTTGTTTAAGTCATGACCAAACAGGCTTGTTGGGGGCATTTCATGGGGTGAGCTTTGAAGTGCTGGTGGGCCAGAGTGGTTGCAGATATGTGACTTGGAGCACCTGTGTCTTATGATGGACAGAAATAAAAGTGAATACACAGAGAGACAGGCTATTCTATAAGAATGTGACAAACAATCTGGAAGAGCAACTATATAAACACTGTCTGATTATCTTTGCCTTTTGGGGCCAGTGGCTGTTGCCAAAATAATAAACACGTCTGTCTTCAAGAAGGGACAGTGGAGTCACCCAGGTGCTGCCACGTCAGGCACAGTAGGCATTGATCTACAATGGGCAGTTCTCTGCAAGGCCACGTGGACACATTATTACAGTACAATTACATTTACAGACTGCTTTTCAAATACATTATCTCCTGTATGTATTATTGCTACCTGTGAACAGTTGTGAACATGAAGTGCTATTTTTATTGTTAGCTGATCACTGCAGGGAAAACAATCAGTAAACTAGCAAATCACCTCTCATCAACACTTACTGTGAATAATAATTATATTTTAATTTTTAAACGTTTGGAATCACAAGAAGAGAATATTCACCAAGCCTGAATCCCACCTATGGGATACAAGAATAACGTTTGAACATGTTGGTAAAATTCAACCCAAAGGCTGGGGGCGGTGGTTCACACCTGTAATCTCAGAACTTTGGGAGGCCAAGGCAGGTGGATCACCTGAGGTCAGAAGTTTGAGACCAGCCTGGCCAAAATGGCGAAACCCCGTCTCTACTAAAAATAAAAAATTGGCCAGGCATGGTGGCACCCGCCTGTAATCCCAGCTACTCAGGAGGCTGAGACACGAGGATCACTTGAAACCAGGAGGCAGCGGTTGCAGTGAGCCGAAATCGCACCACTGCAATCCAGCCTGAGTGACAAAGCGAGACTCCAACTAAATTAAAAAAATAAAATTCAACCCAAAAGATTTTCATAACTGTTTTCAACATCTTTAATCAAAGCAAAATCCTTACTTAAAATAACCAGCTAGTAAAATAATAATAAAAGTATTAAGTAGGGTTATAATAAATTTATTGAATGTCTTTCTTTTTCTAGTTTAGATTTTTAGTCTTGACTTATTAACCATTTGACTTTAAATGAAAATATTGACATTGAGATACTTTCTTCTTACACCCTTCAAATCACTAAATAAATCCAAACACAGCTGCATACTTCAACAATTTTCATTCTTTTCACTTTAATACTGGCTCACTATCCCACAGAACTATCACAGCTGACTAGAAGGTCAAGGCAGCAAAACTAAAAGAAAAATACAAGAAAACGGATTTCTTTGTGTCTACAGCAGTCCAGATGTTATAATTATTGAACAACATCTAGACACTGGTAGCAAAAAGAACAAGTAATTAAAACTATGGGTTTGAAAAACATGGATGAGTGTTATGTTCCACAGCCCATATAGCTGCTCAAAAATACGGGACTCTAACAGGCACTAACAAAGTCTGGTTTTAATGTAAACTCATCCTCCTCTTCCCTGACCCTCTAGGGATTCTCAGATGTTTCCTGATAAGCAGATCTAAACTGTAAGACAATAATATCCCAAGGAGTTTCTGGCACTCAGCCTCAGAAATCCTTAAAGCTACAAGCACTGTCTAAAAGAAGAAAACCAGGGTACTTATTCTCTTAACAATTTTCTCCCCTAACTCTAGGGAACACGAAAATGCCCTTCCACATAGCAGTTGTAAAATTCCTTCTGAGGCAGAATGTTTTCAACTAGAGATGGCCTGCTGTTGATAATGTCATTCCCTGACACCTGGAACATTTTGAAAGACTCCTCAGAAATGACCTTGGGGCCAGACCAAACTACAAGGGCCAGTGAATCCCTTCTATTTATGGAGGCCTGAATAACTTGGAACCTCCTGCAGTGACCAACAGATTAAAGGGTAAGTTAACTCACTACAGAGACAACAGCAAAGTTATATCAGACACCCTTAAAAAATCCAGAATGTGGGAAACTCTAGAGAATAAACGACCAGTTTCTTCAACAAATAAATTACAAGCAAAAAATTTAAATTTAAAAAAGGAGGCCAGGTGCGGTGGCTCATGCCTATAATCCCAGCACTTTGGAAGGCTGAGGCAGATGGATCACTTGAGCTCAGGAGTTCGAGACCAGCCTGGGCAACATGGCAAAACCATCTCTATTCCAGGCATGGTGGCTCACACCCATAATTCAAGCTACTTGGGTGGGTGGGGCACAAGAATCGCTTGAATCCAGGAGGCAAAGGCTGCAGTGAGCTGAGATCACGCCACTGCACTCTAGCCTGGGTGACAGAATGAGACTCTGTCTCAAAAAAAAAAAAAAAAAAAAAAAAAAGCTGGACGCGGTGGCTCACACCTGTAATCCCCAGCACTTTGGGAGGCCAAGGTGGGCAGATCACAAGGTCAGGAGATCAAGACCATCCTGGCTAACACAGTGAAACCCCATCTCTACTAAAAATACAAAAAATTAGCCAGGCGTGGTGGCGCACACCTGTATTCCCAGCTTCTCGGGAGGCTGAGGCAGGAGAATCGCTTGAACCCGGGAGGTGGAGGTTGCAATGAGCAGTGATCGCGCCACTGTACTCCAGCCTGGTGACAGAGCAAGACTCCGTCTCAAAAAAAAAAAAAGGAAAACCATAAATTCATAAATTAAAAGCCACTTAAGAAACACATTAACGGCCGGGCGCAGTGGCTCACGCCTGTAATCCCAACACTTTGGGAGGCTGAGGTGGGTGGATTGCCTGAGCTCAGGAGTTTGAAACCACCCTGGGCAACATGGTGAAACCCTGTCTCTACTAAACTACAAAAAACATTAGCCGGGTATAGTGGCACACGCCTGTAATGCCAGCTACTCAGGAGGCTGGGGCGGGAGAATCGCTAGAGCCCAGGAGGCAAAGGTTGCAGTGAGCCAAGATCACACCACTGCACTCCAGTTTGGGTGACAGAGTGAGACTCCGTCTCAAAAAAAAAAAAAAAAAAAGAAACACATTAACTAAATACAATACATGTACTTTTCTTGAACGCTGATTCAAACAAATCAATTGTTTAAGGAAAAATGAGGTAAGTGGGAAATTGTGAACATTGACTAGACTGTTGATTATATTAAGGAATTACTGCTGTTTTGGGGGGTGATAATAATGGTATTGTTGTCATACATAAATAAAAGGGAATCCTATTTTTTTTAAGTCATTAGAACCAAAAGGTCTATAAAACGGCAAAGGGAGGTGAAATACAGAAACCAAGTTAGCTTTTTAGATTTTAAATTGAGTGTTGGATACATGGACGTCAGATGTATTATTCTTTATTCATTTTTGTACATTTTAAATACTTTATTATGAAAAGGATTGAAAAGTCAAAGAATGCTACCTGGATGATTTCAGAGCTTTCTCCTTTCGGAGGTGCCACGTGGTTTCTGTCTGCAGCTGTCAGTGCAGAATCCAGAGAGGGGCTCCCTGAGCAGTTCCAGCTCCAGACAGAATCCTCCCTTCCCTCCACAGCTAACAGAGTGCTGGTGAGTTAGTCTCGCATACCCTGAAAAAGGACAACCTCAGTAACTGCTGGACTGTACAAGTCACTCACTGTCTTCAGGCACTCATTTACCTGGGGACCACTATGGCAAGACGGTTGAGAGCACGGGCTTTGGAGGTAAACAGACATGAGTTTGAATTTAATTCTATTCACTTAACAGTGGTACAACTTTAGGGCAAGTTTCTTACGATCTGTACCTCAGTTTCTCCATCTATAAAATGAAGATTCTAACAGCACCTTCCTCGTAAAATCATTTTACAATTAAATGACAATGCATGTAGTATGGTAGCTAAAATATGAGCTGCTGTTTTTACATTATTGTTGTTGTTACACACAGTAGTCCCCACCTTATCCGCGGTTTCACTTTCCACAGTTTCAGTTACCTATGGTCAACTGCAGTCTAAAAATAGGTGAGTACACTACTAAGACATTTTGATAGCAAGAGAGCCCACATTCACATAGCTTTTATTACAATATAGTGTTATAAGTATTCTATTTTGTTATTATTGTTGTTAATCTCTTACTGCACCTAATTTATAAATTAAACTGGATCGCAGGTAGGTACGTATAGGAAAATGCAGAGTATATGTAGGGTTGGTGCTATCCACAGTTTCACGTATTTACTGGAGGTCTTGGAATGTATACCCTGTGGAAAAGCAGGGACTACTTTATATAAGTGGATTTGGGCCAGACTTGAGGGCCAGGCAGGCAGCAGAGTTTAAAATTTACTGGGAGAGGTGGTAGGCACTGGTAAGTGTCAGGCAGTAGAATAATAAACAAAAGCGGTATTTCAGGAATATGAGCCAAGCAATGGCCTCTACAGGATAGACTGGGTGTGTGACACTGGCCTCAAGAACACCATTATGGTGTATTTGTGGCAGCTTTTTAATTTTTTAGCATTTTATATAGTGCTATTAATATAATTTGAAGACTTGCTTTAGAAAACAGTGACCAGGTATGCAAGGCATAACTGTTCATCGTAACAATTCTGAACCAGATTAGAATACTTACCGTTCAGAATACTTATTGTTCGGAAATGACAGAAAAGCTAAAAAGTTTCCACATTGCAGGGGAGGGGAGGAAAGAACCAACTAGAAAGCAGGAGGACCTGGGGTGTGAGGCTGGGGAGGTAAGCATAACTCGGCACATCCATTGCAACATTTTCTGCTGATGGGGCAGGCTCATTTATCCTAAGAGAATCACCTCATGAAAACAATGCAGAATGCACTCTGGGCCCAGACCCACAGCTAGAATGTCAGTGCTGATTATTCTCTCCCAGTCCATGTGTTTGTCAGCAACACAAACATTCACATGCTACTTTCGGGAAAATGCAGCCTCCGCAGGAGGGGCTAGAACAGATGCAGAGAGCTAATTTCTCTGTGTCTGGGTGGATGGTTTCATTTGCAATGTCAAAGACAAAAATGGGGATTCTACTAGCCTGCTGAACCTATGCATTGAAAGGAAGCTAAGAGAGCTTTCTTCTCTCACCCCTCCCTTAGATGACCCTTCTCTGGATCACAGTGTGGCTTCTTTACAGGTTGATTCATCTTATAGATTCATCTGTTGAGGGCACATCAGGTACCAGGCACTGTTCGAGGTGGGCTTGGGTTATGAACAGGGAACAAAACAAAGATTCCTGCCCTTGAAGAATTTTCTCCTTGAGGAATTGGGAAGGCAGACCATTGTGTTTTAGAAAGTGACACCTGTTATGGCAAAAAAAAAAAAAAAAAAAAAAAAAAAACCCAGCAGGGTACAGGAATGGGGAATTTCAGTTTCAACACCAAAGGACACTGGGGGAAAAAAGAGCCGGGCACGGTGGCTCACGCCTGTAATCCCAGCACTTTGGGAGGCCGAGGCGGGCAGATCACGAGGGAGGAGTTCAAGACCAGCCTGGCCAACATGGGGAAACTCCATCTCTACTAAAGAATACAAAAATTAGCCAGGTGTGGTGGTGCGTGCCTGTAATCCCAGCTACTCGGGAGGCTAAGGCAGGAGAATTGCTTGAACCCAGGAGGTGGAGGTTGCAGTGAGCCGAGATGGCACCACTGCACTCCAGCCTGGAGGACAGAGCAAGACTCCGTCTCATTAAAAAAAAAAAAAAAAAAAAAAAAAAAAAAAAAAAAAAAGGATAGAGAGTGAGAAAGGAAGGCAGGTAGACATTGAATCTCCTCACCATAGGGATGTTCACCTATGAATTCTGTCACTTCCACACTAGCAAAAAGTGATTAGGGAAACAAAACAATTGTGATGGGGTTTTGTTGTTGTTGTTTTTTTTTTTTTTTTGAGACAGGGTCTCACTCTGTTGCCCAGGCTGGAGTGCAGTGGTGCAAGCACAACTCACTGCAACCTCCACCTCCCAGGTTCAAGCAATTCTCCCACCTCAGCATCCTGAGTCGCTAGGACTACAGGCACATGCCACCATGCCCGGCTAGTTTTTGTATTTTTTGGTAGTGATGGGGTTTGGCCATGTTGTCCAGGCTGGTCTTGAACTCCTGAGCTCAAGTGATCCGCCCGCCTTGGCCTACCAAAGTGCCGGGATTACAGGTGTGAGCCACCGTACGTGGCCTGTGCTAGGTTTTCAGAGTCAAAAGAAAATAAATGACTATTTTCTCCATTCTATTTATTTTCTGAAAGATTAAAGCAAGTGTGGTCTAGATAAGGAAGGTGACAACCTGGGAGGACTGAACTGAAGCAAAGAGACCTCAAAAGTACTTCTCCCCTCCACACCCTTAAGCTAGTTTTTGGTCTGTTGGGCTTAGGGCTAGGATTGCTCCAAGTTCTGACAATGACTCTGGGCTGTTTGTGCACGGAGGCTCCCTCAGGCATAAACTGTTCCAAGAGAGGAGCAAGCTATCACCCCACTGCTACAAGTTAATTGTAAGTTTTCTATCGATTTTTCCCCAGAGAGCCAATCAAAGCAAAATGAACATGAGTTAATGATCTAGCCCTGAAAAAGGAGGGGTGATAGAAAATGATATAGTGCAATGTTAAGTGCCCTCTCCTCCTCAACATGCTCCCCCACCCCAATAAAAAACAGAGACAGAGAAATAACCAACGTTTTAGCAGGGGTTGGTGCTAAAAGGCAGGATTATAGATTCGCTTTTCTATATTTTACAGATGCTCTGTAATAAAGAGGTATAATTTCACAATTAGGAAAAAAAATGGCTAGTCTAAAAAGAAAGAAAAAGAAAGAGAGAGAAGAGCTGGCCATGAGAATTCACTGCCCAACACCCTAGCAGTTAGTGCTGCTAAACAGCTATCTATGGCTCTACTGACGAGCCACCTCAATATTTCTTGAGATATAATTTAGTAAGATTTATGCCTGAAGTAAAGACCGATCCACAGAGTAAGGAAACTATAATTTTACATATCTTATATTTACAATCATGCTGACAACAAAACTTATCATCCTGAGTATGGCTCTTTCTCTCATTTTTCACATCAGCTATTTAAATTCTGACTCGTAATGCCAGGAGGAAAAAGCTGACCTAATGGTGAAATAAACTTGTATTGGAATCTTGAGATGCTTTCCACAAATTATATATGTAGGGTTAATAAATATCTTCTGCTTGAAACAAAGTCAGCATAGGGTTAGGATTTTGGTATACAGCCTTCCTGATGCCATCTTATTTCCTCAAGGACAGATCCTGAAAAAGTACTTGGTAAGGCTTAATACCTATTTATGATGAAAACTCTCAGTAAACTAGGATTGAGGGTAATACCTTAAAACTTGATAAAGGTAACATACAAAACCTAAAACAAACATTATATGAAATAGGAAATCTTTAGACTCACTCTTTTTAAGACTGAGAACAAGACAAAGATGCCCGTTAGTGTAGCAGCTGTTTTGACACAGTTCTAGTAGTCCTGGCCAATGCTGTAAGGAAAGAAAAATGAATAAGAAGTATAAGAATGGGAAAGGGCTGGGCACGGTGGCTCAGGCCTGTAATCCCAGCACTTTGGGAGGCCAAGGCACGTGGATCACAAGGTCACATTGAGACCATCCTGGCTATCATGGTAAAACCCCATCTTTACCAAAAATACAAAAAAATTAGCCAGGCGTGGTGGCACACACCGGTAGCCCCAGCTACTCAGGAGGCTGAGGCAGGAGAATTGCTTGAACCTGGGAGGCGGAGGTTACAGTGAGCAGAGATCGAGCCACTGCACTCCAGCCTGGGCGACAGAGCGAGACTCCATTCCAAAAGAAAAACAAACAAACAAACAAAAAGAACTGATGAAGCATGTATTTAGAGATTAAAGGGACATGATGTCTACAATTAAAGGGGTCAGGGGAAAAAGCACACAAAGAAAACATACTCTTAGCACTCTTCTGTTAGCTTTAAATTATTTCCAAAATTATAAAAATGTCAGAAAAATGAGCTGAATAAACGGAAAGACACATTATATGCTCTTGGATGGAATGAGTTACTATTTCAGTGGCTCACACTTGTAATCCCAGCACACTTTGAGGTGGGAAGACCATTTGAGGCCAGGAGTTACTGGCCAGGGCCCAGCCAGGGCAACAGAGTGAGACCTCATCTCTATTAAAACAACAACAACAACAACAAAAAACTTATAAAAATATTTAGCTGGGTGTGGTGGCTGCAGTGAGCTATCATCGCACCACTGTACTCCAGCCTGGGCAACAGAGGGAGACCCTGTCTTAAAAAGAAAAATAAAAAATAAAAAAGCAACATGGCACATAAAAAATAAATAAATAAATAAAATAAGATGTTAACCCTCCTCAAATAATTTATAAACTCAATAAACTCCAATAAAAATTCCTCAAAAATATAATTTTTTGGCCAGGCACAGTGGCTCATGCCTGTAATCCAAGCACTTTGGGAGGCCAAGGCAGGAAGATTGCTGGAGCCCGGGAGTTCAAGACCGGCCTGGACAACAAAGGGCGTCCCTATCTCTAAAAAAATTACAAAAAAAAAAAAGAAAAATTAGCCAGGGATGGTGGCACATGCCTGTGGTCTCAGCTACTTGGGAGGCTAGAATGGGAGGATCACTTGAGCCTGGGAGGTTGAGGCTGCAGTGAGCCGTGATGGTGCCACTGCACTCCAGCCTGGGTAACAGAGTGACACAAGGTCTCAAAAGAAAAAATATATATATATAAATATATATGTATATATAATGTTTGGGTAGCCTGGTAAACTTATTCCAAATTTTATATGGAAAAAATAAATTTTGGTCCAGGAAGAGCTAAATAAACTTTAAGATGAATGGCTTGCTGTGCCAGTCATTAGGACATACTACAAAGTCACTGTAATAAAATTAGAGCAATTAAAAAAATGAAGTAAGAACTGACAGACTAATGGAACAAAATAAATGCTTAGGGCCAGACAAGTGTATCCATGGAAACCACAAATGAGAAAGAGATACCATAATTTCATAGAGGAAAGCATGGATTTTGTTGACATGTTATTAGAAAAACTGGGTCATTAAATGGAGAAAAATAGGGCTGGATTCCTATCTAACACATGAAAATGCGGGCCCTAGAGAGATGAAAGTCACAGACATGACCTAGGGTTCAGGAAGAGTTCCTTAAACAAAACTCCAAAAACATAAACCGCAAGTCAAAGAATTTATCTATTTGATTACATCAAAATTAAAAATATTTCTTGATCAAAGGATGGCAAAGACAAAACGAGAACTAAATGAGAAGATTTGATCAACAGATGTCAAGATGCCCAAATGAGAAGACATCTGCAAAGTCTAAACATAACAGGGAATAAATACCTATATTATAAAATCATTTCTGCAAGTCAACAGCAACAAAATAGATATCAACTCCAACAGAAAATGCCAAAGACATGAATAAGCAATTTACAGAGGAAGCTATCTGTATAAGAGATACTCAAAATCTCTAGTCATCAAAGAAATATAAATTAAAACGACAAGATATCACTTTGTGCTTACGAGATTGAAAACCATGGATAGCTGGAAAGAGGCGAGTGCTGGTGGGACATGAGGATACAGGAGTCCTCAAATATTAATACTTCCAGAGGCACAGAGACTGGGGCAGCCACTGTGGAGAGGCATCTGGCACTATTTAATCAAATTCAGTCTCTGCAAGCCTATAATCCAGCAATTCCACAGAAATATTATACAGCTTTGTAAGGAGACATGTAGGAAGATGTTCACTGCAGCAATATTTATGGTGTTAGGGGGTAGGAACAACTTGAGTAACCACTCACTACACAGAGAGCAGATAAAGCAAAACCAATGGATGCAAACAGCATGGGGTATAAATGCAGCATTCCAAAGCAGAGAATTAGACACATAACAATATGGATGGATCTTAAAAACACTACTCAGAGACCTGGCATGGTGGTTCATACCTGTAATCCCAGTACTTTGGGAGGCCAAGGCAGGCGGATCACCTGAGGTCAGGAGTTCGAGACCAGCCTGGCCAACATGGTGAAACCCCGTCTCTACTAAAATACAAAAAAATTAGCTGGGCGTGGTGGCGCATGACTGTAATTCCAGCTACTCAAGAGGCTGAGGCAGGAAATGGCTTGAACCCGGGAGGCGGAGGCTGCAGTGAGCCGAGATCTCGCCACTGTACTCCAGCCTGGGCAACAGAGTGAGACTCTTGTCTCAAAAGTCTCCAAAAAAAAAAAAAAAAAAAACCAAACTACATAAAGGAAAATGAATTACAGCATTATAAATCAAGATACATACACATAAAACAAACATTCCCACTTTGCAAGCTCCTACATAAACAAAAGGAAGCACATGCAATGCATTAAGAATGAACACCTGTGAGACATGAGATGAATGGGACAAGGGAATTCTACAACAAAACCAATCTTTTAGATTCCTTGCGTGTTATAAAAGAAAAACTCTTATGACCTACGATAAACACAGAATTGTTTCCTTCCCCAAAGTTCCCAATTTTCCAAACAACAAAAGCTACTCTGGTTGCCAGTTCTGTTGATGAGTAACAGCTTTTCATCCTTTTTCAATCAGGAAGGGAAAATTCAGGGATCAGCAAAGTACAAAAGGGATGAGCAGAGAATATTTACGAAACAGTGTTTTTGTTCTCATGACCTGACAATCTGACTGAAAAAGACCTGATTACCTCTTGATTTGGGATGATTCAGCTACAGGCAGGTTGGTGTCAAGTTTTCAGGTCATCTGAAGCGATTTACTTTCAGAACCTCTTCCCACGCAATCCTCTTGCCTCCCTGTAGAAATAATACCCTGCACTACTTGAAAACTTAAAATTCTTGAGCTAGAGAGGGCCCAGTTATTTTACAGATGAGGAAACGAAGACTCAGGGAAGAATTATGGTGTGAGTCACACAGCTCTAGCTTGAAAAGGTCTCCCTGACTCAGCCCTTGTCCTCTTCCTGTCTATTCTCAACCCAGCAGCCAGTTATCCTTTTAAAACATAAGTCATCATCAACTTCACTGTTCAAAGCTCTCCAACGGCTTCCCCCTCACTCAGTGTAAAGGCCAAAATCCTTACAATGACCTACACTGATGTGTCCTCCCCACTCCCACCCCCTCTCATCTGCTGCCACCTCCCCCCAACCCACATCCACACTGACTGGCCACCATGACCTTGCCACCCCTAACATGCCAAGCATGCTCCTGCACCAGGGTTTGGAACATGCTCATCCCACTGCCTCCTGCTCACTTCCTCATTTCCTTCCAGTCTCCCACCATGAGTTAGGCCAGGTGTGGTGGCCCATGCCTGTAATCCCAGCACTTTGGGAGGCCAAGGTGGGTGGATCGCTTGAGGCCAGGAGTTCCAGACCAGCCTGAGCGACATAGTGAAACCCCGCGTCTACTAAAAATACAAACATTGGCCCAGCGTGGTGATATAAGCCTGCAGTCCCAGCTTACTCGGGAGGCTGAGATGGGAGGATCACTTGAGCCCAGGAGGTTGAGGCTACAGTGAGCTGTGATCACGCCACTGCACTCCAGCCTGGGTGACAGAGCAAGACTCTGTCTCCAAAAAAAAAAAAGTTATCTCAGTAGAGGCTTTATTTGACCCCTCTATATAAAAAGTAAATCCCCTACCACACATATACATACACACACACACACTCTTACCCTTTCCTGACTCTAAAGTTCTCCACAGCATTATGATCCTTTGACCTATTCATTCACATATTTGTCTGTTTCCACCCAATTAGAATGTGTCTGTTCCACGAGGGCTTAGTCTGTTTTGTTCAAACTGGTTCCCCCTCCCAGCACCCACAGCATACACAAGTGCTACCACGACCCCGGCACACACAGGTGCCCCCCACAAGCACATACAGGTGTTCCTCCTCCCGGCACACACAGGTGCCCACCCTCTCAGCACACACAGGTGCTCAGTGAGAATGTGTTCAGTGAATAAACAAGTAAGGACCAAAAGCCATGCCTTCAGACTCCTCACACAATGCCCTATGTGCCTGCCCTCAAGTGCTGGTTCAATTCTTGGTGGTCACGTCCTTCAGTCAGAAGAAAAGATCTAGAAATCTAAAAATGAAATAATACATTTTAGCTACTCTATTTCACCTCCCACAGCTGCCTTTCATAGCAGGGAGGATAAAGAACACAACTAAAAGTTAACATCTTGGTTTAACGGCTCTTTCATTAAAGAGCTCATTTTACTGCTGCTACTTAAGAACTTTCTGCCTTTCCAGGCAAGAAACTAATAACTCATAATTAACTCCTGACCAACAAGACTAAGTTAACCAATCTTGAAAATTAGCTTATTCAGATGTTTTCCAGAGTGTGTATAATAAGAAACTATTTCATATTAATTGAATTGGTGTTGCAAAACTTTCCAGAAGTATTCTGAATGAATTCTAAGGATGCTTTGGCAGATGATCAAGCACATTCGAGAATTTCACAGGAGATAATCTCGTAATAATACCATGTTGTAGGTAATCCATTAGCTGACTCTAGAAACAACAGAATACTAAACCTAGAAAATAAGCCAAAAGCCAGGCTCGGTGGCTCACGCCTGTAATCCCAGCATTTTGGGAGGCTGAGGCAGGCGGATCACCTGAAGTCAGGAGCCAGAAAAGAGGAAGAGATTGATGGAACGTTGAGGGAAATGCCCTGCCTTGGGGCTGCAAGACAAATAAATAACTGGTGCATATTTAAACAGATCGTTTATGAAGATTATTATTATCTCAGCCAAAAAATACACAATATGAACACTGTATAAAAGTCAATTTATCACATTCTCTGAGTCAGACTGTTCTTGGCTTATTGCAAAAGTTATCAGTGCACTGCACGAACCCCGTTCCCAAGCCAGACTTGAGCTACTCTCCACCCTCCAGAAATCACTCCATTGCAGCCTCTGAATTTAAGTGAATTTAACACGTAAGTATCTGCAATTTGAAAAGTCACTTTTCACTTATTTTAGCCCAACCCTGATAAAGTGACTGAGAGAGCTGAGAATAATGAATTTGAAGATTCGCTATGCCCCATTATGCAGAATTCTAAAAATCTTTTCTTCTTAAAACATTTTTATTATCACAATGAGTGACGTGTTTCAAGTTAACATGTAAAATCGGAGAACTCGAGACAGAAGAGGACCTTAGAGATCCTTTAATTCAATATTTTAGAGAAAAATGGGTAGAGGATAAACTAACTTGCTGATCACCGTGTCGGTATTCATGCTGTGAAAGTAATAAACGGAACACCAACTGAGAAATGATCCCCGAATGCTGTCAGGTACTTCAGTCTTGCAAAAACTACTACAGATTAATCAGTCCTGCTCATCCGTTTAACTCAGCTATGTAAACAAGCAGAGCTAGACTATGCTCAAACCCTAAATATTAGCGTTACCACTCGCCTGCCACATACTACAGCATCATTAGTTATGAAAGTGTTTTAATACAAGATCTTCATGTTTGTGTAAAAGAATTACTATAAAACAGACCTAAAGGCAAGTTACCCATATTCCAGAATAAGTGAGTGCCAAAAATATTCACCCTTCATTACAGTACAAATGAGACAGGCAGTAATAATGAGACTGCATTTAAAGTTGTTTTTGCACTTAAAATTTAAGTCTATACTCCTCATCTGCATCAGGCCCCGGCCTGTTTGGTAACCTCAATATTCCTTTACTAAAGTGACAGCATCACCACCCTTTGAGACACAGATGCCCGGTGGACATCTGTGCCTGCAGCAGGAACGCGGGTGTCCGCGGGTTTCTGCAAAACTCCACCATGACCAAAGCTGCATCTCCAGCTGAACAGGTCTAACCCTTGCTTCGGAAGCCATCTGTCCCTGTCTCCCTGACACAGAATCACGGCCTCCTATGCCGTAAGGCTCCGAACATCTGTAAAATCAGCGGGGTGGACTAACGCAGAATTCTTTTTCCAGCTCTCAAAATTCCGCCTCATTGCCGGAGTGGCAGGGCGGTGCAGAGAAAGAGCCCTGGGCTTGACACCGCTTGAAAAGCCCACGTTCGCATTGCTCTGACCACCCCTCCAACTCCCGGGGACTACAGGAGTGCGAGGGGGCCCGCTGCGCCCCACTGTCCCTCGCGGGCTCCTGGCCCACAGAGCGCAGCACAGCGCCGCCGCTGGGAAAGGGCCGATACAGGCCTAGCCGCGCGGCGCGGCGCGGCGCGTCTCTCGGGGTGCGGGTCCCCTCCGCCCGCGGCCCCGGACCGCGACCCCCGCTCCCCGCCCGGCCCCCGCCCGGCTCCGGCCTGGCCCGGCCTCTGACCTGCTTTCCGCCGCCCGGCGGTCCCTCGGCGCGGCAGGCAGTTGCAGCCGCCAGTCCCCAGCCCGCTGTCACCTCCGCCCCTGGAAGCGGCGGGCGGGTCGATCCCGTGTGAGTCAGCGCGCCGCCCCGCCTCCCGCTCAGGCTTCCGCCTCTGCCGGCGCGGTCCGCGCGGCCCCGGGGGCGCCAAGCTCCGCTGCCCGCGCGCCCACCTCTCCGGCGCCCGCCCCGCGCTCGCGCCCCCTGGCGGCCGGCCCGGCCCTGCTCGCCTCGCGACGTCAGAGGGGCGTCGCTCCCAGAACGGCCACCGGGGAAACTGAGGCACGGGGGCCCGCCCCCGCCGCAGCGCGCCGACACGGCTCGTCGGGCCTCGGCCTCACGCAGTCCTACGTGCAGCCCCGGCTGCGGACAAGTTCCTCCACTCTTGCTGTTCCCCCACTCCCGACACCACCCTCCAACCTAGAAAAAAGTCAAAATTCCATTCAGAGAAGTCCAAGTCGATTCCTGTCTGCGTGTGATGCTGTCCTCTTTGCTACCCCGAGGCAGTTTCCCTTATTATGCCACACAATACTCGCTGGGGTTCGCCTCTATCTGTCCCATTTTTTTCTGAGGAAAGTCTCTCAGGACATCTTTGAGAATTTGAGAGCAAGAAATGACAGAAGCAAGAACTGGGCAGGGCTGTCAGAACTCCTCCTCCGACTCAGTTTCTGAATCCCCGCAGTATTCCCGTTGTTTGTTTAAAGACCACGAAGTTACACAGCTTGGCTATGTTGCTGGAATTGCTGCGCCTCACGTTTCTGGAATCTACCTAGAGGATTCTGAAGAAGGCGGCGAGTCTATGACTGTGCATGCACAACAAAAATAAATATTTCACAAATCTCATCCCATGCTGTATATGTTTCTCCTTCCCTTTGCTTTTTAAAAACTTGTGGTTAAATATATATCACATGAAATTTACCATTTTAATCCTTTTTAAGTGTACAGTTCAGTGGCATTAAGTACATTGACATTGTTCTGCAACCATCACCACCATCCAGCTCCAGAACTTTTTCATCTTCCCAAACTGAAACTGTACCCATTAAACACTAACTCCTCATTCTCCAGCCCCTGGTAACCATCATTCTACTTTCTGTCTCTATGATTACTCTGGATACCTCATATAAGTGGGATCATACAATATTGTCCTTTTGTGAGTGGCTTCTTTCACCTAGCATAATGTCTTCAAGGCTCACCCATGTTGTAGCATGCGTTAGAATATCCTTCCTTTTGAAGGCTGAATAATACTCAATTGTACGTATATAACATCTTTGGTTTATCCCATCTTTCTGTGGACATTTGGGTTGTTTGTACCTTTAGGCTATGGTGAATAATGCTGCAATGAACATGGGTGTACAAATATCTGAGTCCCTACTTTCAATTCTTTTGGGTATATATCCAGAAGAATTGCTGGATCATGTGGTAATTCTGTGTTTAATTTTTTGAGAAGCCACCATACTGTTTTTTTTTCCTTTGCTTTTTGAAGCATGTTAACACTGTAAAGAGAACATTTTGTAGTAAAATATCAACGTTCGGAGAGTCTTTAAAATTCTTAGCAATGCTTCATTTGCCTGTAAAACTGTGACTTTTCGGCGGATCACGAGGTCAAGAGAACGAGACCATCCTGGTCAACATGGTGAAACCCTGTCTCTACTAAAAATAAAAAATTAGCTGGTCATGGTGGTGGGTGCCTGTAGTCCCAGCTACTCGGGAGGCTGAGGCAGGAGAATCGCTTGAACCCGGGAGGTAGAGGTTGCAGTGAGCTGAGATCGCGCCACTGCACTCCAGCGTGGTGACACAGCGAGACTCCGTCTCAAATAAATAAATAAATAAATAAATAAATAAATATTTTAAAACAAGTGACTTTTCTTTCCTCAAGAAAGTAATTAACATTGCAAATCTATTGTCTTTATTTTTGGATAATGTTATTAGCCAAAATAAAAATAACTTATTATTCAGTTTCCTACAATTTTGTTTTCTGTGGATGTAGCTTTCTAAAGTTGTTTGGAGTCAAGTATGCCATATGAAATTCAGATGAAAAATCAAGCATTTCGTTTTATTTATTTTTTTCGCCACGTTGGTCAGGCTGGGCTTGAACTCCTGACCTCAGGTGATCCACCCTCCTCGGCCTCCCAAAGTACTGGGATTACAGGCATGAACCACTGCGCCCAGCCTGGGGATCGGAGTTTTTTGTTTGTTTGTTTTTTTGAGACGGAGTCTCGCTCCGTCTCCCAGGCTTGAGTGCAGCGGCGTGATCTCGGCTCATTGCAAGCTCCGCCTTCTGGGTTCCCGCCATTCTCCTGCCTCAGCCTCCCGAGTAGCTGGTACTGCAGGCGCCCGCCACCACGCCTGGCTAATTTTTTTTTTGTATTTTTGTAGTAGAAACGGACTATCACCGTGTTAGCCAGGATTGTCTCCATCTCCTGACCTTGTGGAGTTTTTAAAGATAATTTGGCTGGTGGGGTCTTGAGAAGTGGGGAGTGCTGATTGGTCAGGTTGGAGATGGAAACATAGGGGGTCAAAATGAGGTTTTCTTGCTGTTTTCTGCTCCTGGGTGCAATGCAGAACTGGTTGAGCCAGATTACCGGTCTGGATGGTGTCAGCAGATCCATCAACTGCAGGGTCTGCAAAATATCTCAAATACTGATCTTAGGTTTTGAAATAGTGATGTTATTCCAGGAGCAATTTGGGAGGTTCAGGCTCTTGGAGTCAGAGGCTGCATGACCCCTAAACTGTAATTTTTTTTTTTTTTTTTTTTTTTGAGACGGAGTCTTAGTCTACCGCCCAGGCTGGAGTGCAGGGGTGCAATCTCAGCTCACTGCAACCTCCACCTCCCGAGTTGAAGCGATTCTCGTGCCTCAGCCTCCCTAGTAGCTGAAATTACAAGCATGCACCACCACGTCCAGCTAATTTTTGTATTTTTAGTAGAGATGAGGTTTCACATTGTTGGCCAGGCTGGTCTCAAACTCCTGGCCTCAAGTGATCCATCCACCTCAGTCTCCCAAAGTTCTGGGATTACAGGTGTGAGCCACCACTCCCGGCCTTAAACTGTAATTTCTAATCTTGTAGCTAATTTGTTAGTCCTGCAAAGGCAGACTGGTCCCTAGGCAAGAAGGGGGTCTTTTTGGCAAAGGGCTATTATCAATTTTGTTTCAGAGTCATGAACTGAATTCTTTCCCAAAGTTAGTTCAGCCTATGCCCAGGAATGAACGAGGACAACTTAAAGGTTAGAAGCAAGATGGGGTCAGTTAGGTCTGCTTTCTTTCACTTCATAAGTTCCTCAGTTAAAATTTTGCAAAGGTGGTTTTATACTTTTCATTTATCAATGAATTCTTACTGTACATTTGTGATGTAACAGGCATTGTGCTAGGTGTTTGGCATTCAGGCTGACCAACACAGACAAGATCCTTGCCTTCATGGAGCTCACATTCTAGAGTAGGGTAACAGACAATAAAGAAATAAACAAATGATAATCCAGACAATCATGGGGTGTAGTTGAGTGTTATGAAGGAAACAAACCAACTGATGCGATAGATTAGATCACAGAGAATTAAAGCCTAGTGCCCTAGGCATTTGTTGTATGTAATGAGTTAACTTCTCTCCTATGCAATGTTGGGGCTTAGAAACCAATACCCTAAAATAGGGTGCTTTGTACATGTTGAGCTGAAAAAGCAGTCTCAAGGTCTCTCTCAACCTCCTCCCACCTGCCCCTCTTCACTGTCTCTCCCAAAGCATAGTATTCTCTGAAGTTTCCTTATCTGTCCAAAGTCCTGACCTACCAAAGAAAAACAATTATCTCTGATCTCTTTCCTGAGTTTTAATTAACTGAACCCACATTGCAAGAAAGAAGACCAAAGTCTGTCAATAAACCTGGACAGACTTTTGTCACAAACCACTGTCTGGTCTGCAGGCCCAACAGACTTTGTCCCAGACCATTGGAAGTTCCTCAAGTTCATTGAATTCTCCCTAGTAATCATTTATTGCCCTCAATAGAATTCCTCTTCTTCACCCTCCCATAACCTGTTTTGCCAGCATCCAAGTCACCATTTTTTCTGTAGCCTCAAGATGGTACATAAGCTTCTGCACCCCATTGGGGGGTTGGTCTTCCGTGTCACATAAAACTATTGTCAAACAGATGCATATGCCAATTAATCTGCCTTTTGTGACCTGATTTTTCAGCAAAACTTCAGAGGGCGAAGAGGAAGTTCACCTGACCCCAACAGCAACCAGAACAGTTCAAGTCATACTCAGTCCTTGAAAGAACTAAGAGGACAATTCACTCCACACAGCTTCTATGTCATGTGGTTTAGATAAGGAATCTAGGCTGATAAAGGCCAAAGTGAGGGATGGGAACCTTCTCTGAATATAGAGATAGTTGGGGAAATCCCCTCTGGGGATGTAACATTTACCTGAAACTTGAATAATGAGAAAGAATCAAGCCGGACATGGTGGCTCAAGCCTGTAGTCCCACGATCTGCAGTGAGCCATGATGGCACCACTGCACTCCAGCCTGTGTGACAGAGTGAAACCCCATCTCAAAAAAAGAGAGAAAGAATCAGCCATGTAAAGAGCTCTTCAGGCAGGAGAAACTGCAGGTGCAAAATCTTGAAGTAGAAAGCCATCTAGTACGTTTCGGAAACACAAAATAAGCCATGTGAACAAAGGAGGCAGTTTTATGAGATCAGATTAGAAAACAAACAGGGCCAGGTGCAGTGTCACGCATCTGTAATCCCAGCTACTTTGGAGGGTGAGGTGAGAGGCTCACTTGAGCCCAGAAGTTCAAGATTGCAGCACATTATGATTGTGCCTGTGAATAGCCACTGCACTCCAGCCTGGGCAACATAGCAAGACCCTGTCTCTTAATAATAATAATAATAACTATCTTTTTTTTTCTTTTTTTTTTTTTGAGATGCAGTCTCGCTCTGTCGCCCAGGCCGGAGTGCAGTAGTGCGTGCAATCTTGGTTCACTGCAACCTCTGCCTCCCAGGTTCAACTGATTTTCCTGCCTCAGCCTCCCAAGTAGCTGGGACTACAGGCATGCGCCACCACAACCGGTTAATTTTTGTATTTTTAGTAGAGATGGGGTTGCATCATGTTGGTCAGACTGGTCTTGAACTCCTGACCTCAGGTGATCCACCCTCCTCGGCCTCCCAAAGTGCTGGGATTACAAGCATGAGCCACCGCACACGGCCAAATAATAACTATCTAACAAACAGTATGTAGGTCATTTCTGGTTTGGTGAGCCATGGTAAAGAGATTGATTTTTGTGATAAGTTGATGTATTGAGACGTGATTAAAATATCCCCAAATGAAGGGACTGAAATGAAAATAACCAAACGAGATAAATGTGTGTGGAACTGCCTTGTTAACAATAAGGATTATATCTGTATATGTCATATTAAAACTAAAAAGTACATTGTTTTTCCCCTTGAATAATCCTCAATAAACCAAAACACAGAATGGCTCAATTCATATTTTGATTCATCTAATTGATTAAAACTATTTGGGTGTGTCATCCTTTGATATACCGTAAGTACTATCACGGTTATGAGGGGCTGCACCATGAACTAACAGTTTGGCATGACTTGGCCCCATATCAAAGGCAACTCCCTCTGGCTTCCCCCCACAATGCACCATGTCACAGCCATAAGCTGTTGTTTGCAATGGCAAGCAGATGAGAGTAGTGAGCTGCTGAAACTAATCAAAGCTGGCCTTGCTCATGCTATGTCAGCTAACCGTCCATCCTGGAATAGCCAGGGGACCAAATTCCAGGGTGGTGGGGAGGAGGGGATGTATAGATAAAATACTGTTAATATATGCTTATTTCTATTATAAAAGAAAATGTGATCCAACAACCTAGTGATAGAACATGGAAGACATAGGTTTGCATCCTAAAATGTCAGACATCACATGAAAATACTAACAACTATTCATCAAAATGTTGACACAATGCACCTGGCAGTCTCATGGCCAAGGTTCAGAACGGTGAGAATTCAAGTTGAAAAGAGATCGACAGAGGAAGATTGGTGATCAGATCTCACAGGCAAAGGAGAAGTCAGCATGGTTTTCTTTTCTTTTTTTTTTTGAGACGGAGTTTCACTCTTGTTGCCCAGGCTGGAGTGCAATGGCGGGATCTCGGCTCACTGCAACCTCCGCCTCCCGAGTTCAAGCAATTCTCCTGCCTAAGCCTCCCAAGTATCTGGGATTACAGGCGCCCACCACCACAACCGTTTAATTTTTCTATTTTTAGTAGAGATGGGGATTCACCTCGTTGGCCAGGCTGTTCTCGAACTCCTGACCTCACCTCAGGTGATCCACTTGCCTCGGCCTCCCAAAGTGCTGGGATTACAGGCGGAGCCACCACACCCGGCCAAGTCAGGATAGTTTTCACAGAGGGCATCTGTCTGGTGGACTTGAACTAGGACAAGGCCAACTCCTAGAAGACAACAGAGGCCATTTGGTTTCATTTAGGGATAGACCCTGGTTGGCAAGAGTAAGACCAGGTCTTGTTTTGTTCTTCCTAGAAGAGAACAGACCCTATAAGAAAGCTTCTGTATTCTGAAGAAAAGACTGTATCATGTTTATCTTCAGGGCTGTTCTTAATATATTGATATATTGATGCCTAGGGACTCCTCTTCCTATCTACTTGCAGAAGCTTGAATTGGTTTACGGGAAAACAGAGAATTATTTCACACTCAGAAGTAAAAACCATGGCTGGACGCAATGTCTCACACCTGTAATCCCAGCACTCTGGGAGGCTGAGGTGGGGTGGATCGCTTGAGGCCAAGAGTTCAAGACCAGCCTGGCCAACATGCTGAAACCCTGTCTCTACTAAAAATACAAAACTTAGCCGGGCATGGTGGTGTGTGGCTGTAATCCCAGCTACTTGGAAGGCTGATGTGTGAGATGTATCTCCCTCAAACCTTGCTACAACATTAGTAATGTACCAATGTCTGACATTAAAAAAAAATCATTGGCTTGTAAAATAAAAGCCTTCTATAAACTACAGTGTGTTTCAAATACTATATTTGAGTATTTTTAAAAAGAACAAAATTGTGGTCACTTTATTTCTTCATTTATTTATTCTTCCTCTGATTCCAGAAAGGATTTAAGGAAACTCACTCAATTCCTTTGATCTAGTGCCGGGATGGACTTCATCCCAAAGGGCTCACATGGGACAATCTAAAAGGAAGTCAAAGATGCCTTTTCTCCCCGCTCCTGCGGGGTGAACATGGATCCAAGGGGTGACTTTCTTTGCCGAAGTAGGGGGATCACCTGAGGTCAGGAGTTTGAGACCAGCCTGACCAACATGGTGAAACCCCGTCTCTACTAAAAATACAAAATATACTTGGGCATGGTGTTGCACACCTGTAATCCCAGCTACTCAGGAGGCTGAGGCAGGAGAATAGCTTGAACCTGGGAGGCGGAGGTTGCAGTGAACCGAGATCGTGCCACTGCACTCCAGCCTGGGCAACAGAGTAAGATTCCATCTCCAGAAAAAATAAAATAAAATAAGGGCCAGGCATGGTGGGGCACGCCTGTAATCCCAGCACTTTGGAAGGCCGAGGTGGGTGGATCACCTGAGATCGGGAGATCTAGACCAGCCTGACCAACATGGTGAAAACCTGTCTCTACTAAATACAAAAAAATTAGCCGGGTGTGGTGGCGCATGCCTGTAATCCCAGCTGCTTGGGAGGCTGAGGCAGGAGAATTGCTTGAACCCAGGAGGCGGAGGTTGCAGTGAGCTAAGATCATGCCATTGCACTCCAACCTGGGCAACAAGAGCGAAATTCCATTTAAAAATAAAAAATAAGAATCAATAAAAACAAATTAACTAAAAGAGAGCATTCTGAATGTTTTCACCACAAAGAAGTAATAAATATTTGAGATGATGGATTTGCTAATTACTCTGATTTGCTAATTATACAATGTATACATATATTGTACCCCATAAATATGTACAATTATATGTCAATGAAAGATAAATAAAACAGAAAAAAGTCACAGTAAAATCAAAATGATGCTTAAATTCAACAAAATTATAATGCTCTTTTGTTGTTTTGTCCACAACCATCATTCCTGTTTTTTTTCTTTTTGAGATGGAGTCTCGCTCTGTTGCCCAGGCTGGAGTGCAGTGGCATGATCTCCACTCACTGCAACCTCTGCCTCCCACGGTCAAGCAATTCTCCTGCCTCAGCCTCCCAAGTAGCTGGGATTGCAGGCATGTGCCACCATGCCCGGCTAACTTTTCTATTTTTAGTAGAGACGGGGTTTTATGTTGGCCAAGCTGGTCTCGAATTCCTGGCCTCAAGTGATCTGCCTGTCTTGATCTCCCAGGGATTTTTTGTTTGTTTGTTTTAATGGGAAACAACTCATCTATACTCGCAGTCCCCCATATTTCCATTCCAGCACCCAGAAGTGATCATATGACCCCAGACTGACCAATCAGAGTCACTGTGATAGTTTTAGAGATAGGCACGTAATCCAGTTTGTGCTATTGAGATTCATGCTCAAGAATCAATAGTTTGTTGCTAAACTGTGTTAAATGAAATTTATAGGAGGCCATTGGGTGGAACTGAGCTCTTGCACTAGGCTTAACAGATAAAACCAAAATGGAGTTACTCATACTGAAGTTTCCACCAAGCCAAAACTAAGCTATTTATTTGATCTTCCAAGAAATCAGGCAAGAAATAGATAATAGCCAAATCCCCAAACAGGCCTGTTTTGGGAAGCATGATGAGGTGGCCCCCTCTGCTTTAACCTTTATAAGGAAAGTAACTTTGTAACAACCAATCAGTTTTTGTTCTGTTCCTGCGTTCTTCAGCCCTCTTCTGCCTATAAAGTCAAATTTCTCTGCTCAACTCATCTGAACACTCATTCTATCTTATAGAATGAGTTGTTGCCCAATTCTAGAATTGCAAATAAAAGCCAATTCGATCTTTAATCTAAATTTGTTGTAATTTTGTCTTTTGATAGCTGAGAGAAGATAAGCTAAAAGGAGCTGTTGTTCACCTTGCCTCATGGAGAGAGACTATGTGAGAATGAAGTCACTACTGAAGACAATGAAATCAAGAAATGGAGAGAGATTCCATACCACCTAACTTAGGCACCTCAATCCAGCTATGTCTGGATTTTTAGTTATATGCCAATAAAGGTCTCATCTCTAAACTACTGGCTCAATATGCCAGTCTAAGATGGAAGATTTACTATTTCCTAGTAAGATGAGAAAAATTTCATTTACAAGACTTCTTTATTCTGAGATTATACCTTTCCTAATTTTTGGTGTTAGAGTATTTACGAATTGATGGTGATAGTGGATAACAATTGTATTTTACCAATAGTCCTTAATAGAAAATTAGAAAGTTAGTCCAAAATAGAAAGTAGCCAGGCATGGTGGCTCATGCCTGTAGCCCCAATACTTCGGGAGGCTGAAGGAGGAGGATCACATGAGCTCAGGAGTTCAAGACCAGCCTGGGCAAGATGGTGAAACCCCCATCTCTACAAAAAATTTAAAAATTAGCCAGGCATAGTGGTACATGCCTGTAGTCTCAGTTACTCAGGAGGCTGAGAAAGGAGGATCACTTGAGCCCAGGAGGTCAAGGTTGCAGGCAGCTGTGATTGTGCCACTGCACTCCAGCCTGGGCAACAGAACAATACCCTATCGAAAAAAAAAAAAAAAAGAAAGTTGGTGGGCCCTTTATCCTTCCATTAAAAAAAAATTAGGTCATTTTGTAGGTCATAAGCATGATGATTGAGTTTTCATGCTCATGCGTGAGATGTACCTCCCTCAAACCTTGCTACAACATTGGTAATGTACCAATGTCTGACATTAAAAAAAATTATTGGCTTGTAAAATAAAAGCCTTCTATAAACTACCGTGTGTTTCAAATACTATATTTGGATATTTTTAAAAAGAACAAAATTGTGGTCACTTTATTTCTTCATTTATTTATTCTTCATCTGATTCCAGAAAGGATTTGAGGAAACTCACTCAATTCCTTTGATCTAGTGCCCGGGATGGACTTCATCCCAAAGGGCTCATATGGGACAATCTAAAAGGAAGTCAAAGATGCCTTTTCTCCCTCCTCCTGCAGGGTGAACATGGATCCAAGCGGTGACTTTCTTTGCCTCCTCCCTGAGACTGCAGGGGGAGGCAGGCAGAGTAACAGCAGAAACAAGCAGTGCTTTTTCTGTTTGGCTTTTCCCCGGGCTGCTGGCCTCTTATCCCTTCATGGCTCCAGGCAGTGCTTCTTAGGTGATGCTACACCCACCTGCAGCAGGGCCTGGTGGGGTGGGGGCGAAGGGGTGCAGGAAGTATGTGAACAGAATGAAGGTGGGAGAAAGAAAGATTAACGAGTAGCAGTGTGGGGAGGATCATGAAGTGGTGAGGGAAAGAATAAGAGACAGTAGGGGTAGGGGGAAGCCTTTATAAATAGTGATATTTAACTTCTGGGAGGAGGGAGAGAAGTGATGTTTGCTTAAGCATTTGCTCAGGGGGAATGTTTACTCATGGTTAAACCCAGAATACAGTTAGTGTTAAAGTAGAAATGAAGCTGCATTCCAGGCAGGAGGTGGGCATGGTGGATTGCAGGGTGTGTGCTGAGAGTGTGTGTATGAGACAAATTGTGGTACCACATGTGTAAAGATGATGCTCTAGACACAGGAAGTCTAACTTCTCCAGTTCTGATGGCAGATTTGTACCAAGTCATGCTGTCCTACTTTCTATATCCTTGCTTTCGAGATGGCTGGTTGGGTTTAGGGGTGTTTTCTGTGGCCACGGAGAAAGTGAATCTTACTGGCTCACTTATTAATAGACTCAGTGTGGTTTGGATGCTACACTGTCTTGGACCTATGCTGAGTTAGACTTCTAGCACATTGAGATCATAAATCAGGAAACTGAGCATGCACACACACCCCCTTACGTTCAAGAGATGCAGTTGCTAGAACCAGGTGGGCTCTTTCCTGCCACAGGGCTCCTGGGCTTGCTATTTGAGTGGCTGCAGCTGTGCCTGGGAGGATGGGGCCCCTGCCTGATCCCGGGCCCCAAGAGGACCGGGATGCCTGGGTCCATAGCCATGGCTTGGGCAGTTGCAGCGGCACCTGGGGAGCTCCTGCCCCAACTCGGAAGGAATGGGGCTCCCGCTGGTCCCTGGCTCCCGCTGGCTCTATTGAGCTTGCAGCCCCAGCTGCACCTCCCTGCTGCAGCCGGCGTGATGGCAGCAGCCACTCCAGATGGCCCGCCGCTGCCATCATAAGCACATGGTGGGTTTCTTTGGCAACCAGACCCATCCTGAAGCTATCTAGGGGCTTTCAGCTACCAGTCATCTCATTAACATAAACTCAGGTGTAATTCAAATTCAGGGGCTTGTTACCGGTAGCAAAAGAGCTCCTATCACCTCTGTCATTCAGGAAGTTACAAGGGTTTTAGAAGTTGTACACCAGGGGACAAAGACAAAATATATATTTCTTAATAGGTCTGCTAAGTTAGGTTTATCATAAAGCTGCCTCCTTACACAGTTCAAGTTCAGTGTAAAGATTTTGCCATACATAGTGAACTATAACCTTATTGGATGCATAAACAGACTGTAACCTATTCTTGTGCCAATCACTGAATTTAAGCCAATCAAAGGTGACCAACTATTCAAAATGTGTCCAAATAAGGCAAATGCAAAGCTGTAACCAATCCAACTGTTTCTGTCCATCACTTTCCTTTTTCTGCCTGTAAGTCTTTTTTGACTACGCAGCTGTGCAGGAGTCTTTCTGAACCTATTCTGCTTTGGGGGCTGCCTGATTTGCAAATCATTCTTTGCTCAATAAACTCTCTGTTAAATTTAATTTGCCTAAGGGTTTTTTTTTTTTTTTTGAGATGAAGTTTCGCTTTTGTCACCCAGGCTGGAGTGCAGTGGTGCAATCTCAGCTCACTGCAACCTCTACCTCCCGGGTTCAAGCGATTCTCCTGCCTCAGCCTCCTGAGTAGCTGGGATTACAGGTGCCTGCCACCACACCCAGCTTTTTTGTTTTTTTGAGACGGAGTCTCGCTCTGTCGCCCAGGCAGGAGTGCAGTGGCATGATCTCAGCTCACTGCAAGCTCTGCCTCCTGGGTTCACGCCATTCTCCTGCCCCAGCCTCCCGAGTAGCTGGGACTGCAGGTGCCCGCCACCACGACCGGCTAATTTTTTGTATTTTTAGTAAAGACAGGGTTTCACCATGTTAGCCAGGATGGTCTTGATTTCCTGACCTCGTGATCCACCCGCCTCAGCCTTCCAAAGTGCTGGGATTACAGGCATGAGCCCGGCCTGTGTTTTTTTTTTTAATAGAGACAGGGTTTCGCTATGTTGGGCAGGTTGGTCTCGAACTCCTGACCTCAGGTGATCCACCTGCCTCGGCCTCCCAAAGTGCTGGGATTACAGGTGTGAGCCACCACGCCCGGCCCTAAGGTTTTCTTTTTAACAGATGGTGTCAGAAATGGGATCTGAAGTAGAGCTTCTACCCCCACCAGGGGCATTGAGTGACTAATGAGGTACCAACCAGACTCATTTTGTCCATTGCTCTCTCTTACAACTGAGGATCGTGGGTATCTTCTCTCTCAGATTCTGAAGCTCTATGGGTTTGTGTTTTGAGCTATCTGTTTGAGTGAATTTTTTATATGAATTGGGTTTGGAAGTTGTGATACAAACTGGACTAGGTCTAGGATCAGATTACATGCAATAGTTAACTGGCTTTGATCCAGTTAGACGCCTCAGATGTCTGAGTGGTTCACAGAGAAACTGGCAGTAAATGGTAATAGCACAGAGGCTGTGAACTTCAGCTTTTAGAAATTCACAGAGATTTTTGTGTTGTAGTATTCCTTTTGTTTCCTTTTCTTGCACACTTAGGTAGAAAAAAAAGCATTAGCTAAGTTAATCAAAGGGATCTGAGAGTTAAGGACAAGATCCAAAGTAAAAATGGGGGTCCCTGGCCAGGCACGGTGGCTCACGCCTGTAATCCCAGCACTTTGGGAGGCCAAGGCGGCGGATCACCTGAGGTCGGGAGTTCAAGACCAGCCTGACCAACATGGAGAAACCGTGTCTCTACTAAAAATACAAAATTAGCCAGGTGTGCTGCCGCATGCCTGTAATCCCAGCTACTAGGGAGGTTAAGGCAGGAGATCACTTGAACCTGGGAGGCGGAGGCTGTGGTGAGCTGAGATCCTGCCATTGCACTCCAGCCTGGGCAACAAGAGTGAGACTCCGTCTCAAAATAATAATAATAATCCTTTACTACTGAAGAACTTAGTACTCCACCTTCCAGCTATGCTTACCTATACATGCATAAATATTAGGCTCTGGAGCCAGGCATGGTGGCTCATGCCTGTAATCCCAGCACTTTGGGAGGCCGAGGCAGACAAATCACGAGGTCAGAAGTTCGAGACCAGCCTGGCCAACATGGTGAAACCCTGTCTCTCCTAAAAATGCAAAAAATTACCTGAGTGTAGTAGTAGGCACCTGTAATCCCAGCTACTCAGGAAGCTGAGGCAGGAGAATCACTTGAACCCGGGAGGCGGAGGTTGCAGTGAGCCGAGATCGCGCCACTGCACTCCAGCCCTGGCAACAGAGTCAGACTCTGTCTCAAAAAAAAAAAAAAAAAAAAAAAAAATTAGGCCCTGGAAGCAGCAAACACAGAAATGGCAACACCTTACTAAAAATAATACAAAACTACAACATTTCAAATGAATACTGCACTTTTAAAAGTGTATTTAAAAATGAGGGCCCCAGGCTGGGCATGGTGGCTGTCGCCTGTAATCCCAGTGCTTTGGGAGTCTGAGGCAGGAGGACTGCTTGAGCCTAGGACTTTGAGACCAGCCTGGGCAATATAGTGAGATCTTGTCTCTACAAAAAACACAACACAATTAGCTAGGTGTGATGCACATACCTGTAGTCATAGCTACTCAGGAGCCTGAGGTGGGAGGATCTCTTGAGCCTAGGAGATTGAGGCTGCAGTGAGCTGTGATCACACCACTACACTTCAGCCTGGGTGACAGAACAAGACCCTGTGTCAAAAAAAAAGTTTTAAAAAATGAGGGCCCCAGGCCAGGCGCAGTGGCTCACGCCTGTAATTCTAGCACTTTGGGAGGCCGAGGCAGGCGGATCACGAGGTCAGGAGATCGAGACCATCCTGGCTAACACAGTGAAACCCCGTCTCTATTAAAAATACAAAAAATTAGCCGGGCATGGTGGTGGGCGCCTGTAGTCCCAGCTACTCGGGAGATTGAGGCAGGAGAATGGCGAGAACCCAGGAGGCGGAGCTTGCGGTGAGCCGAGATTGCGCCACTGCACTCCAGCCTGGGCGACAGAGCAAGACTCTGTCTCAAAAAAAAAAAAACAAACAAACAAAAAAATGAGGTCTCCAGAATTAGTTTCATTCAGAGATAATTATTGATGTACAGAAGCTTCTGAAAAGATTTCAATATTTTTATTGATTTTAAAAAAGATCTGGTTGGGCGCAGTGGCTTATGCCTATAATCTCAGCACTTTGGGAGGCCGAGGTGGGCGGATCACCTGAGGTCAGGAGTTCAAGACCAGCCTGGTCAACATGGCAAAACCCTCTCTCTACTAAAAAACACAAAAATTAGTCAGTCAGGCATGGTGGCAGATACCTGTAATTCCAGCTACTTGGGAGGCTGAGGCAGGAAAATTGCTTGCGCCCAGGAGGCAGAGGTTGCAGTGAGCCGAGATCATGCCATGGCACTCCAGCCTGGGCGACAGAGCGAGACTTCACTTCAAAAAAATAAAAATAAATAAATAAATAAATAAAAAGATATTTATATGTTGTGAAAATGCCAATGAACAACATAGTTTAAAAGTAAATAATTGGCTGGGCATGGTGGCTCACGCCTGTAATCCCAGCACTTTGGGAGGCCACAGTGGGCAGATCACTTGAGGTCAGGAGTTGAAGACCAGCCTGGCCAACATGGTGAAACTTCGTCTCTACTAAAAATACAAAAATCAGCTGGGCGTAGCGGCGCACGTCTGTAGTCCCAGCTACTCAACAGGCTGAGGCATGAGAATCGCTTGAACATGGAAGCAGAGGTTGCAGTGAGCTGAGATGGCGTCACTACGCTTCAGCCTGGGTGACCAAGCGAGACTCTGTCTCCAAAAAAAAAAAAAGTAAATAACAAAACAAAGGGGAAAAAAAAGACTGTTTATAAAAAGTAAATAGAAGGCTTATGTGACTAAACGATAAGAAGAGTTAAATCTTTGTAATCCCAGAATTTTGGGAGGTCAACACAGGAGGATCGCTTGAGCCCAGGAGCTCCAGACCAGCCTGGGCAACAAAGTGAGACATTGTCTCTACAAAAAATTTAAAACTTAGCCAGGCATGGTAATGTGTGCCTGTAATCCCAGCTACTCAGAAGGCTGAGGTGGGAGGGTTGCTTGAGCCCAGGAGGTCAAGACTGCAATAAGCCATGATCACATCACTGCACTCCAGCCTAGGCAACAGAGCAAGATTCTGAGAAGAAGAAAGAAGAAAGATCAAAGAAGGAAGAAGAAAGAAGAAAGAAGGAAAGGAAGAACAAGAGGAATTAAATCTGCTCATCCTTTAGCTTCATTACTATCTGGCATGAGATGGGATAGTTCCCTTCACCCTTACCCCCTTCGTGGGTGGGCAGGAACTGGAGTGGTTTGTTTCACTCAGCCTGCAGTCCTTGGATGGCTAAGTGTTAACAGCTCAGTGAAGGGTCAGGGTGACAGCCTCCTGCACCTGCCTTTTTGACACCCAAGTTCTTTTTCAGTGTGCAGGAAGAATCAGATCACACAGACTGTTTGAAGACTGGCTCTCAGCAGCATGTGGAGCTGGAAAGGGGATGGTGCAGGAAGAAGGTGATCTTTCCCTGAAGCCGCACCATCTGAAGTTAGCTATTTGTAGTCTCTGATGCTCAGTTGCTTGCTTCTCTGCTTGCTGCTCAGCTGCTTGTATCCTGAGGCTCAGCAGCTGGCGTTCCGGACCACTTGCATCGGCTGCTCATGTTGCTCTTTCTTTTTTCTGCCAACTGGTCTGGTTTTTATGGACACAGGATGGGGGTGGGGTGGGCCAAAAAGGCAATCATTTGGGCGGAAAAAATAGGATCAGCTGTTTTCGCTTAGGGCAGAGGTTCCAGGCTTAAGAGTGGAGTTTAGCCAGGAGGAGGTCCTGAGAACATTTGCCCACGGTGGTTGGGGCACAGCTTGGTTTTATACATTTTAGAGAGGCATGAGACATCAATAAAATACATTTAAGAAATACATTGGTTTGGTCCAGAAAGGTGGAACAACTCAAACCGGGGCAGGGCTTCCAGACTATAGGTGAATTTAAACATTTTCTGGTTGACAATTGGTTGAGTTTGTCTAAAGACCTGGGATTGATAGAGAGGGAATGTTCAGGTTAAGATAAAGATTGTGGAGACCAAAGTTATTTTGAAGTCTTATAGTGGCTGCCCTTAGAGGCAATAGATGACAAATGTTTCCTATTCAGATTTAGTTAATCTCTTTAGGTTATTTTTGCCTGGATTTACTGGTCAGACAGAAATGTATTTTAGGGTAAAATATTTTGACCTTCTTTGTCTCATAATGTTATGCAGAGTCAGGTTGGAAAGTAAATCACGATATTTTTGCCTGGATTTACTGGTCAGACAGATGTATGCTCTCTCTGCTACATGTTTTAAAGTTATACTACTGCTGCTTCTTAATATTTTTTGATACTTGTTTGATTTGACTGTGAGCTTATGATTTTGGTTTTGAGCCTCTGGATTCTGGGGTCTGGATGAGTGGTCATGGTGAAACTGCCTTTGCAAAATATGACAGTAAGAGACCAGGCGTGGTGGCTCATGTAATCCCAACACTCTGGGAGGCCAAGGCGGGTGGATCACTTGAGGCCAGGAGTTTGAGACCAGCCTGGCCAACATGGCGAAACCCAGTCTCTAATGAAAATACAAAAATTAGGCCAGGCGTGTTGGTTCACGCCTGTAATCCCAGCACTTTGAGAGGCCGACGACGGTGGATCACAAGGTCAGGAGTTCAAGACCAGCCTGACCAACATGGTGAAACCCCGTCTCTACTAAAAATACAAAAATTAGCCAGGCGTGGTAGTGCACGCCTGTAATCCCAGCTACTCAGGAGGCTGAGGCAGGAGAATTGCTTGAACCCAGGAGGCGGAGGTTGCAGTGAGCCAAGATTGCACCATTGCACTCCAGCCTGGGCGACAGAGCGAGACTCCATGTCAAAAAAAAAAAAATTAGCCAGATATGGTGGCGCATGCCTGTGGTCCCAGCTATTCAGGAGGCTGAGGCAGGAGAATTGCTTGAGCCCAGGAGGCAGAGGTTGCGCTGGGCCAAGATCATGCCACTGCACTCCAGCCTGGATGACAGAGCGAGACTCCATGTCAAAAAAAAAATGACAGTAAGATAAATCTGGCATAGTTGACTCTATCTTCCTTCTGTCCTCCAAGCTGTCCTTGGTCATTTCTGGGCATAGGCCAAACTAACTTCGGGGGGAATTTAGTTTACAGTTTAAAGAAAGGATGATAATAGTCCCTCCCTAAAACTTACCCACTCCTTGCTCAGAGACTGAAACCTACCTTTTTAAGATTAATGAAAGGGCACAAGAATAGCATCATGGGAGGGGCTTGAATTCTGCTAAGATAGAGGCATAGTTTCTTTTGTTTTGTTTTGCTTTAGAGACAGAGTCTTACCCTGTTGCTCAGACTGGAATGCAGTGGTGCAATCATAGTTCACTTTAATCTTGAACTCCTAGGCTTAACTGATCCTCCCACCTTAGCCTCCCAAGTAGTTGGGACTATAAATGCATACCACCACGCCCTACTAATTTTTTTATTTTTTAATTTTTGTAGAGCCAAGTGTGTTAGGCTGTTCTTGCATTGCTATAAAGAAAAACCAAAGACTAGGTAATTTATAAAGAAAAGAGGTTTAATTGCCTCATGGTTCCACAGGCTGTACAGGAAGCATAGTGCTGGCCTCTACTCAGCTTCTGAGGAGGCCTCAGGGAGTTTTCACTTGATGAAAGCAGGAGCAAGAGAGAGTGGGGAGGGAGGTGCTGTGTACTTTTAAACAATCAGATCACACGAGAACTCACTCATTATCATAAGGATTCCAGCAAGGCATGAGGGATCTGCCTCCCTAACCCAAACATCTCCCACCAGGCCCCGCCTCCAAAATTGTGGATTACATTTCAAACTGAGACTTAGTGGGAACACATATCCAAACCATATCACCAGGGTCTCACATTGTTTCCCAGGTTTGTAGGTGTAATTTCGATAAGCCCTTACTGCTTAGGAGTCATGTGGCCAGAGGGCACAAGATTTGTAACTTCCCCAATTGCTCCTATAGAAAACATTACTATTGTAGAACCTAAGGTTGGTTTTCTTTAGATATCTTTCAGACTGACCCCAACTAGACTCATGACTTATGACTCAGCTGATCCTGTGGCCCCTCCCAGAAGCAGACTCAGAGCAAGAGGACGATTCTCCACACACCTATGATTTCATCTCCAGCCAATCAGCAGCACCCATTCCCTAGCCCCCTGCCCAACAAATTGTCCATAAAATCCCCTAACCTTCAAACCTTCAGGGAGAGTGATTTGACTGATAACTCCAGTCAAATGGGCCAGCCTTGCATCAGTTAAACTTTTTGTCTACTGCAATGTGGTGGTCTCAATAAATTGATTTTGTCTGTGCAGCAGGCAAGAAGAACCTGTGGGGTGATTACAAAGGCGGGCCTGGGGACATGTTCCCAGTGCCTAGACCACCAGCTGCAAGGCAGAGTCAAACTCAATTATGGTCCCTTTTCCCTGCCCCAGCTTTGCCTCCTACCTATTCTAGGAGGGCTTTGATCCTCCAGGTATCATCTTCACACTCTGTCTTCTGTCCTGAGCTCTACACCTGGTATATAAATTCAGGACTCAGGCCCTGCCCTTTATAGTCCCTCTGGGTGCCACATGACTACATGAGACCCAAGACGACTAGCAAAGACATTGGGGAGGGTACCTGTGACACAGTTTCAAAATTCTCTTTTTTTTTTTTTTTTTTTGAGAGAGAGTCTCACTCTATAGCCCAGGCTGGAGTGCAATGGTGTGATCTCGGCTCACTGCAACTTCCGCCTCCCAGGTAAAGTGATTCTCATGCCTCACCCTCCCAAGTTGCTGGGATGACATCCACCACCACACCCAGCTAACTTTTGGATTTTTGGTAGAGACGAGGTTTCGCCATGTTGCCCAGGCTGGTCTCCAACTCCTGAACTCAAGTGATCCACCCACCTTGGCCTCCCAAAGTGCTGGGATTATAGGCGTGAACCATTCCACCCAGCCCAAAATTCTTTTCAGTATTTAAAATACTTGGCCAGGCAGGGCATGATGGCTCATGCTTGAGCTCAGGAGTTCAAGAACAGCCTGGGCAACATGGAGAAACTCTGTCTCTACTAAAAATACAAAAAATTAGCTGGGCCTGGTGGCATGTGGCTGTAATCCCAGCTATTCAGGTAGCTGAGGGAGAATTGCTTGAACCTGGGAGGCAGAGGTTGCAGTGAGCTGAGATCATGTCATTGTGCTCCAGCTTGAATGACAGAGCAAGGCTCTGTATCAAAAAAAAGGTCAGGTGCAGTGGCACATGCCTGTAATCCCAGCACTTTGGGAGTCAAGGCAGGAAGATCACCAGAGGTCAGGAGTTCAAGACCAGCCTGGCCACATGGTGAAACCGTGTCTCTACTAAAAATACAAAACAATTAGCCGGGCATGGTAGTATGCACCTGTAGTCCCAGCTACTCAGGAGGCTGAGGCAGGAGAATCGCTTGAACCCAGGAGGTGGAGGTTGCAGTGAGCCGAGATCATGCCATTGCACTCCAGCCTAGGTGACAGAGCAAGACTCCATCTCAAAAAAAAAAAGAAAAAAAAAATTAGCCAGGCATGGTGGTGCACACCTGTAATCCCAGCTACTCAGGAGTCTGAGGCAGGAGAATCATTGAACCCGGGAGGCAGAGCTTGCAGTAAGCCGAGATAACACTACTGCACTCCAGCCTGGGTGACAAAAAGTGAGATTCTGTCTCAAAAAAAAAAAAAAAAAAAAATTGGCTGGGCACAGTGGCTCACATCTATAATCCCAGCACTTTAGAAAGCCAGCACTTTGGGAGATGGGCAAATTGCTTGAGCCTAGGAGTTGAAGACAAGCCTGGGCAACATAGAGACTCTGACTCTATAAAAAACATACAAAAATATATTAGCTGGGCATGTGTGATGGTGCATGTCTCTAGTCCCAGCTACTTGGGAGGCTGAGATGGGAGGATTACCTGAGCCCAGGAGGTTGAGGCTGCAGTGAGCTGAGATAGCACCACTGCACTCCAGCCTGAGTGACAGAGTGAGAAGCTGTCTCAAAAAATAGATACACATATAAGATTAAGATTTCCTTGGTAAGGCCGGGTGTGGTCGTTCATGCCTGTAATCCCAGCACTTTAGGAGGCCGAGGCAGGCAGATCACGAGGTCAGGAGATTGAGACCAGCCTGGCCAACCTGGTGAAACCCTGTCTCTACTAAAAATACAAAAACTTAGCTGGGATTGGTGGCAGGTGCCTGTAGTCTCAGCTACTTGGGAGGCTGAGGCAGGAGAATTGCTTGAACCCAGGAGGTGGAGGTTGCAGTGAGCCGAGATCGTGCCATTGCACTCCAGCCTGGGCAACAAGAGCAAAACTCCGTCTCAAAAAAAAAAAAAAAAAAAAAAAAAAAGATTGCCTTGGTCAAAGTTATTGCAGACTGATGACAATCAGATCCATCTCTAGTGGAAAACATAAATTGAATCCTCATGAAATAGTCACTGAAAAGCCTATGCTCTTAATCATAGAACCCCATGTATCTTCTGCTCCTAAACTCTAAAATGGCTAAATGCTTTAACACTTTAATGCATTATGGCCGGGCGCAGTGGCTCACGCCTGTAATCCCAGCACTTTGGGAGGCCAGGGCGGGCGGATCACCTGAGGTCAGGAGTTTGAGACCAGCCTGGCCAGCATGGTGAAACCCCATCTCTACTAAAAATACACAAATTAGCCAGGCATGGTGGCAAGCACCTGTAATCCCAGCTACTCAGGAGGCTGAGGCAGGAGAATCGCTTGAACCTGGGAGGTGGAGGTTGTGGTGAGCTGATATCGTGCCACTGCACTCCAGCCTGGGTGACAGAGCAAGACTTCATCTGGAAAACAAACAAAAAAACCACAAACAAACAAAAAAAAACTTTAATGCATTATGCCAAAAGTGTGTTTTCATCAGGTTAAGAAAGCTTTTCATGGTCTACTCACTGATCAAACTCTTCACAACCTAGGACTAAAAGATGGGTTCTTCTGAGAACATTAGAGAAAGACTGCCCTTGTCACCCACATTGCAGCAAAACTTCTAAACCTTAAACTTTAGGTTCCTAATCTCACAACTCAGAAGGGTCCCTCCAGATTCTTAGAACTATCCCCCTTTGGGGACCTTAATGTAAATCTGGCTGGGCATGCTGGCTCATGCCTATAATCCCAGCACTTTGGGAGGCTGAGGTGGGAGGACTGCTTGAGCCCAGGAGTTCAAGACCAGCCTGAGCAACATAGTGGGACTCTGTCTCTACAAAAACTTTAAAAGGCCGGACGCGGTGGCTCACGCCTATAATCCCAGCACTTTGGGAGGCCGAGGCAGGTGGATCACGAGGTCAGGAAATCGAGACCATCCTGGCTAACACCGTGAAACCCCGTCTCTACTAAAAATACAAAAAATTGGCTGGGCGTGGTGGCGGGCGCCTATAGTCCCAGCTACTCAGGAGGCTGAGGCAGGAGTATGGCGTGAACCCGGGAGGTGGAGCTTGCAGTGGGCTGAGATTGCGCCACGGCACTCCAGCCTGGGCGACAGAGCGAGACTCCGTTTCAAAAAAAAAAACTTTAAAAAAGTAGCCAGGCATAGTGGCACGCTCCTGTAATCCCAGAACTTTGGGAGGCTGAGGCAGGCTAATACCTTGATCTCAGGAGTTCAAGACCACTCTGGTCAACATGGTGAAACCCTATCTCTACAAAAAATACAAAAATTAGCCAGGCACAATGGTACGCACCTGTAGTCCCAGCTACTCGGGAGGCTCAGATGGGAAGATTGCTGCAGCCCAGGAGTTCGAGGCTGCAGTGAGCTGGGATTGTGTCACTGCACACCAGCCTGAGCGACAGAGCAAATAAGACTCTGTTTCAAAAAAAAAAAAGAAAGAAAGAAAGAAAAGAAAAGAAAGAAAGAAATCTACCCAGGGAAGTTTCTCCCTATAAGCAGACAGCATCTTAGATGTAGACAGCTATTTCCCAGGATCACAGATCAAGACTCCTCTGGTATCATGAGACTGTTATCTCTCAGTTTTTTCCTTGCTTATGCCTCTATGAACAATAGAACTGAAAAAGAGGTATCTTGTGTGCACTCACAGGGTATACTTTTATTTGTACATGGACAAACTTATCTCTTGATACATGGAAGATAAGGAGGCAACATGGGCAAGAAATTTTAATACCCTTGTTGGTCCATAATCAGTCAGAAACAGAACATTGGACTTCTCTTAGGGGTTAAGAGAACACTTTTGTTTTTGTTTCCCTTCAGAATTCAATATGAAAGCTTAAAGCTGCCTTCTTACATATTTTAAGTTCAGCCTAAAGGTTTTTTTGTACATAGTGAACTGTAACCAAAATGTGTAAATGGGCTGTAACCTTACTGTTATACCAATCATTGAGTTTTGACCAATCAAAGGTGGGCAACTGTTTAAACTGTGTTCAAATAAGGCAAATATCAAACTATATACAATCCAGCTGCTTCTGTACGTCCACTTCTGCTTTATGTACATCACTTTCCTTTTTCTGTCCATAAAATTTAGACCACACAGCAGCGACAGAGTCTCCCTGAACTTATTCTGGTTTGGGTGCTACCTGGTTCACAAATCATTCTTTGCTCAATTAAAAATTGTTAAATTTAATCTAAGGTTTTTTTTTTTTTTTTGAAATAACAGAAAATGTAGGTTTTTCTTTTTCTTTTTTTTTTTTTCTTTGAGACACAGTCTCGTTCTATGGCCCAGGCTGGAGTGCAGTGGTGCGATCTCGGCTCACTGCAGCCTCTGCCTCCTGGGTTCAAGCAATTCTCATGCCTCAGCCTCCCTAGTAGCTGGGATTACAGGCATGAGGCACCACACCTGGCTAATTTTTGTATTTTTAGTAGAGATGGGGTTTCACCATGTTGGTCAGGCTGGTCTCGAACTCCTGACCTCATGATACACCCGCCTCAGCCTCCCAAAGTGTTGGGATTACAGGCGTGAGCCACCGCACCCAGCCGAGGTTTTTCTTAATTAAGAAAACTTTTTTTAATTGAGACGAGGTCTATGTTGCCCAGGTTGGTCTTGAACTCCTGAACTCAAGCAGTTCTCCTGACTCAGCCTCCCAAAGCACTGGAATTACAGGTGCGAGCCACTACACTTGACCTGTCTAAGGTTTTTCTTTTAATAGGTCACAATATCACACTGTGAATTCATTTCTGGGATCTTTAACAGAAATAAACTTGATTTCCTTGTATTGAGACCTTACCATTTTAGAAATTTTTTCTTTTTGAGACTGGTTCTTGCTCTGTCACCCAGGCTGGGGTGCAGTGGCATGATGGTAGCTCACTGCAGCCTTGACCTCCTGGGCTCAAGTGATCCTCCCACCTCAGCTTCCCAAGTAGCTGGGACTACAGACATGCATCACCACACCTGGCTTTTTCATGTTTTTTTGTAGAGACAGTGGGCTCACTACGCATGTTTCTCTCTTCCTGATTTCTCCAAAATTTGGAAACTAGTTGTGAGTATTCTTAACTTATGGCAATATAGTTATTTGCATAAGTGCAATAAGAATCTGTTTTCTTTTGTAACAAGACACAATTGGAGACACTGGTTAAATTTTACCAAGGTTTGGACTGGAATGGTATGCCTTCAGATGCAGACTCCTTTAAGGAATCAAAGTTGACTTATAGAGCCAATGAACCAATAAAAGCCCCTTGGGACAGCTGGCCTCATGCCTTATCTACATAGTCCCTGCACAGGTTCCTCGCCTATGGTATGTATGGAATGTCACTTTCTGACAGGCCCAGGAGCCCCAAGTTTTCTTGGGACCTTGAAGTGAGGAATTCACCCAATTATTACTGGTATTTGCAGGCACAGGCTGGGCTTAAGGCATTAAAGTAGAATCTGAGGTTCTTTATGGAATAAAGTTCCAGCAAAGCCTGTTTTTTGTTTTGAAGAGGAGCCTATATGGCAAATAATTATTCTTTCTGACTTTATGCAAATACTCTGGCCAAGTATAATAAGACTGAAACTTATTTTGCAAATGAGTTTGTCCTGTGATTTGTCTTTATGAAAACAGGACTGGAGAGAGAAAAATTATGTTTTAAAATAAACTATAGTACACCTGTTTTTAGATTCTAGTGTTGCCTAGTGTTTTTCAATTTTTAGTATTTTCCACAGTTTTAACTGAATTCCAAAATTTTTCCTGACTACATGTCTCCAAAATAATGTTTTCCATTTTTTTCCTTACTTCCTTTCCTTTTTCCCCCCATTTTTCCTGATTTGAAATTACCAGAGGGAGGCCGAGGGGGGTGGATCACTTGAAGTCAGGAGTTCAAGACCAGCCTGGCCAACATGGTGAAACCCTGTCTCTACTAAAGACACAAAAATCAGCTGGGCGTGGTGGTGCATGTCTGTAATCCCAGCTATTCAGGAGGCTGAGGCAGGAGAATCACTTGAACCTGGGAGGCAGAGATTGTAGTGAGCCAAGATCATGCCACTGCAGTCCAGCCATGGTAAAAGAACAAGTCTCTGTCTTAAAAAAAAAAAAAAAAAAGGAAAAGAAATCACTAGAAATTAAGCTTTGCTTTCTTAAAGCCCTGTGAACTGAAGCTAGACAACTTAAACTTTGGAAGAAAATACATATGTAAGCCACTTTCATACATGTCTACTGATGTAAGAACTTCAGAGTAACGTGGCCTGTATCGATTTTCCAGGATTGTTCTTCATTTTTTGTTTGTTGTTGTTTTCTCCCTTCCTCCCCTATTTTCTCTTTGTTGGACATAAGACTCCACAATCTGCTAAAAATGAGCTTTTCTAATAATGTGGGACTTACTAATCTAAGAATAAACCGTCCTAGCCATGAGAGATGAGACATAACCTGAGACCAGAGGCTCATTTCCTCCTAAAAAGCTTTCTCCAAAAGATATTAAAAAGGGGAGAAATGTGAAAGGAGAATCACCAAAGGGTAAAGTCAAGCTGGGAACTGCATCAGACAAACCTGCCTCCCATTCTATTCCTAAGTAAGATGGCCACAAAGATTTAAAATAATAATAATAATAATAATAATAATAATAATAATAATAATAATAATAATAATAAAAGCTACATACCCCCCTCACAATTTGCCCACAAGGAAATTCCTTGTAGACAAAGGACAGACAGAACTCAAAAAGTCATCTCTCTGCTCACCTGAGACAAATCCATATCTGATTGCTTCCTTTGCCCTATTGTTTCACTAAGCCAGACTAAGGCATAAGTGAGTATTCACTCGTGCCTTGTGTATTCAGCGAAAGGCTAATCAGAAACTCAAAAGAATGCAACCATTTGTCTTTTATCTACCTATTACCTGGAAGCCCCCTCCCCACTTCGAGTTGTCCTACCTTTCTGGACCAAACCAATGTATATCTTACTTATACTGATTCATGTCTCATGTCTCCCTGAAATGTGTAAAACCAAGCTGTGTACTGACCATCTCGGGCAAATGTCGTCAGGACCTGCTGAGGCTGTGTCATGGGCATGTCCTTAACTGTGACAAGATAAACTTTCTAAATTGATTGAGACTTGTCTGACATACTCTTGGTTTACACATGCTATCTTGTATTTACAGAGTCCACCCACATGCATGGAAGGAGAATTATACAAGTGCATGGGTCATTCAAAGATGTGAGAATTCTCCCTACCAGGGTTTCTAATTTAAAAAATAGATGCACAAAACTATTACTACTAGATAAAAGAAGAAAAATAGTGAAAGAGGTGAGAAGGAGAAAAAATGTGAAAGTAATATTGGAGATTGTGCACTCAGTTCATATGTATAATACGTTTCTTTATATTCTGAGTGTTGGGATATAAAGATACAAAGACAGGGCAGTCACAACTTACTGGAGTGGAAACCCACCAGCAGAAACCTCCGTGGGAACCAGTACCAGGTCCAGAAGTCATCAGGTGTCATGCTGCCTGAAAACTGGCAATTTTCCTATCTCCTCAAGTGAGGGGGGGAATTACTGTGTCATGAAATCCTCAACTTAGAAGGAAAAGTGCCAAGAAGAATAAGGAACTAATAAAGGTTGGATTCCAGTGTATGAATTTGTTTTTTTTTGTTGTTTTTTTTTTTTTTTGAGATGGAGTCTCACTCTGTCGCCCAGGCTGGAGTGCAGTGGTGTGATCTCGGTTCACTGCAACCACTGTCTCCCGGGTTCAGGAGATTCTCCTGCCTCAGCCTCCTGAGTGGCTTGAAGTTTTTTTAAAAAAGAGAGAGAAAAAAAAGACAGGGTGGGCTTGGTTCAGCCTCTCAGGAGAATGCCTCACCTCCAAGCTCCTTTTTGCACCCCTAAGTCCTTGATGTCGCTGGCAGATAAGTGATAATCCTCCGAGGAGAGTGTGGGGTGAGGGTTGGCCTTCCGCCTCCTGACTGATTTATAAGGGCGGCACCTTTAATCCTCACAAACTCAGAGTGATAAAACCACATTTGCAAAATTATAACTGAAGAAATTATGACAGTGAAAGAAATCAGACCTAACCGACTCTATCTTGCTTCTAACCTTTAAGCTGTCCTTGGTCATTCCTGGATGTAGGCCGAACTAACTTTGGGAAGGAATTCAGTTCATGGTTTGACTCTGTAACAAAATTGGTAATAGACCTTTCCTAAAAAGACCCCCTTCTTGCATGGGGACCAGTCTGCCTTTGCAGGACTAACAAACTGGCTACAAGATTAGAAATTACAGTTTACGGGACATGCAGCCTCTGGCTCCAAGAGCCTGAACCTCCCCAAATTGCTCCTGAGGATAAAATCACTATTGTAAAACCTAAGATCAGTGTTTGAGATATTTTGCAGACCCTGTACTCGACGGATCAGCATACATCACCCAGACTGGTAATCTGGCCCAACCAGTTCTGCCGTCGCACCCAGGAACAGAAGACATTAAGAAAACCTCATTTCAACCCCCTAGGATTCCATCTCCAACCTGACCAATCAGCACTCCCCACTTCCCAAGACCCTGCCCACCAAATTATCTTTAAAAACTCTGATCCCCAAGCCGGGCACGGTGGCTCACACCTGTAATCCCAGCACTCTGGGAGGCCTAGGTGGGCAGATCACTTGAGGTCAGGAGTTCGAGACCAGCCTGGCCAACATGGTGAAACCCCGTATCTACTAAAAATACAAAAATTAGCTGGGTGTGGTGGCGTGTGCCTGTAATCCCAGCTACTAGGGAGGCTGAGGCAGGAGAATCGCTTGAACCTGGGAGGCGGAGGTTGCAGTGAGCTGAGATTGCACCACTGGCACTCCAGCCTGGGGGACAGAGCAAGACTCCATCTCAAAAAGAATAAACCAAACAAACAAACAACAAAAACTCTGATCCCCAAATGCTCAGGGAGACTGATCTGAGTAATAATAAAACTCAGGTCTCCTGCACAGCCAGCTCTGCATGAATTACTCTTTCTCCATGCAATTCCCGTCTTGATAAATCACCTCTGTCTACACAGCAGGCAAGGTATACTCAATGGGCCATTACAGTGAGGTAGATTTTCTTTTTCTTCTTTTCTTTTCATTTTTCTTTTCTTTTCTGTTCTTTCTTTTCTTTTCCTCTTTTCTTTTTCTTTCTTTTCTTTTTTTGATAGGGTCTCACATTGTTGCCCAGGCTGGAGTACAGTGATGCAATCATAGCTCACTGCAGCTTCCACCTCCCCAGCTCAAGCGATCCTCCTGCCTCAGCCTCCTGAGTAACTGGGACTACAGGTCCATGCCACCACACCCAGCTCATTTTTGCATTTTTTGTAGAGAGGGTTTTGCCATGTTCCCCAGGCTGGTCTCAAACTCCTGCGATCCTCCTGCCTCAGCCTCCCAAAGTGTTGGGACTGCAGGTGTGAGTCACCATGCCCGGCCAGATATTCTTTCTTTTTTTTTTTTCTTCAGATGAATAACTATGACTCAGAGAAGGTAAGTTATTTGCTCAAGGTCACACAGCCAATAAGGAACAGAGCTAGAGTTAAAACCCACGTCTGTCGGAGTCCAAAACCTGTGCCCTTCATTAGGGGCTTCTTCCCCTTTAGGAAACACCACCTATCCAGGCTGGCATTCCAAGCAGAGGGTTTCCTCTTCAAAGTAACTTTCTAGCTATAAAATAGAAAGGGTACCAGCCAGGAGAGGGCTGAGGCCAAAGTTGGAAGCCCTTCCTTCATATCCTGTCAACCCTGCCCACTCTCGTCCTGTGAGTCCTGGTTTCGTGCCCTTTGTATGCACAGAGAAATTTTCATGTGGTTATAGCCAGACCCTGTATTTTCCATATAATACTTGGTCTGTATAATCACCTCTGGCTTGAGTGCATTTTACTAAGAATGGTTTTTAGGGCTTGGTTTAAAAATCTGCATCTCCTTTAGTACTTAAAATCCTCAGGTGGTGGGCAGGGTGGATCTGAGTCAGACTGGAAGTCCAAAAGCAGCAGAGAAGCCCTAGGGAGCTAGCAGGAAGTGCTCTGGAGTTTCCTGGTGTTCCCCACCCCTGCTGCCTGCCCGGGCTAAGGCCACCTTTTCTCCTGGCTTTTAGTGGTCTCCCCTCTGCCTCAGCCAGCTCTTCAGGCAGCAGTCAGGCACTCATTCTAAACTGATTCTGCACTCCCCTCAGCAGAACCCTTCAATGGCTACTTGTTTTTCTCAGGATAAAGTCCAAACTCTGTGCTATGGCTCAAAGGTCCTTCATGATTTGGTCCCTCCCTACCCCACTGGCCTTGGCTTCTGGCATCTCACTCAGCTGCCACCATGCTGAATTTCATGCAGCTCTCTTGAACAAGCTGCAAATCTTCCAAGAGCCTCAAGCTGTGCTGTCTCCTCAGCCTAACTATTGTTCCCCCATTTCTTTCCACCTGGCCAATGCCTCTTTATCTGACCTCATTATATCTCACCTTAGACTCCACTAGCTCTGGGAACCCTTTCCTGACCTTCCCAAGACTAGAGTAAGGCCCTTGCCACTGGCTTCTGTCCTCACCCCAGAGTCAACAGAATCCCAGCAATTATTACAAGATACTGGAGTGATCTGTTTCCCTTCCCAAGTAGCCTGTGGCTGCACTGAGATAATGGACTGTATCTTCTTCCTCTTTATATTTTCTGAATTTATTGAGAGCAAGGACTCAAAATATGTTCCCTGCATGAATAAACGGAAGAATGAATAAAATTCTGTGGCTATGCCAGTGAAAGTACTGTGACCGTATTTCATAAACATTAGCTCTGTCAGGTGACTTCGTACCAAGGAACCTAAACACAAAGTAAGTGATATTCAGACAATCTGGGAAACAGTGCATGCAGCAACCTCAGGTATAAAGTTTCACTGAATTGAAAAATGGAAACCCTCTCAAATAGTGGCCTCTTTATAACAGCAAGAAAGGCACCAAGGAACATGGGATTAAAATTAGGAAGAAATAAAAAATAGAAAGAAACAATTAGCCTTTTAACCTGAGGAGTGAATTCCCTAAGTGGGAAAAGATACATTTTCTTCTGTTTTCTTTTTGACCACAGATAGAGAGATTGCTCAGGTAACAGAAAAATGAATTATGTGTTAATCCTAATCCCGAATGGCCTCCAGGGGAGGGCGAGTTGTCACAGCTAGAGCACCTATGTTTTCTGATGGGTATGGGAATACAGTCAGCCCTCCGTATCTGCAGGTTCCCATTCAACCAACCTTGGATCAAAACTATTTAAGTAAATAAATAAATAAAAAATAATAATACAGACTGGGCACCATGGCTCATGCCTATAATCTCAGCACTTTAGAAGGCAGAGGCGGGAGGATCACTTGAGCCCAGGAGTTTGAGATCCTATCACTACAAAGAAATTTAAAAATTAGCCAGGTATGATGTCACGTGCCTGTGTTCACCATGTTGGCCAGCTACTTGGGAGGCTGAAGTGAGAGGATTTCTTGAGCTCGGGAGATTGAGGCTGCAGTAAGCCATGACTGCACCACTGCATTCCAGCCTGGGTGACAGAGTGAGGCTGTCAGAAAAACAAAAAATAAAATAATGCAACAATAAAAATAGTACCAAGTAAAAATACAATATAACAAAACTATTTACACAGCATTTACATTGTATCAGGTATTATAAGTAATCTAGAGATGACTTAAAAGTATATGGGAGGATATACCTAGGCTAAATGCAAATACTATGCCATTTTATAAAAGGAACTGGAGCACTCTTGGATTTTGGTATCTGAGAGGGTGCTGGAACCAACTGGGTGCCAAGGGATCACCATACCATGTCACTTAACAATGTGGGTACATTCTGAGAAATGTATCCCTAGGTGATTTAATCATTGCAGAAACATTATAGCATGTACTTGTACAAACCTAGGTGGTATAGCCTCCTACACACATAGGCTGAAAGGTACAGCCTATTGCTCCTAGGCTACAAATCTGGACAGCATGTTACTATACTGAATGCTGCAGGCAATTGTAACACAGTGGTAATTGTGTTACATATTCTTTTTTTTTTTTTTTTCAGATGGAGTCTCACTCTGTCACCCAGGCTGGAGTGCAGTGGTGCAATCTCGGCTCACCGCAACCTCCACCTCCTGGGTTCAAGCAATTCTCCTGCCTCAGCCTCCCAAGTAGCTAGGATTACAGGTGCCTGCCACCACACCCAGCTAATTTTTTGTATTTTTAGTAGAGATGGGGTTCACCATGTTGGCCAGGCTGGTCTCGAACTCCTGACCTCAGGTGATCCACCCAACTCGGCCTCCCAAAGTGCTGGGATTACAGGCATGAGCTACCGTGCTCAGCCTGTGTTACGTATTCTAAATCTAAACATATCTAACCTAAATCTAAACATATCTAAATATAGAAAAGTATAGTAAAACCATGGTATTATAATCTTATGAGACCACCATTATACACACGGTCCACTGTTAACCAAAACGTCATTATGTGGCACAAGGCTGTAATTATTTAGTAGAGTTCAATTTCTCAGTGGTAAGAAAAGGGCTGGTTAATTAGAGGTGCTGTGGGGAGAGGGGTAGATGAGGAAACTGGAGCCTGCCCTGTCTAACTGAGGCTGAGCTCTGAAACAAGGTGTATGGCAAAAAACCACTTCCCACAGGGGACTCAGGAACCCCCACATGCCCAATGAGGGTTTGTAAACTTGAGTGCTGCAAGGTAGGTGATGAAAGACTACACATCCCTTCAAAATCTTTAGTAACATCTACTTTGCTCAATAATGTTTTTAGTGCAAATGGGTTCTTCCTGGGGAACTCAAAGAGGTGGAGAGTGCTATGTCGTGCTGGGGACAGAGCCAGGATGCAGCCATGCCTTAGGGGCAGCTGCACATATTTCCATATCCAGCAAATGTTTTGAAAGATGCATATTTATTAAATGTCCATGTACAAAGAAGGGTAGCCATGGCACTAGGTATTTGCATGTCAAATTCTTTGCTTATTAAGATGCTATTGGCTATTGCTGAAATGATCCTCTGGGATTTCAGAAGAACTGGTCACCTAATTTTGCTATGGGAACAACATCAATGATGGATCACTTACTTCAGCATTTCAGACATGGTTCAGAAATCTTCACTGAGCACTAACTCTTCTGCAAACTCTGTGCTAGATTCTGGAGGTGCAGCTGCCAACCAGCCAGAACCAGTCTCTGGATGCAGTGTGGACTGGCATGGAGCCTAAACCAGACTCTCAGAATAGAAAAACCTTACCAAACACCACTAGATGTATGTACTACCACATCAGCTTTCTTTTCTTTCTTTCTTTCTTTTTTTTGAGACAGAGTTTCACTTTTTTGCCCAGGCTGGAGTGAAGTGGTGCGATCTCAGCTCACTGCAACCTCTACCCCACAGGTTCAAGTGATTCTCCTGCCTTAGCCTCCTGAGTAGCCGGGATTACAGGTGCATGCCACCATGACCAGCTAATTTTTTGTATTTTTAGTAGAGACAGGGTTTCACCATGTTGGCCAGGCTGGTTCCGAACTCTTGAACTTAGGTGATCCACCTGCCTCGGCCTCCCAAAGTGCTAGGATTACAGATGTGAGCCACCACACCCGGCCACCACATCACCTTTCAATAGATCCTAATTTTTTTCATGATGACCTAGAGATGGCTTACCCCTGGAACAGATGGAGACCATTCTGAATTGTTCTGAATATGTTTGTATTTAAATATGTCCCAGATAATAAAATAGAAAGAATGCTTGATCTGATCTGAGAGCAGGAGCAAAGCCTTTCTGAAGGGTTGCCTGGCACTGTGGGTTTCAGGCAGGGCCTCTCTGCAGCTGCCTCATCTCCATTTCTTTCTTTCTGGCTTGGGGCTGCACTTTGGCTCTGACTCCGTGCCTTCTGCTGGGAGCTCTCCTCACAGGGCTTACTTGAGGGATGCTTCTTTTGAGGTGGAAGTTAACCTGGAAGAAAAAAAGCAGGAGCTACGAGATCCGTTTGGACCATCTTTTGCCATAGTTCCAGTTTCTGAGGGCTGGGTACTAGGGAAAATTATTATAGCAGTGACCCAGAGAAGCACTGGTGGTGTCATATAGACTTGGCTAACGTTCCCCCAAAATTGGTATGCAATCATTGGTGATAGATAGAGTGTGACTGGATGAACTTAATATACATTGATTTTACATGTATTAGAAAAAGATGGGCTGGGTGTGGTGGCTCATGGCTGTAATCCCAGCACTTGGGAGGCTGAGGTGGTGGATCACCTGAGGTCAGGAGTTCAAGACCACACCGGGCAATATGGTGAAACCCTGTCTCTACTAAAAATACAAAGAAATTAGCCAGGTGTGGTGGTGCACACCTATAGTCCCAGCTACTCAGGAGGCTGAGGCGGTAGAATTGCTTGAACCCAGGAGGTGGAGGCTGCAGTGAGCTGAGATCTTGCCACTGCACTCCAGCCTGGGTGACAGCGAGACTCCATCTCAAAAAAAAAAAAAAAAAAGAAAAAAATTAGGTTGGGCATGGTGGCTGTAATCCTTGCACTTTAGGAGGCTGAGGCGGGCAGATCACTTGAGATCAGGAGTTAGAGACCAGCCTGGCCAACATGGTGAAACCCCGTCTCTACTGAAAATACAAAAATTAGCTGGGCTGGTGGCACATGCCTATAGTTCCAGCTACTCGGGAGGCTGAGGCAGGAGAACTGCTTGAACTCAGCAGGCAGAGGTTACAGAGAGCCAAGATCACGCCACTGCACTCCAGCCTGGGTGACAGAGTGAGATTCCATCTCAAAAAGAAAAAAAAAAGTAAAGAAAAGAAAGAAAAATATATCTACACATCAAATATGATTTCACCAATACTGCCACTTAGGACAAGAGCCATGATTGACGGTGCTGTAACAATCTTCTTTATGCTGCCTGGGTGACTCACAGGTGCCATGCTCAGGCATGCCAGTAAGTGTCACCATGCTTCAGAACTAAACCTTCTGCCTACTTGTTTGACTTCAAAGATAGTAGAGATGATAAAGAGTGTTGGTATGGACTTGGGGATTTATTTTACTTTTCTTTTTTTTTTTAATTTTAGAGATGGGGTCTTGTTATGTTGTCCAGGCTGGACTCAAACTCCTGGGTTCAAGATCCCCCTGCCTCAGCCTCTCAGCCTCCTGAGTAGCTGGGATTACAGGCACATGCCACCACATCCTGCTTGGATTCTTAAACTGGAAATTTCCATGTGTGTTAATGCATCCTTTCAAGCACTACATTGCAACCTCTCTTCTGGCCACAGCACGCAGATGGAAAGATACTTTTCACTGACAAATGTGGGACATTCTGGGTGTGGAAGAGCCGTAGAACTATCCCAGGCTGAAGAGGAAGGAGAGGGAGTGGCACAGTGTCCTAACCACACTCCTCTGGGGCAGGCCTGGGCTTTCCCACCCTTGGAACAGCTTGAGCCCCTGAAGCCAGCTGGGAGTTAAAAAACATGTCACTGACTAAGAGGCCTCTCTGTAGGGTTATTTCCTGCCCCTTCCGCAAAAATTGATAGCCAGTTTTTCTGCTAGTTCCTCCAGGAGGGAAGGGGAGAATCAGAGCCAACTGTGCTGTATTATTTACCAATTCCTATTTAGTAACATAGGAATCTAGACAGAAAAAAATGAGAGAGAAGAGAGACAAGAAAATGAGGCAAGGACAGAGGAAAAGGAAAGGAGTGGTGACATGTGGAAGGCCTTGGGGAAAAGCAAAGAAAACACTGGGCCCCGGAAGATATTTTATTTCATTTTATTTTTATTTTGAGATAAGGTCTTACTCTGTCATCCAGGCTGGAGTGCAGTGGTGCAATCACGGTTCACTGCAGGCTCCATCTCCTGGGTTCAAGTGATCCTCCCACCTCAGCCTCCCAAGTAGCTGGCACTACATGTGCATGACACCATGCCCGGCTAATTTTTGAACTGTTTTGTAGAGATATGATTTCGCCATGTTGCCCAGGCTGGTCTCAAACCCCTGGGCTCAAGTGATCTGCCAGCCTCAGCCTTCCAAAGTGCTGAGATTACAGGTATGAGTCACCGCACCCAGCTGAGACATTTTAAAGCTGGAAACTCTGTAGTAAACAATCTTTTTTTTTTTTTTTGAGATGGAGTCTTGCTCTGTCACCCAGGCTGGAGTGCAGCGGCACAATCTCGGCTCACTGCAACCTCCGCCCCCTGGGTTCAAGCAATTCTCTTGCCTCAGCCTCCCAAGGAGCTGGGATTACAGGCATGAGCTACCACACTTGGCTAATTTTTGTATTTTGAGTAGAGACAGGGCTTCGCCATGTTGGCCAGGCTGGTCTCGAATTCCTGACCTCAAGTGATCCGCCTGCCTCAGCCTCCTGAAGTGCTGGGATTACAGGTGTGAACCACCACACCTGGGCAATATTTTTTTCCTTTTTTCTTTCCCAGACAGATGGATATCTGCTTTAGACTGGGAAGGGAGATAGACTCCTTTGTGATCAATAAATGGGTTTTTAGTTGTTACTGTGTCTGGAAATTGTATCCAAATGACAGACATCTTTTCTCCTCTGAGTATATTTGACATAATGATGGGTTATGTTAATTTATTTAAAGAATATGTGAAAAGGGGGGCAAAATCCTTTGAAATTGAGTGTGTTACTCAAGAGGACGTGCAGTTGTTTGAATTTGGCGTTGAACAGACTTGCTGGTAATGCAAAACTTATATATGTAGCTGCTTAACAGTCATTCAATTTTAGGATATAACAAGAAAAAAGGGAAAGAGGACCCCAGATCAGCTCATAGGCTGCAATGAAAGATTTACTCTCTGTTTCCTGCAACTGTAAGCAGAAGTAATTTACATTATTTAGGAGATGGGACTAGGGGAGGGGATGGAGGAAGAAACTATCTGGAAATTCTCAAAGGACTTAAAGCATAGTTCTTTCTCCTGATCCTTGTGTTACAATAAGGAGCTACAAACACAGGTTGTACACTTAGTATGAGTTCTGTAACACATTGGCTAAGAAGGGAGCCAGAGAGCCTGATATAGGTTCGAATCCTGACTCCCACCACTTGCTATGTGATATTACACAAGTTTCTTTTATCTTCTCTAAGCCACAAATGGGGATACTTGCATCTACCTCACAGGGTTGTTGTGAAGGTTAAATGAGATAATGCTGGAAAGCTCTCATATCATGTCATACATAGTACTTATTCAATAAATAGTAAAAGACAAGCTTGACTGGACTGCATTGTGTTAATAGGGAAAGGTGGTGGGAGGGTCTACTAAGGGTTGTGTACAGGAGTGAGGCGGCCCTAGGAAAGGCTGACTTTTAGGAAATGAGATCTGTAGATGTCTGTTAAATAGGACTGCCTCATTATTTTGTCCTCATTTGAGAAATCTGAGGATTAGTGTCTACGATCTCTGAGCTCTGTTAGCTCTGAGATCTTAATACAACCAAAACTGAAAAGATCCAGGCTGTAAAATCAAAGAAGTTCTTTGCTTCTCATCCTATCTATAAAAGAAAGCCCTGGAGAGTTTAATCTTGAAGAGTAGCTGGCTTTTTGCGGCATGAGTGGAAAGCAAGATCAGGGCCCAGGGAGCACCAGAAGGGATGGTAGAGCGCCCTCTGGTGGCAGTCCTTGCCAGTGGCACAGAAGAATGCAAGCCCGCTGCCTTCTCTGTAAAAACTGGTCTTAAAGAAACCATCAGATTTAGGCCGATCACAGTCTAGGCGGAGGGAGCACAGTGGCTCACGCCTGTAATCCCAGTGCTTTGGAAGGCCAAGGTGTGAGGATCTCTTGAACTCAGGAGTTCAAGGCTGCAGTGAGCCATGACTGTACCACTGCCCTCCAGCCTGGGCTACACAGAGAACCCGTCTCTACAAAAAATAACAAAAATTAGGCCAGGTGCAGTGGCTCACGCCTGTAATCTCAGCACTTTGGGAGGCCGAGGAGGGTGGATCACCTGAGGTCAGGAGTCCAAGACCAGCCTGGCCAACATGGTGAAAACCCGTCTCTACTAAAAATGCAAAAATTAGCTGGGCGTGGTGGCACATGCCTGTAGTCCCAGCTACTTGGGAGGTTGAGGCAGGAGAATCACTTGAACCCGGGAGGCGGAGGTTGCAGTGAGCCGAGAATGTGCCATTCACTCCAGCCAGGGCAACAGAGCAAGACTCTAGTCTCAAAAAATAAAAATAAAAATGGCCGGGTGCGGTGGCTCACGTCTGTAATCCTAGCACTTTGGGAGGCCGAGGTGGGCAGATCACCTGAGGTCAGGAGTTCAAGATCAGCCTGGCCAACATGGCAAACCCCTGTCTCTACTAAAAATACAAAAAATAGCTGAAGATGGTGGCACATGCCTGTAATCCCAGCTACTTGGGAGGCTGAGGCAGGAGAATTGCTTGAACCCAAAAGACAGTGGTTGGAGTGAGCCGAGATTGAGCCACTGCACTCCAGCCTGGGTGGCAGAGCGAGACTCTGTCGAAAAAAAAAAAAAATTAGCTGGACATGGCGGCATGTGCCTGTAGTCCCAGCTACTTGGAAAGATGAAGCAGAAGATCTCTTGAGTCTGAGGCTGCAGTGAGCCATAATCACGCCAGTGCACAGCCTGAGGGACAGAGACACTCCCTGTCTCTATGAAAGAAGAAGAGGAGGAAGAGGAGGAGGACAAGGAAGAGGAGGAGATATCTGACCTATCTTGTTTGACTGTAGGTCAAGGAGAAGGAGGAGGAGAAGAAAGAGAGGAGGAGGAGGACATATCTGACCTCCCTTGTTTGACTGTAGGTCATAAGACCCTACCTTGTTTGACTATAGGTCATGAGTCCCTCTTTCCAGAGAGGGTACTGACCCACACACAGAAGGAAGAAATTCATGGTCAGAGAGCCCAGAAGAATCTGGAAAGATAGGCCTTGCTAGATTTCTTCACTCAGTGCATAGCATTAGCTGATACTTTTTTTGTCCAGTTGCATTTATTACCTAGCTGTACCTACTTTGTTGAACCTACACATAAAAGTGGACAATTTCCCCGGTATCTTTGGGCCTTCATTCTGAAGGCTCCTGTGTATACACGTTAAATAAATTGGTATGCTCACACAAAACAAAAAAAGAAAAAACAGGCCGGGCATGGTGGCTCATGCCTGTAATCCCAGCACTTTGGGAGGCCGAGGTGGGCAGATCACCTGAGGTCAGAAGTTCGAGACCAGCCTGACCAACATGGAAAAACCCCATTTCTACTAAAAAAAACCCACCAAAAATTAGCCAGGTATGGTGGCACATGCCTGTAATCCCAGCTACTCAAGAGGCTGAGGCAGGAGAATCACTTAAACCTGGGAGGCGGGTGTTGCGGTGAGCCGAGATCATGCCATTGCACTCCAGCCTGGGCAACAAGAGCGAAACCCCCTCTCAAAATAACAATAATAATTATAATAATAAAATAAAATAAAAATAAATTGGTATGGCTTTTCTCCAATTAATCTGCCTTTTGAGAGTTGATTTGGCCCCTGCATACTAAAGGCTTTATGTGCATGTTCTCATTTCAGCCTCTGGTGAAGGAGGCACTATTATTACCAATTTACTGAGAATAAGAGAGATTAGGTAATTTGTCCAAGGTCTGTGGGCAAATGAGCTGAATTTAGAACTAGACAGTGCTTTAAATCACTATGCTATGTTAGACAGAAGAGGAAAAGCCAAAAGGAAGTGAGGAAGGATATAACAGGAGAGTGACAGAACAAAAATTAGGATGTGCGAGCAATTAATTCTTTAAAAAACAGTAAAAGAAAGAAGCTGGGCAAAGATTAGAGCTGTGCAATCACTTAAGATTTTGCAAGGGCCAAGGGTGGTGGCTCATGCCTGTAATCTCAGCACTTTGGGAGGCTGAGGCAGGCAGATCACTTGAGCCCAGGAGTTCAAGACCAGCCTGGGTAACATGACGAAATCCTTTTTCTAAAAAAAGAAAAATTAGGCGGGCATGGTGGTGTGTGCTTATACTCACTCCCAGCTACTCGGGAGGCTTAGGCGGCAGGATTGCTTCGGCCCAGGAGATCGAGGCTGCAGTGAGCCACAGTGGTGCCACTGCACTCCAGCCTGGGTGACAGAGCAGGACACTGTCCTCCAAAAAAAGACTGTATAAGTGATCTCTACAGTGCACCGTCAAGCTCAGCCTAACTCACCAACGTTGGTTCCGCAGGACCCACGGTCACAGTTACTGTCTCTGGGTCATACCCAGGTGCTGTGGCACTAACAGTGTAGATACCTGGAAGCAGCAGCCGGAAGTAATCACCATGGTCACCTGAAAGTCACAAAGATATAACTCAGTCTACTGATTAAAAATCTGTCCCAAATAAGCTAGGGTTTTTATCTGACTACAAGGTTGGCTTTTCTTTTTTTTTGAGACGGGGTCTTGCTCTGTCACCCAGGCTGGAGTGAAGTGGTGTGATCTCAGCTCACTGCAACCTCTGCCTCTCAGGTTCAAGCAATTCTCCTGCCTCAGTCTCCCAAGTAGCTGGGATTACAGGTGCGTGCCACCATGCTCAGCTAATTTTTGTATTTTTAGTAGAGACGGGGTTTCATCATGTTGGCCAGGCTAATATCGAACCCCTGACCTCAGGTGATCTGCCCGCCTCAGCCTCCCAGTGCTGGGATTACAGGCGTGAGCCGCTGAGCCCGTTGGCTTTTTTTTTTTTTTGAGATGGAGTCTCACTCTGTCACTCTGTTGCCCAGGCTGGAATGCAGTGGTATGATCTCAGCTCACTGCAACCCCTACCTCCTGGGTTCAAGCAATTCTCCTGCCTCAGCCTCCCAAGTAGCTGGGATTAGAGGCGTGCACCACCACACCCAGCTAATTTTTATATTTTTAGTAGAGACGGGGTTTCACCATGTTGGCCAGGCTGGTCTCAAACTCCTGGCCTCAGGTGATTTGCCAGCCTTGGCCTCCCAAAGTGCTGGGATTACAGGCATGAGCCACCGAGCCCGGCCGTCTTTTCTTTTTCAAAATAAATAAACAGAGTCCGGTTCTCACTATGTTGCCCAGGCTGGTCTCAAACTCCTGGGCTCAAGTGATCCTTCCGCCTCAGCCTCCCAAAGTGCTGCGATTACAGGCATGAGCCACTGCCCCCAGCCTGGCTTTTCTTAATAGCATGAAACTAGTAAAGATTTAAATCATTTGTGGACTATCTTAATAGGAGTACGGCCTCAGCTCCTACGAAGCAGGAATTTTACTGTGCTCTACACTGAACATGTTAAATGTAATTCTAGACCCTGTAGTTTAATACAAACTCCCCTCCAGTAAAGGATCACTAGGAGAGAGGAAAGGTTGAAAGGTCTGTGAATGTTTTGCCTAATAAAGAAACTACATGAGACCACAGTTTTGATATTTGAAAGGCCACTGTGAAGAAATGATGTCTATCTAAAGAAATAAGAATGAGAAGTATGGGTTTAAGTTGCAGGGAGGCAGATTTTGCTAGACAGAAATAAAACCTACTGAGGCCAGGTGCGGTGGCTCATGCCTGTAATCCCAGCACTTTGGGAGGCCCAGGTGGGTGGATCACCTGAGGTCAGGAGTTTGAGACCAGCCTGGCCAACATGGTGAAACCCCCATCTCTACTAAAAATACGAAAATTAGCCAGGCGTGGTGGCACATGCTTGTAGTCTCAGCTACTTGGGAGGCTGAGGCAGGGTAATTGCTGGACCGTGAGAGGTGGAGGCTGCAGTGAGCCGAGATCGCGCCACTGCACTCCAGCCTTGGTGACAGAGCAAGATTCTGTCTCAAATAGAACAAACAAACAAACAAACAAACAAATCTGTTGAGAGAAACAGAGCTACAAAAAAAGGAATGGACTGCTTTATGCAATTGTGAGCACTCAAGCACAGACTAGATCAGAAGCCTGGAAAGGCCACGCAGATGTACAGTGCAAAACCTGTACCACTGAACATGGAGGCCCTGGGTTGGACAAAAAGCTGCCGGTGGTGTTATATGGGTGTAATCTTATATTCAATGGGAAGGCTGGACTACATGACCAGTAAAGATACGATTTTGAGAGTCCTATCTCTTTTTTTGAGATAGGGTCTCATTCTGTTGCCCAGGCTAGAGTGCAGTGGTGCTATCATAGCTCACTGCAACCTTGAACTCCCAGACTCAAGCAATTTTCCTGCCTCAGCCTTTTGAATAGCTGGGACTATAGACACACACCACTGTGACTGGTAAATTTTATTATTTTTATTTTTTGTAGAGATGGAGGTCTTGCTATGTTGACCAGCATGGTCTTGAACTCTTGACCTCAAGCAATTCTCCCAGCTCAGCCTCCCAAAGTGCTGGGATTACAGGCATATGCCATTGTGCCCAGTGAGAATCTTATTTTTAATATTTCTTCTATTGGGCTGGTTGCAGTGGCTCATACCACTGCACTCCAGCCTGGGCGACAGAGCGAGACTCTGCCTCAAAAAACAAAAAAATTTCTTTTATCATCTTCAAAAGTATGGCAAGGGAAAAATAAAATTCAAAAGAAGCCTGTTTTTCTATAACAAGGAAAGTGCATTTTGGCTAATGACTTTCCATCCCTTTAGACTCAATTATGACAGTGATTTTAAAATTCATTTTAAGTATATAGCAATGAATATTTGAAATAATAAATACAATAAACATTGAGACAAACAATAATGAAGAAGTCTTTTTCTGCCCCCTATTAAATGTCTGTAATTTACTTTAAAATACTTCAGCAAAGTACATGTGTTGGATAGTTGAAATGACACCCCAGGGGTTGTCATTTTCTTAACTGGGGACTTGAATCCTGAAGTGGTTAGCGAGTGTTGTATCAGAAAGGCCCCATTCCAGATGCAGCTACTATGAGGGCTTCAGCTAGCTTTCTCTCTCATCAACACTAGATGCTTTGCTAAGTAATATAATGAATGTTTACAATGGGTTTTTTCCCTGATGAAATGAAAAAAAATTTTTTTTTTTTTGAGATGGAGTCTTGCTCTGTCGCCCAGGCTGGAGTACAGTGGCTCAATCCTGGCTCACTGCAACCTCCACCTCCTGGGTTCAAGCGATTCTCCTGCCTCAGCCTCCTGAGTATCTGGGACTACAGGTGCCTGCCACCATGCCTGGCTAATTTTTTGTATTTTTAGTAGAGACGGGGTTTTACCACGTAGGCCAGGCTGGTCTTGAACTCCTGACCTTAGGTGATCCACCCGCCTTGGCCTCCCAAAGCGCTGGGATTACAGGCATGAGCTACTGTGCCCAGCCTAATAATTTGTTAATTAACACAATGGCTGGTGAAAGTGGCACTTATTGGAAAAATTAGTGGGGTTTAATATGTTTTGTTTTTATTGTTGTTTTGAAACAGAGTCTCACTCTGCCCAGGCTGGAGTGCAGTGACGTGATTTCGGCTCACTGCAACCTCCACCTCCCGGGTTCAAATGATTCTCATGCCTCTGTGCCTCAGCTTCCCGAGTAGCTGGGACTACAGACCACACCACCACACCCAGCTAATTTTTTTTTTTTTTGAGACAGAGTCTCACTCTGTCACCCAGGCTGGAGTGCAGTGGCATGATCTTGCCTAACTGCAACCTCCACCTCCTGGGTTCAAGCGATTCTCCTGCCTCAGCCTCCTGAGTAGCTGGGATCACAGGCACACGCCACTATACCTGGCTAATTTTTTGTATTTTAGTAGAGATGGGGTTTCACCATGTTGCCTAGGCTGGTTGCGAATTCCTGAGCTCAGGCAATCCCCCCACCTCGGCCTCCCAAAGTGCTGGGATTACAGGTGTGAGCCACCGCTCCTGGCCACACCCAGCTAATTTTTGTAGTTTTAGTAGAGACAGGGGTTTCACCATGTTGGCCAGGCCGGTCTTGAGCTCCTGACCTCAAGTGTTCCTCTCACCTGAGCCTCCCAAACTGTTGAGATTACAAGCATGAGCCACTGTGCCCAGCAATATATGTTGATTGGCTGGAATGTTTTACAGACATTCCCACACTTGCTTGGATAGAGCATAAAATCTAGCAAAAGCCAGGTGTGCATTCCTGGAATCCCAGCACTTTGGGAGGCTGAGGCAGGCAGATGACTTGAGCTCAGGAGTTCGAGACCAGCCTGGACAACAGGGCAAAACTCTGTCTCTGTAAAAAAATAAAAATAAAAAATAAAAAAATTAGCTGAGCATGGTGGTATGCACTTGTAGTTCCAGCTACTTGGGAGGCTGAGGAGGGAGGCTCACCTGAGCCTGGAAGGTCAAGGCTGCAGTGAGCCCTGACTGCACCACTGCACTGCAGCCCAGGCAATAGAGTGAGACCCTGTAATCCAGCTATTTGGGAGGCTGAGGCAGAAGAATTGCTTGAGTTTGAGACCAGCTTGGGCAACATAGTGAGACCCCATCACCTTGCTAGAAAGAATCTAGCAAGCCCTGAAGAAGGCTGTGCTCATAAGGATGATTCCTACGACTCAGAAACATTTCTGTAAAAAAAGGAAAAAGAAGAAACAAATAAAAAGGATGGTTCCTGAGTTTGGATTCCTAAACAGTCCTGTGTCCAGACATTTGGCTAATAGGCTCTGGTTGTCTGATACTTCACTGTGAGGCTACAGGATTCTGCCTTTAGACATTACCTTTGCCTTGAATGAACCTTTCATGTAAGATGCACTGAGATCACTTTAAAGGACAGAAAGCTGAGAGTTCATCCAGCTTAAACAGATTGTAGGAATTGTGAAATGGCTGCTTGGTAATAAATGTTAGTGTAGTAAAATTCAGGTGAGACTTGCTAGTATTAAGGTTGTGTGGAGGGCTGGGTGTGGTGGCTCACACCTGTAACCCTAGTACTTTGGGAGGCTTTTGAGCCAAGGAGCTTGAAACCAGCCTGGGCAACATGGTGAAACCCCATCTCTACAAAAAACACAAAAAATTAGTCAGATGTGGTGTTGCATGCTTGTAGTCCTAGCTACATTGGAGGCTGAGTTAGGAGGATGGCTTGAGCTCAGGAGGCAGAGGTTGCAGTGAGATCACACCATTGCCCTCCAGCCTGGATGGTGGAATGAGACTCCTTTTCAAAAAAAAAAAGAAAAAGAAAAAAAGGTGGGGATTTAGGCAAATCTCACCTACCTGTAACCATAACCATTTGTAGCCACTGTTATGCATTAAAAGCAAAATAAAACAAAAAAAAAATCCTACAAGTTGTGCATGATCAAGCTGGGCTGAGTCAGCTTACAACACCATTCTGCTGTGAGATAATTCTGTACCCTTCTAGGAGGTTCCAGGTAGCTCTAAGATCCGCCTCCACCATCAATCTTGCCCCCACAGTAAGCCTATGATGGAAAGAATCTTGCTAACTTTCCCAATGGAGGTGTAGGGAAATGCCAAGTCAGCGACAAGGCTAACTATCTGTTTCACAGTCCTCTTTCTACCCGATTTCACACCAGTATGTGAGCTATTAACAGGCTTAAGCCCAGAAAATACCCCTAACAAAATTGTATGCGGTAGCAACTCCTGAATGCTGATGAGAAGTTACATTTACATCAGTCTTTCCTGGTCCTGACCTCTCAGGGATTGCTTGCATCAGAAGCAAAAGATTTTCCATTAAAACATCTTGGTTGTTTGATTCAGCCTCTTAATTTACTGTCTCCATTTTCATTGCCCTTCTTTCCTCCATCCCCCCCACTCCCAGCATCCTTGACACCCCTGCTGGTTTCACTAGCTTACAAACTGGCCCCTTGATTATGCTGAAGAAGATGCAGGAGTTAACGCTTCCTTCTTACCCCTAAGCAGTGACCACCTACCTGAAGTGACATCATGGTTAATCCCACTGACAGAAATGACAGCATTGGCGAGATTATTGTAATTCTCATCAAGCACCATTCCCTTGATGCCCTGGTGAACCTGCAGGAACAAGTATATAGTTATGATCATAAAACATTTGTACCATTTGTACAGTGTTTTAGAGTCTCAAAGCCCTTTCTCTTATGTTTTTGTATTTTATCTTCACAAAGATGATGGTAATAGTCCCTTAACTGGTCTCTTTGCCTCTCTCCCTGCCCCAATTAATCTCTTCGCAATTAGAGTGGTCAGAGCGTTCCTGTTAAAGCCTGACTCAAATCATGTCACTATCCTACTCAAAACCTAACTCACTTTGAGCAAAAGCTAAAGTTCTTGTGATGGTCTGTCTGTAAAGCTACCTGTTAGCTCTCTGATCCCATCTCCAACCACCTTTTCTCTCCCTTACTTCTGAGATCAGTCCAGCCACACTGGTGTCCTGGTTTTCTTTTCTTTCTTTCTTTTTTTTTTTTTTTTTTTAATTTTTTTTATTTGCTGTGACAGACTATAGTAAAATACACATAAAATAAAATTTACCATTTTAAGTGTACAGTTCAGTGTTATTAAATACATTTAGCTAGGTGCAGTGGCTCATGCCTGTAATTCCAGCACTTTGGGAGGCCGAGGTGGGCGGATCACCTGAGGTCAGGAGTTTGAGACCAGCCTGGCCAACATGGTGAAACCCCGTCTCTATTAAAAATACAAAAATTAGCCAGGTGTGGTGGTGGGCGCCTGTAATCCTAGCTACTCAGGAGGCCGAGACAGGAGAATCGCTTAAACTGAGGAGGCGGAGGTTGCAGTGGGCTTAGATCACGCCACTGCACTCCAGCCTGGGCAACAGAGTGAGACTCCATCTAAAAAAAAAAAAATTTGTAATGTTGTGCGACCATCATCACCACCCATCTGCATAACTCTTTTTATCTTAAAAAACTGAAACCCTATATCTATTAAACAATGATTCTCCATTATCCCCCCCCCCAGCCCCTGGCAACCACCATTTTATCAACACTTTTCATCTCTATAATTTTGACTACTCTAAGTACCTAATATAAGTGGAATAATACAGTATTTGTCTTTTTGTGGATGGCTAATTTCACTTGGCATAATGTCCTCAAGATTCATCCATGTTGTAGCATGTGTCAGAATTTCCTTCCTTTTTTTGAGATGGAGTTTCGCTCTCGTTGCCCAGGCTGGAGTGCAATGGCGCAATCTCAGCTCACCATAACCTCCACTTCCCGGGTTCAAGCGATTCTCCTGCCTCAGCCTCTCAAGTAGCTGGGATTACAGGCATGCGCCACCACACCCAGCTAATTTTGTATTTTTAGTAAAGACAGGGTTTCTCCATGTTGGTCAGGCTGGTCTCAAACTCCCAAACTCAGGTGATCCGCCCGCCTCGGCCTCCCAAAGTGCTGGGATTACAGGCATGAGCCACCACGCCTAGAGACAATTTCTTTCCTTTTTAAGGCTGTATAATATTCCACTGTATGGATATACCACATTTGTTTATACAGTCATCCACCAATGAACACTGGGTTGCTCCCACTTTTTGGCTATTGTAAATAATGCTGTTACAAATATGGATGTGCAAATATCTCTTTGAGGCCCTTATTTCCGTTCTTTTGAATATATACCCAAAAGTGGCATTGCTGGAGCACATAGGAATTCTAATTATTTGAGGAATTGCCAGTAACTGTTTTTCATAATGATTGTACCACTTTACATTCCCATTAATAGTGCACAAGGGTTCCAATTTCTCCACATCCTTGCAAACATTTGTGAAGTTCTGTTTTTTTGATAGCAGCCATCCTAATCAATTTGAGGTGGAATCTCACTGTAGTTTTAATTTGCATTTCCCTAATGATTAGTGGTGCTGAGCATTTTTCATATTCTTTTTGTTGGTTTTGTATTTGCAGTTGTGTCCATTTCAAGGAACCCTTTTGTCCCCTAGATATCTGCATGTTTCTGTCCCTCACCTCCTTGAAATTTTTGTTTAAATGTCACCTCCTCTGTAAGACTTTCTTCATAGCATTTCTCTTTTAACATGTTATACAATTTATTGCTTACTGCCTGTCTTTCCTCACTAGAAGGTAAGTTCCATATGGGCAGGGATATTTGCTTATTTATTCATAATTCACAGCATATAGTACAGTTTCTGACAAATAGTTGTGCTTGATAATTTTTTTTGAGAAGGCTCTTGCTCTGCTGCCCAGGCTGGAGTGCAATGGCATGATCACAGCACACTGTAGCCTTGACCTCCCAGCACAAGACAAGCGATCCTCCCACCTCATCCTCCTGTGTAGCTGGGTCTACAGGAGCATGCCACCATGCTTGGCTATCTTTTTTTTTTTTTTAGTAGACATGGGGTCTAGCTATGTTGCCCAGGCTGGTCTCAAACTCCTGAGCCCAAGTGATCCTCCCATCTCAGCTTCCCACACTGCCGGGATTACAGGTGAGAACCACTGCGTTCAGCTGCTCAATAATGTTGAATGAATAAATCTCAATGGAAGAAGACGCCCAGATCTATTGGACTGAGTCAGAGCAAAAGTCAGACCTGAACCAGTGAAACACCTTGCCTGCCATTGAGAAGCACTTCTCTTTTTGCAAACATGAGAGTTAACAAATGAGATTTTACCTGTTCCAGGAACTGGATTAGGGCTTCCCGATTACCCAGCCACTCCCGCTGTAACTCCTCTTCGGGGGGAAACTTGTCGCAACTCAGTTCCAGCGTGATCTCAAAGCAGTTGGTATGGAGATAATTAAAGTCTTGCATTCCTAAGGGAAAGAGGGCAGCAGCAGATTTCCATAACCAGGTTCCCACCCAATGCCCCATCTCATCTCTCTCTCTCTCTTTTTAAAATTTTCTGTTTTTATTTATTTGGGAATTACCTTTTAATTTTATTTATTTCATTGGCACATAATGTGTACATATTCATGTACATCACATAATAATATGTACATATTCATGGGGCACACATAGTGACGTTTCAATAGACACATGTATAGTGATTGGTGTAAATGAGTGGGGCAAGAGTCCGAGGAGATTAGTTGTGGCAATAAAAATAATCAGGGAAATTAGTATAAGGGACCAGGTTCGTCCCTTAATGTTATGTATCGTTATTATTTGTTTTAAGGTGAGTTGAAGTAGTCATTGTTGAGTGGTGATTAGTCGGTTGTTGATGAGGTATTTGGAGGTTGGGACCAGTAAGGGGGGAAATAGGATGATTGGTACTGTGGCGGGTAGGCCTAGTACTGTAGGGGTAATGAATGAAGCGAATAAATTTTCGTTCATTTTGGTTCTCAGGGCTTACTGTAGTTTTTTATTTTAATAAATTTTGGTGAGGTGGGCAGATGGCAGTGTGTGTTTAGTATTTTTAGTTGGGTGATGAGAAATAACGTGAGGAGTATTGGGGTGATGATAGCAGGTCATACAGTGGTATTTAGCTGTGGCATTTCACTGTAAAGAGATAATGATTCTCTTAGTCTTTAACTTAAAAGGTTAATGCTGGGTTAGCTTTACAGTGAACTCTGGCGAGGGCTAATCAGGCTAATTAGGCTAATTAGAATATCCATCCTCCCAAACATTTATCATTTCTTTGTGTTGGAAACATCCAGCACCCCCTTCATTACCTTCTTTTTTTCTTTTCTTCATCAACTTCTATTCTACCTCTTGACCTCTATTTCTTTCTTTCCTCCATAACATTTTTCCCAAGTTCCCAGTTCACATGCCTCTCTCTCTGCAGTTTCGTTTCCTCTCTTCATAAATGCCCCTTTTGTCATCTTCATCCTTTATGTTTTTTTTCCATTTCATGACTGAATTTCACTTCTTGTCCCTTTTAACATTTCCAAAGTCTGCATATTAGCTGTGCCTTACTATAGACTATGCACATGACCTGTTTTTAAAAGAATAGATTTTTCTCCTTAAACTACAATGTTCTTCAGACCTGGGAGGTTAGGAATGAGATTAATATTTTGCTTTCACATCCCTTCTCCTATCTAAGAACACAATATTAATCTGAAAATACCCATCCCAGAAAAACAGACTCCTGAAGAAGCAGAAGACAGCTATATTTTCTTCTTTTTCTATAAAATACTTGCTTGTTCTGATCTTCCACATTATTCAATTGAATCAATTACTTTTTAATATGTTTCTCATTATTAGGATGGTTATTTACATTATAATTTCATTTGGGTTAAAAATTATCCACTTAAAAATGTCTGTACTACCCAAAGTGATCTACAGATTCAATGCAATCCCTATCAAAATCCCAATGATGTTTGTTGCAAAAATAGAAAGCCCATCCTAAAATTCATATGGAATTTTAAGCAACCCAGAAGAGCAAAAATAATCTTGAAAAAGAAGAACAAAGCTAGAAAAACAAAGCTAGAGACTCACAATTTCTGATTTTGAAGCTTACTACAAAGCTACAGTAATCAAAACAATGTGGTACTGGTGTAAAGACAGGTATATAGATCAATGGAAAGGAAGACAGCCCAGAAACCCTTGCATATATGGTCAAAGCAATTTTGACAAGAATGCCAAGACCATTCAATGGGGAAAGGACAGTCATGTCAACAAATGGTGCTGGAGAAACTGGATATCCAAATGCAAAAGAATGAAGCTGGAGCCTTACCTAACACCATATACAAAAATTAACTCAAGATGGATTGGCAACCTAAACGTAAGACCCAAAACTATAAAACTCTTAGAAGAATATATAGGGCAAAAGCTTCATGACATTGGATTTGGCAATGATTTCCTGGATATAAAATCAAAGACACAGGCAACAAAAGAAAAAAAATAACAGATTAGACTTCATGAAAATGGAAAAATTTTGTTCATCAAAAGACAGTATCTCTAGGACAGAATAGGTGACGACAGAATCAAACTGACCAACAAACAAACAAATACAATGTCAACAGAGTAAAAAGGCAACCATGGAATGGGAAAAATATTTGTGATACATATATCTGATAAGATATTAATATTCAGCATACACAGAGAACTCCTAAAACATAACAATAACAACAACAACAAAACCCAAACAACTTGATTTTTTAAATGGGCAAAGGACTTGAATAGACATTTCTCCAAAGAAGGTATATAAATAGCCAATAAGCACATGAAAAGATGCTCAATATCACTAATCATTAGAGAAATGCAAATCAAACTACTGTGAGATATTACCTTGAACTTATTAGGATGGCTACTATCAAAAAAAAAAAAAAAAAGAGTTGGTGAGGATGTGGAAAAATTGAAACTCCCGTGCACAGGTGGTGTTTTCTATGGAAAACAGTATGGTAGTTCCTCAAAAAAATTAAAAATAGAACTACCTTATGTCCAACAGTTCCACTTCTGGGTTTATATATCCAAAAGAACAGAAATCAGGGTCTCAAGGAGATACTTGCACATCAGGTTTGTAGCACCATTATTCACAAAAGCTAAAATGTGAAAGCAACCCAAGTGTCCATTGGTGGATAAATGAGAAACAAAATGTGGTATAAACGTATAATGGAATATTGTTCAGCCTTAAAAAGTAAGGAAATTCTGACAAACGCCATAACATGGATGAACTTTGAGGACATTATGGTAAGTGAAATAAGGCATTCACAAAAAGACAAATATTGCATGATCCCACTTATATGAGGTACTTAGAGCAGTCAAAATCATAAAGACAAAAAGTAGAATGGTGGTTGCCAGGGGCTGGGGTAAGGGGAAATGGAGAGTTATTGTTTAATGGGTATAGGGTTTCAGTTTTACAAGCTGAAAAGAGTTCTGGAGATGAGTGCTGGTGATGACTGTACAACATCACAAATGTACTTAATAATACGGAATCATATGCTTAAAAATTATTACAATGGTAAATTTTATGTTATGTATATTTTACCACAATAAAAATGAAGCTGGGCATGGTGGCTCATGCCTGTAATCCCAGCACTTTGGGAGGCTGAGGCGGGCGGATCACTTGAGGTCAGGAGTTTGAGAACAGCCTGACCAACATGGTGAAACCCCGTCCCTACTAAAAATACAAAAATTAGCCAGGTGTGGTGGCAGGTCCCTGTAGTCCCAGCTACTTGGGAGGCCGAGGCAGGAGAATCGCTTGAGCCGGGAGGCAGAGTTGCAATGAGCCAAGATGGAGCCACTGCACTCCAGCCTGGGTGACAGAAAGAGACTCCAACTCAAAATAAATAAATAAATGAAGATGAAAAAAATTATCACTTACTTTTTAAGCTGATGAATGCAAGCAGCTGTTACAGAAAGAATGGGGAAAGTTGAAGAATAATAACTACAGCCTATTAAATTGGCTCTCTCCAAATAGTATGGAGGTTCCTCAAAAAACTAGAAATAGAACTACTAGTTGATTCAGCAATCCCACTGCTGGGTATATACCCAAAACAAAGGAAATCAGTATGTTGAAGAGTTATCTGCGCTCCCTTGTTTGCTGCAGCACTATTCACAATAGCCAAGATTTGGAAGCAACCTAAGTGTGCATCAACAGACGAATGGATAAAGAAAATGTGGCACATATACACAATGGAGTACTATTCAGTCATTAAAAAAAATAAGATCCTGTCATTTGCAAAAACAGGGATGAAGCCAGGCACAGAAAAACAGACTTTGCATGTTCTTTCTCATTTGTGGGAGCTAAAAATTTAAATAATTGAACTCATGAAAATAAAGAGGAAGGATGGTTACCAGAGGCTGGGAAGGATGGTGGGGGTGGGGAGAATGGGGATGGTTAATAGATACAAAAAATAGTTAGAAAGAATGAATGATAGCACAAAAGGGTGACTACCATCAGCAATAATTTGCTGTAACTTTTAGAATAACTGAGGGAGTACAATTGGAATGTTGGTAACACAAAGAAATGAATGCTTGAGGGGATGGACATGTCATTTACCCTGATGTAATTATTACACATTGCATGCCTGTATTAAAATATCACATATACCCCATAAATATATACACTTCGTATGTATCCATAAAAATTAAAAAATGCTTGAATAAAATAAATAAGTAAATTGGTTCTCTCCATGCATTAGAATCACCTAGAAGGCTGAAACTTCTGGCTAAATACAGCTTGCTGGGCTTCACCCTCAGAGTTTCTGATTCAGTAGGTACGAGGTGGGGTACCACTTATTAGAAATGTACATTTCTAGTAAGTTCCCAGCTCATGCTGATATGCTAATCAAGAGACCACACTGTTGGAAGAACCATTTTGATAAATTTAATGACTTTGGAATTGTACCAGCTTAATTTAGGGCAATGATTCTCAGTGGAGGCATGGGCCTTGCTCTCTCAGAGGATGGAGAGGGAGAGGGAGGAGAGAGAGAAAAAAAGAACAAGCATAATTTGAAAAAGTATATTGGTTATTTTCAATTTGGAGGGCAAAAAATATTTTGCTTTCCTAATGCAAACTAAAGAAAGTAACTTTAAAAAAACATTTAAAATTACGGATGTATTTATTTATTTATTTTTCAGAGACAGGGTCTCGCTCTGCTGCCCAGGCTGGAGTGCAGTGTCATGATCATAGCTCACTGTAGCCTTGAACTCCCACCTTAAGCCATCCTCCCACCTCAGCCTCTCAAAGCGCTGAGATTACAGGTATGAGCCACTGCGCCCAGCCGTGCCTTGTATTCAAGCGAGTTTTTGTCCCCAGTCTACCCTCCCAGTACATGGCAACTCCTCAGTTTTGCACCTCTCTACTCTCCACAGGACCAGCCACCAACTCAGTTCTCACCAATCTGCTGCCTGGGCCATGGCCAGGTCAGATTTGAAGGATGGGGAAAGACAGGTGCTAGAGAATGATTCCTAAAAGAACTCAGCTTCTTGCTCCAGACTCTTCTCTATTCTTCAATCCAGTGAAGGCTCATAAACGGAGGTTCTATCTTGACCCCTGGTCATGGGGAAGGCCCAGGGGATAGAGACAGAAGTCTCTTGTGGAGGTTTCTGCTCTTGAAGGTTACATTATCAATGGCCAATGTCCATGGCAAACCCCTGCTTGTGGGGGCCTGGCAGTTAGGGTCCAGGGAATGTATCTCAGGGGAACTGGTTGTGCCCAGGCCAGCTCCTCTGCTCATCTGTTGTTGTGTGAGGCATACTACTGTGCTACTTTTTAAAATACAGTTACACCATTTATAAGCCAGGCATTTCCAAATGCCTTATGTGTATTATTTTATTTAATACTCATATTAAAATTACGAGGCAAGTATTCTTTCTTTTTTTTTTTTTTGGAGTCTCACTCCGTTGTCCAGGCTGGAGTGCAGTGGTGCAATCTTGGCTCACTGCACTGCAGCCTTGACTTCCTGGGCTCAGGTGATCCTCCCACCTCAGCCTCCCCATTAGCTGGGACTACAGGTGTGCACCACCATGCCCACCTAATTTTTCTTTTTTTTTTTTTTGGTAGGGATGAGGTCTTGCTATGATGCCCAGGCTGGTCTCAAACAACTGGCCTCAAGAGATTCTCCCTTCTCGGCCTCCCAAGGTGCTGGGATTATAGGCATCAGTCACCATGCCTGGCCTTATTATTCTTAATTACAGATGAGGAAACCAAAGCACAGAGAGAATAAGTAATTATCCATCCCAGAGCCACATGACTAGTAAATGGGCATGAGAGTTTCAACCCAATCTACTCTCAGATACCACAAATGACTACATTATTTTCCTCCTATGCCCTAATCTATTGTGTAAACCACCAGTTTTACAGGACCAAAAGGTGTCCCTACTTTAGTTATTTTTTGTTTTTGTTTTTGTTTTTTCGAGACGGAGTCTCACTCTGTCACCCAGGCTGGAGTGCAGTGATGCGATCATGGCTCACTGCAAACTCTGCCTCCCGGGTTCATGCCATTCTCCTGACTCAGCCTCCCGAGTAGCTGGGACTACAGGCGCCCGCCACCACACCCGGCTAATTTTTTCATATTTTTAGTAGAGACGGGGTTTCACTGTGTTAGCCAGGATGGTCTCGATCTCCTGACCTCGTGATCCACCCTCCTCGGCCTCCCAAAGTGCTGGGATAACAGGCGTGAGCCACTGTGCCCAGCCATCCCCACCTTAGTTTTAAAGAATCACAATATGATCACTAAATGCCAACCTGAGACTTCCTCATTTTCCAGATCTCAACTTGAGTGCAAAATTCTATGCTATTCCCATTGTTTCCCTGAGAAAACTGGGAATTTAGAAGGAGAAATGAGCACTATTCCACTTCAGCTTGAGCAGTTCCCAGGACTCCCCTTACCCTTGCTGAGAGAATACCAGGAAGCCCCATTGGTGATGCCATCTGGGAAGTAATCTCCGCAGTTCCAACCTTGGAACATCCATCCATGTGCATAGGAGTAGACCTTGGCCAGCTAGAGGAAAAGCAGGAGGAAAACGACCTTGATGATTCCCAACTCAAATGGCAATGCTCCTACTCACAACTAGGTTGAAGCCAAGAAGCCCTGCTGGGTATATAAACAGTGGATTATTTGCTTTAGTGAAAGAAAATAGGATCAGGGATAGAAACAGCGTGTGTATGTGTGTGTGTATGTGTGTATATGTAGGTGGGTATGTGTGAATGCATGTGTGTGAATGTGACTGTGTGTCTAAGAGAGTGTATGTGTGGTAGACTAGAGTTAGGAGATCTGTATTCTGATTTTGTCACTATCTTGGGGCTGAGTTTTCTCTTGTGCAAAGTGAGGAGTTGCACTAGATGATATTGAAGGTCCCTTGTTTTTGTGCCATTTTCTAGCCGAATTTTGTCAAAGAAATCAAGGAGTAAGTAAGGCAAGACTTCTCCAGTAAAAGTAATGCATATTTAGGGGGTGAGAGTCGTGCGTTGCAGGGAGAGGAATATATTTGAACTCTATAATTCTCCTTCATTACTATTTACTATACAGTGGACAAAGTGAGATCAATGGAGAAAAAAACAATGTGCTATTCACCATGTAGTTCATTAATGATTAATACTTAATATCATTAATGTTTATTTAAATTATATAGATATATTATATATTAATATATTAGTATATAATTTTTTTTTTGAGACGGAGTTTCACTCTTGTCACCCAGGCTGGAGTGCAGTGGCACAATCTTGGCTCACTGCAACCTCCGCCTCCCAGCTTCAAGTGATTCTCCTGTCTCAGCCTCCCAAGTAGCTGGGATTACAGGCACCCACCACCGTGCCTGGTTAATTTTTTTATTTTTAGTACAGACAGTGTTTCGCCATGTTGGGCAGGCTGGTCTCAAACTCCTGACCTCAGGCAATTCGTCTGCCTCGGCCTCCCAAAGTGCTGGGATTACAGGCGTGAGCCACCGCACCAGGCCAATAATTACAAATTTATTATATTATGCCATTTTATATATTAATATAAAATTAATGTTAACATATCGTTTTGAACTGTTATTTAAACCTTTTTCATGTAGTCTATTTTTCTTTTTTTCTTTAAGGCCCCACCTAATACTATCACAGTCTATTTTTCATTAATATGGATTTATTATCATAAAATTCTACTTTAGACCCCCCCAAAAATTCACATTTAATGACACTCGTGCTATTAGTCTTCGGGCATATTTCTTGCTCATCATTAGCCTAAGTATTTTCTGCATCGTGGTAATTACTATGAAGCTTTCTTTGTATTTACTTTGTTATGAATCTATGGCTTATCATTCAAAACCAAATGTCATTTACTAGACTGTAAGCTCCTCACAAACAAGCGGTATTTTCAATTATTTTCTGTGGCCTCGCACTGAAAAGGGTTCTGTGTTACTGACCTTAAGCTCACCTCCTGAGCCCCAAGTTCCCCTGGCGGGACAAGCTGCTTCTCCACATACCTTCTGGAAGAGCTTGTCGTCAGGCGTGGGGGTGCTGGCGGTGCGGCGGACCCCTCGGACCCGGTGCTCAAAGGACTTGTCATACGGGTAATTGGCCACCACCGCCCCTCCGTGGAGATTGGCTGAAAGAACAAAGTTGAAGGAGTGCATCCACCGGATCACCGCCCGGGTCTCGGGTTCCACCTGGGAGGAGGCGAGAGGTTGGCGGTGAAGGGCCAACTGGGGCTACCAAACAAACGGCGGTTAGAGTAAGTCTGTCAGGAAGTGGCCTGAGGAGATAAAATGTCTGAATGAAACATTGAGCGTCCTGGCGGATATGAAAAGTGGAGATGGGGAAATGTTGACCTTTGGAATGATGGTTTCAACAATGGCGTGTATAGAACTTTTTTCAAAATGAAATCTTATGTGGAATCCCAATATACAAAAGAGGTAAAGAGAGAGCATTTAGGGCAAGGAAACTATTCTGTATGATACCATAATGGTGGCTATATATCATCATACCTTTGTTGAGACCCATAGAATGCACAATACCAAGAGAGCAGTAAGGTAAGTATGGACTGGGAGCGCTCATGGTGAGTTAAGGTAGGTTCATGACTGACTGTGATAAACACACCCCTCTGGGGTGGGATGTTGATGGTGGGGTGGGTGGAGTGGGGTGGGGAGTATATGAGAACTCTGTACTTTTTGCTCAATTTTGCTGTGAACCTAAAACTACCCTAAAAAATAAAGTCTGTTGAGAGAGAAAGGGAGAGAGAGAGAGAAGTTTTTTTTTTTGTTTTGTTTTTTGAGACAGGATCTTACTCTGTCACCCAGACTGGAGTGCAGTGGTGCAATCTCAGTTCATTGCAGCCTCCACCTCCCGGACTCAAGCGATCCTCCTACCTCAGCCTCCCTAGTAGCTGGGACTACAGGCATGCAACACCACACCTGGCTAATTTTTGTATTTTTTGTAGAGATGGGGTTTTGCCATGTTACTGAGGCTGGTCTTGAGCTCCTCAAGCAATGTGCCCATCTCCACCTCCCAAAGTGTTGGGATTACAGGCGTGAGCCACCATTCCCAGCCAAAAAAGAGAAGTTCTGTATGAAGAGATATCATGATTGGAGAGCTCAGAGCCCCAACTTGGCCTCTCTCTGGACCCTAGAAAAGGGTTTCCCATTTTACCCACTGCTCCAGTGACTTCTAAGTCATCTTAGCAGAAATTTAGGACTCCAATAAATCAATCTTAAAAATGCTAGTTTACAGTGATGGTTTTCAACCTCCTTCCTCCCTGCTGTAATATTGACATGTAGAACACACTCCTGTGGTCAAATCCAAATTTCATGGGTTAGACATACTGTCAGATGGGCCAGTCTTGGCTAAGCAGTGAAATTCCACCTTTCTATTGCATATTATATTGCTAGTGAGTGACAATATTCCAAAGAAAGCCTTGAATCCACTGGGACTTGCAGTGTAAGTAAATAATTTACAGTCTACAGCATTTTTCCTCCTCTCAGGATGAACAAGTTTAGAGATTATGTAGTGTTACTGTGTTAATGGCTCCTTCTGGACCAAGGTCAGCTCTACAGGCTCCATCTTTTCCATCCCAAGGGGACTGGATAAATAGGGTTGAGTCTTAATCAGAATGAATATAATTGCGAGGGCACCAGTCTTGGTCTGTGACCAGGGCTCAGACCCTCTGGGGCAGTTCTGTCTTTGTGTCCTAAGCCTCTATCAGAACAAGGCCAGCTTTTCACTGTTCCTCTTCCTCAAGGATATTCCATCAGGAGCGAGGGAAACCTCTTTGCTTTTCCCCCTAAAATTTAGACAGAGGATTGAGTGGGAGCCTAGTTATCATTGATTCAATTACCTTATTTTACTTAGAGAAACAAGTTTATTACATCAGAACATTCTTCTGGTTGGATATCCTGACTAACACGAAGTTCTTTGCTTTTTGGTTTTGGTTTTGGTTTTTTTGTGAGATGGAGTCTTGATCTGTCGCCCAGACTAGAGTGCAGTGATGCCATCTGCAACCTCCGCCATCTGGGTTCAAGCAATTCTCCTGCTTCAGCCTCCCAAGTAGCTGGGATTATAGGCGCCCACCACCACAGCTGGCTAATTTTTGTATTTTTAGTAGGATGGGGTTTCACCATGTTAGCCAGGCTGGTCTCGAACTCCTGACCTCAGCTGATCTGCCCGCTTCTGCCTCCCAAAGTGCTGGGATTACAGGTGTGAGCCACTGCGCCCAGCCTTACAAAGTTATTTTTTATTTACTATTTACTTGAACCAAGAGGATAGTTGCTGTTTGAAATCTAACATGTCAGCATGGCTTTTGCTTCATTTTCAAGGGAGAAAAAAACCCCAGAATACTCCATTTGGGAAACTCCCAATTAAAAGGCTTACACCTGCTTTGCTTTTCTTTCCCCAGTCTCTAAATTTAGACATTCACAAATAGAACATTTCAAACTATCCCACACAGCGTGATCACCAGGGGTGGCAGTGATGCTTAGAGAATGCCTAGTTATTTTCAGGAGCAGGCCCACCAGCAGGGTGAAACCACTCACATTACCAAGGACTTCCATTATAGGCCTCTTGGAGAGTGAGGCCTAGGAATATGGAATGGGATCCTCTGATTGGAAGAGTAAGGGAAATCAGGGAGGGTATAGTAATGATAAAGTAGTCAAAGGTCATATAGAAGGGGAAAAGGGGCCAGGTGTGGTGGCTCACACCTGTAATCCCAGCACTTTGGGAGGCTGAGGTGGGCAGATCACAAGGCCAGGAGTTCGAGACCAGCCTGACCAACATGGTAAAACCCTGTCTCTACTAAAAATACAAAAATTGGCCAGGGGTGGTGGCACGTGCCTGTAATCCCAGCTACTCAGGAGACTGAGGCAGGAGAATCGCTTGAACCCAGGAGGAAGAGGTTGCAGTGAGCCAAGATTGTGCCACTGCACTCCAGCCTGGAGGGTAAAAGAGCAAGACTCTGTCTCAAAAAAAAAAAAAAAGAAAGAAAGGGAAAAGAAAAAACTAAGGGTTAGATTCCCTGAACTTTTTTTTTTTTTTTTTTGAGACGGAGTCTCGCTCTGTCACCCAAGCTGGAGTGCAGTGGCACTATCTCAGCTCACTGCAACCTCTGCCTCCCAGGCTCATGCCATTCTCCTGCCTCAGCCTCCCAAGTAGCTGGGACTGCAGGCGCCCGCCACCACGCCTGGCTAATTTTTTGTATTTTTAGTAGAGATGGGGTTTCACCATGTTAGCCAGGATGGTCTCGATCTCCTGACCTCGTGATCCGCCCGCCTCGGCCTCCCAAAGTGCTGGGATTACAGGCGTGAGCCACCGCGCCCAGTCCCGAAAACTAAGGGTTAGATTCCTTGAACTTTTTTTTTGTTTGTTTGTTTTGGAGACAGGGTCTCTTGCTCTGTCACCCAGGCTGGAGCAGGCAGGACAATAGTTCACTGTAACCTTGAACTCTTAAACTCCTTCAAGGGATCCTCCCAAATAGCTAAGTCTATGACATGTGCCACTACACCCAGCTAAATTTTGTATTTTTATTTTGTAGAGATGGGGCCTCACTGTGTTGCCCAGGCTAGTCTCAAACTCCTGACCTCAAGCAATCCTCCCGTCTCAGCTTCCCAAAGTGCTGGGATTACAGGTGTGAGACACCACACCCAGCCTGAGCCTCTTTCTATAGCTAATTGTTGGTAAGCACACAGCTTATCACGAGTAAGACAGACGTCTCTATAGAATGCTTCTGTCCACAGTCTAGTGTAGTAGAAAGAATGTTGGAATAAGAATCAGAAGGCCTGCATCTTCATCCCGATTCCATCAATCACTACCTGTGAGAATGTAAATTATTTTCTCTCTAAGTGTAATAGCTATAAAACAGAGATGGATAACACTGCTTGGTGCATTTCACATGATGTCATGATCAACTGAAACTGGCTGTGAAATAATTCTGGAAAATTGTTAAGAACCATGCAACCAAATGATACTGCTTTCATATCCTTCACCACAATCACCACTAATATCAAACATTTAACCAGGCACGGTGGCTCACGCCTGTAATCCCAGCACTTTGGGAGGCTGAGGCAGGCAGATCACGAAGTCAGGAGTTTGAGACCAGCCTGGTCAAACGGTGAAACCCCGTCTCTACTAAAAATACAAAAATTAGCTGGGCATGGTGGTGTGCATCTTTAATCCCAGCTACTCAGGAGGCTGAGGCAGGAGAATCTCTTGGACCTGGGAGGCGAAGGCTGCAGTGAGCTGAGATCGCACCATTACACTCCAGCCTGGGCGACAGAGCGAGACTCTGTCTTAAAAAAAAAAAAAAATCACTTAGTGTGTGCTCCATGGAGGGCTCTATGCTGAGGAGAAAATAAATACAAAGACACGGAAGAAATATATATTATTGCTCTAGATGGGTTAATACTGAGTTGAGTTGATGCTTAATTCTTGCTTGTTTAGTTGATGTAAAGATGGCTTAGCAGTCTTTCTGCAAGAAATTCCAGATGCTGATTTACCTGCTTTGTTTGCAAATTTCATCTCCTACCTGACTTTTCCAGTTGTCTGGAAGGGGCAGGTGGTGGTTGGGGCCTCCGTACTTCTCGTTATAGTAGATATAGGTATTGAGATCAGGGAAGTTGCGGTTCAGGTCCACTCCATTTGCATTGTTCCTGCCAACTAGATACCCAGGCTTGTTTGGGCCCTAAAGGAAAATGAAAAGATGAAAAATGAAGGTTTCAGATTGAATACTATATTTTCTAACTTTTTTTTTTGGAGACAGGTTCTCACACTGTTGCCCAGGCTGAAGTGCAGTGGTACAATCTTGGCTTACTGCAACCTCTACCTACTGGGCTCAAGCAATCCTCCCACCTCAGTCTCCTGAGTAGCTGGGACTACAAGCACACACCACCACACCCGCTAATTGTTCTTTATTCTTTTCTTTTTTTGGTAGAGATGAGGCTGGTTGCCCAGGCTGGTATCAAACTCCTGGGCTCAAGTGATCCACCCACCTCGCCCTTCCAAAGTGCTGAGAGGCCAGGTGCAGTGGCTCACACCTGTAATCTCAGCACTTTGGGAGGCGGAGGCAGGTGGATCACTTGAGGTCAGAAGTTCAAGATCAGCCTGGCCAAAATGGTGAAACACCATCTCTACTAAAAAATACAAAAATTAGCTGGGTGTGGTGGCGTGTGCCTGTAGTCCCAGCTACTTGGGAGGCTGAGGCACGAGAATCACTTAAACTCAGGAAGTGAGGTTGCAATGGGCCAAGAACATGCCATTGCACTACAGCCTGGGTGACAGAGCAAGGCTCTGTCTAAAAAAAACAAACCAAACAAAGTGCTGAGATTACAGGCAAGAGCTACTACATGCAGCCATGAATCCTATATTTGAAGCACATTGTATAGTTCTTAGATATTAGCTTAATCAAATGATGTAGCATTTTTTTTCCTTTAGTCCCCGTCACAAGAAGATGAATCATTTTCTACTTTGACTTATCCAAAGTCACAGTGGTGGACTTCAAGTTCCCTGCAGATCACGTGTAAGAGGTACATATCTCAAGAGAAGTTCTAATAAGAGTAGGGTGTTTCGGGATCATGGGAACCCCAATGTTTTATGAACAGCTTTATTGAGATATAATTCACATACTATAAAATTTGCTCATTTTAAATGTACAATTCAATGAATTTTAGTATGTTTACGGAGTTGTATAATCATCATTGCAATCTAATTTTAGAACATTTCTGTCACACCAAATAGACACCTCATTCCCATTTACAGTCACTTCTCATTTTCATCCTAGCGTAGGTAATAACTTTATCTCTCCTTAGACTTGCCTCTTCTGGACAGATCACATAAGTGGGTCATACATTATCTGTTCTTTTGTGGGTTTTTCCCCCACACTGGGCATAATGTTTGTGAGGTTCATGTATGTTGTAGCATGTATCAGTACTTCATTTCTTTCTATTGCTGAATAGTTCCATTATGTGGATTTATCACATTTTGTTTATCCATTCACCAGTATTAGTATTAGTTTAATACTATTAGTATTAGGAAACTGTGTTAGTTTCCTAGGGCTGCCATAACAATCACCACAAACTAGGTGGTTTATAACAACAGCAATTTATTCTCCAATTTATTCTCTGGAGGCTAGAAGTTGTAATCAAGTCAACTGGATGGGCGGCACGCTCTCTGGTCCCCTTCTTTGTTTCTTCCAGGTTCTGGTGGCCAGAGGAAGTCCTTGGCATTCTTTGGCTCTTAGACCCATCACTCTAATTTCTGCTTTCATCTTCATATGGCCTCCTCCCCAGTCTGTCTGCATCTCTATTCGCAAATTTCTTTCTTCTTACAAGGACACCAGTTATGCTGGATTTAGAGTCCATCCTGATTCTAGGTGACCTCATCTCAATTGTATCCGTAAAGACCCTCAGTAGGCCCTCCATATCCATGGGTTCCACATGTGTGGATTCAACCAACCTCTGATTGAAAATGTAGTTAGGCCTATGATGGTTGCATCTGTACTGAATATGTACATACTTTTTTCTTGTCATTATTCCTTAAACAGTACATTATAACAACTGTTTACATAGCATTTACATTGTACTGGGTAACATAAGTAACCTAGGGATGATTTAAAGTATACAGGAGGATGTGCATAAGTTATGTGCAAATACTATGCCATTTTATATAAGGGACTTGAGCATCCAAGGATTTTGATATTGGTGGGGGGCCCTGGAATCAATCACCTACGGATACTGAAGGATGACTATGTATTTCCAAATAAGATCATAGTCACAGATTTCAGGTGAATGCGAATTTTGGCGAAGGGTGGTAGGGGGAGATTCATGGACATTTGGGTTGTTTTCACCTTTTGGCTATTGTTAATAATGCTGCTTTGAACATCCACGTACAAGTCTTTGTGTGGATGTATGTTTTCATTTCCTCTGGGTAGATATCTGTAAGTAGAACTGCCGAGTCATAAGCTAAGTCCATGTTTAACTGTTTTTTGTTGTTTGTTTTTGTTTTTGTTTTGAGACAGGGTCTCACTCTGTTGCCTAGGCTGGAGTATAACAGCATGATCATGGCTCACTGCAGCCTCAACCTCCTGGGCTCAGGTGATCCTCCCACCTCAGCCTCCTGGTAGCTGGTGTTTACAGGCACGCGCCACAACACCTGGCTAATTTTAAATTATTTGTAAAGATGGGGTTTTGCCATGTTGCCTACGCTGGTCTCAAACTTCTAGGCTCAAGTGATCCACCCACCTCCCAAAGTGCTGGGATTAACAGACGTGAGCCACTACGGCCTTATGTTTAACTTTTTGAGAAACTGTTAAACTGTTTTTCAAAGTGGTTACACTATGGAAACTCACTCCTCCCCCCTTCAAAAAATTTAGGATGCTTACTTATCTTTCTTTTGAGCAATATCAACTTTCTGGATCCCTTAATTTCTCTGTCCATATTTCAGATTTTATCATTTATTTGCTCATGTATTCACTCACTCATTAGGTCATCTATTTAGTCAACCAACATTTACTTAAGTCCTTCTCTATTCAGAGCTCTCAGATAGACACTGGGGAAAGAGATAAGTGAGACATTGTAGTCTAGCCTTCTAGGAATTCATAGTACACATGGGGAGATGGACACACACATAAATAATTAAATACATAGAGTGATAGAATAGAGATATGTTAAAAGGCTCATTCAAAATTGAAATTCCATTTAATGTTTTGTGTGGCATTGGAGAAGGGAAATAGTGCCAACTGGGTCCCTGTAGACTGAGAAGGTGGAGCCCAAATTGTTGGCTGTTCCTGGAAGTGAATGAATGGATGCCGGGAAGCTACAATCTCACAGATGAATCGCCGTTCTCATATTTTCCCTTTTCTAACCAATAAAATGCGGCAGATTACATTTTTTTCTAAGAATTCAGTATTATTCTCAGATTTCTCCTCTTTTCATGGCACCCTGCTTGTATTTCATTTTTAGATCCTATTGAAAACATAATTGTTTTGAAGTTCCTTTAAGTTTCCTACATCAGTTGTGTTCCAGTGGAAAACATTTATTGGATCTTTCATTTTGGTGTACACTTCTGTGACATAATGATTTTCTTTATGCTTCCAGGGGCTTGTCACTGCTTGCTTATTTATATCAAGGCAACTCTTGACTGTCAGCATAAACAGCTATGGGCATTATCCACTGATTTCCCTGCACACTGGTCAATAGTTAAGTTGGCAGGAAGGGGCTTCCCCTAACAGAAGGTTTCATAAACAGGGCTAGTGTTGTGTTTCCTATTACTGCTGTAACAAATTACCCCAAATTTAGTGGTTTAAAACAGCACGAGTGTATTGTCTCATAGTTTTGGAGGTCAGAAGACTAAAACGGGTCTCACAGGCCTAAAAGCAAGGTGTCTCTCCAGTTTCTAGAGATCATTCACATTCCTTGGCTCTTCCATCTTTTTTTTTTTTTTTTTTTTTTGAGACAGAGTTTTGCTCTTGTTGCCCAGGCTGGAGTGCAATGGCGTGATCTCAGCTCACCGCAACCTTCATCTCCCAGGTTCAAGTGATTCTCCTGCCTCAGCCTCCCGAGTAGCTGGGATTACAGGCATGTGTTACCACGCCTGGCTAATTTTGTATTTTTAGTAGAGACAGGGTTTCTCCATGTTGGTCAGGCTGGTCTTGAACTTCTGACCTCAGGTGATCCTCCTACTTCAGCCTCCCAAAGTGCTGGGATTACAGGCCTGAGCCACGGCGCCCAGCCAAGGCTCTTCCATCTTTAAAGCCAGCCGTGTAACATCTTCAGAGCTCTCTCTGACTGTGACCTTTGGCCTCCCTCTTCTACATTTAAAGGACCCTCGTAATTGATTACACTGGGCCCCATCCCCCCCCCACAATACTCCAGGTTATTTTAAGGTCAACTGATTAGCAACCTTAGTTCCATCTGCAACCTTAATTCCTCCTTGCCCAGTAACATAACATATTCATAGGTTCTGAGGATTAGGACATGGACATCTTTGGTGGGGGGCATTATTCTGGCCACCTACAAGTGGCTTCAAAGTCTGGTGGCCAGGAAGTTCTTCTCTGTGTAGCCACGCAGACAGCTTGCCTCTGGGCATGGCAGGTATCTCTGAGAGTCTGAGAACCTGATGGGTCCTCTCGGGTTCAGGTTCAAGATCTGCTCCCTCTGAACAAGAACACAGCAGGTGAGCAGAGGTGACCAGCTTCCCAGAGATGGCTCTAAGATTCAGTGGACTGGCAGGGATTTTCCCCACTCCCTCCCACCCCACCTACTGCAAAGGATGTGGGCAGGACTGTGCAATGGCACGATCTCGGCTCACCACAGCCTCCGCCTCCTGGGTTCAAGCAACTCCCCTGCCTCAGCCTCCCAAGTAGGTGGAATTACAGGCATATGCCACCATGCCTGGCTAATTTTTTGTATATTTAGTAGAGACAGGGTTTCTCCATGTTGGTCAGGCTGATCTCGAACTCCCGACCTCAGGTGATCCACCCACCTCAGCCTCCCAAAGTGCTGGGATTACAGGCATGAGCCACCACGCCCGGCCGAAAACCCTGCCTTTTAAACACAGCTTTTAAAGGAACATCTCCATTGCATAAGGCAGATCGATGCCTGGCCTCACCCTTGACAATACTACTCAGTAGGCCTGCGGTGGGACCTGGGAATCTGTACTTCAAAATCTTCATCTGTGATTCTGATGCACAGCCACAGAAGAGAACCATTGATTTAAAGTTACGCATATCGATCTGAAACACTTAAGATGTTACTAATAATAATAAGACAAATGTTAGGCACGCTGACATTTTGAATTTATGTTAGAAAATAAAGTAAAAAGTCCTGCCAGGCACGGTGGCTCACGCCTGTAATCCCAGCACTTTGGGAGGCTGAGGTGGGTGGATCACCTGAGGCCAGGAGTTCAAGACCAGCCTGGCCAACCTGGCGAAATCCCGTCTCTACTAAAACTACAAAAAATTAGCTGGGCATGGTGGCGCACGCCTGTAGACCCAGCTACTCGAGGGCTGAGGCAGGAGAATTGCTTGAACCTGGGAGGCAGAAATCGCAGTGAGCCGAGATCGCACCACTGCACTCCAGCCTGGGCAACAAAGTAAGACTCTATCCCAAAAAAAGAAAGCCCTTAGACATTTTTTCTTATCGGTCCCACTGCAAATATAACTCTAAAATATAGAATCAATAGACTAAGTGCTATACTAGTAGAGGAAACAACTCTATGGAAATATAATAAAGTATGAAGAATGTAGAATTAGCCCCCTACCCCCAGTTCTGGGGAAAGCCTGTTGTCCTTGTTATTTTCTCCACAAATGCAAATGGAAATGTAGTGTGGAAGAAAGAAAGGTATGTAGGGTTTGATGCTGAAAGTCCAGGAAAGGAGCTTTATTTTGCAATATCCCTCCACATCTGTTGAGTATTTTCCAGGTTACAAAGTGTTATCACAGATATTGCCACATTAATCCTCACAATAAAACCCTGAGGTCATCTGGAAAGGTGTTGAGGGAATGCAGGCTCAGAGAGAGCCCATGTTTATTGCCTGAGGTGCTGTAGGACTGAACCCACCTCTTCATCCTTTCTTATATTTCTGATGGATTTTTTCTCTTGGCCATTTCATCTTTTACTTTTAACATTTGTGATATTTACAGTGGGACAGAGAGGGAATCTTGTCCACTGGACTTTATTTCCTAAGAAGGCCTTGATCTCTCCCCGGCATCTCCCTTGGACCTCGTACCTGGGCAGCAGCCACCTCGTAGCCGTCGGGGTTCATGGATGGCAGGATGTGAATGCGCGTGTCCTGGATGAGCTGGACGATGCGCTGGTTCCTGTTCCGGAACTCCTCGCACAGAAACTCCGACAGCTGCAGCATCAGCTCGCGGCCCAACGCTTCGTTGCCGTGCATGTTCCCCACATACTTGACCTCTGGTTCCACTGCAAGGAAGAGAAAAGATGGGGGAAGCTTGGAAGTGTCATTGATGCCTAACCTTGCAGAAGGACCTTTTTTCTCTTTTTCAGTAACGAATGAAAGAAAATCTCATGCTTTCATTGGGTCTTTTGCAATAATCCCTGAGCCCCTTCCTAACCAATTACAGTTACAAAACCTACAAAAATTCATGCCAGGGATGATAATGAGTGCCATGTATTGAACCCCCATAGTGTACTAGACAGTTATGTTCAATACTGCTAAAATTCACAGAAAACTTGTAAAGTGGGCATTAATAGCCTCAGGGTGAGGGTAATAAGGATGGGAGAGGTTAAGTAACTTGTCTGAGGTTGCCTAGCTAATGGCTCTATAGAGGCCCAAGCCCAGGTGGCACTTACAGTGCCATTTACAGTAGCATGCTGCTTCTCAGAGACAAATCTTTCAGGATAAGGATGTTCCCCAGAACCTGTTTTCATGAAGTACTCTAGGTTTTAGCGTAACAGCCGCTAATGATCCCAGTTGAAAACTTAGTTTTCTTGGCACTTGAAAAGTTTCTTGCTCCATCTGAACAAGAACACAGCAGGTGAGCAGAGGTGACCAGCTCCGCAGCGATGGATCTAAGATTCAGTGGGCTGGCAGGGGTTTTCCCCACTCCCTCCCACCCCACCTACCATGAAGAATAGGATTGGGGGCAGGACTGAGCTCGTTCTCCATTGTCCCCACTGAAGTACAGGAAAACTAAAATCACTCCTTCAAATCTAAGCAGGCCAAATCTGAAGGCACAGAATAGGAAGGCACCTGCTATGTCTCATTCCTCAGTCTTCTCTTGGGCCATGTTAACTGTTCAACTTGAGGTAAGAATTGAGGATCTGAAAGTTTCTGGGGTCACCTAAAGAAAATCATTCTTGCCCTCTTTTAAGAGGAAGGAGAAAAGCTCTTGCCAAATGATTTTTCTTACACCCAATACTTTCCTGCGTCCATGACTTTTCTGGTTCTGTACCTCTTCATCTTCTCATTTCCAAATCCTTCTCACCACCCTTCTAGGCCCAGTTCACATGATACTCTGTGAAGTCATCTTGGGTTCTCCTTGATGAGAGAGAGCTCTCTGTTGACTTCCCCGGTTTTACCTTTTTTTTTTTTTTTTTTTTTGAGATGGAGTCTCACTCTGTCACCCAGTCTGGAGTGCAGTGGCAAAATCCCAGTTCACTGCAACCTCCACCTCCCAGGTTCAAGCAATTCTCCTGCCTCAGCCTCCCAATTAGCTGGGACTACAGGTGCCTGCCACCACACTTGGCTGATTTTTATATTTTTAATAGAGACAGGGTTTCACCATGTTGGCCAGGCTGGTCTCAAACTCCCGACTTCAGGTGATCCACCCGCCTTGGCCTCCCAAAGTGCTAGGATTACAGGTGTGAGCCATTGCACCCGGCTGGGTTTTACCTATTTTTATATATGTTCTATTTCCTTTTCCGGACCTGGCCTTAGCAGTGTACATAATTTTTAACTTGTGACACCATCCATTATTATTTATCTTAGTATACCTACAGCAGTTTTTCTCAAAGGAATGCTTATAATCCATAAGGATCATGTGGTGGATTTTCCATAGCGAGTATTCTTTAATCTTAGTGTATTTTTTTAAATCATAGATTATGTCTTTCTTACTTTTCTTGGTGTTAAAATGTCTTTTCTGTTAGAAAAGGATGGATATAGTAGATGACAGGTAGTTTTCTTCACATCCTTATTCAGTAAAATAAAATTTGGAAGATCTGTTTTAGTTCCCTCCGGTCTCCTATTTATTTAAAAAAAAACAACAACAACACTTTTTTTAACTTCTTTATGAAATCTGTAAGTCTGGGAACCACTGCCCTGTAGAACTTTGGACAGTGCCATGCACTTAGCAGATGCTTAATGGCAGATTCTTTTGGCTCTCCTTTTTCTTTTTTCTTTTTCTTTTTTTTAATTTAGAGACAGGGTCTTGCTCAGTCATTCATGCTGGAGTGCAGTGGCACAATCATAGCTCAGGATAGCCTCTCGAATTTCTCAGTTCAAGCCATCCTCCCGCCTCAGCCTCCTGAGGAGCTGGGACCACAAGTGCACACTACCACACGAGGCTAATTTTCTAAAAAAAAAATTTATTACAGAGACAAGTCTCACTATGTTGTCCAGACTGGTCTGAAACTTTTGGCCTCAGGCAGTCCTCCCAAAGTACTGGGATTACAGGCATAAGCCACCACAGCTGGCCTCTACTTTCAATATATCTGGAACACAACCACTTCTCATAACAATCACTGCTACCATTTTGGTTCAAGCCCCTGCACCTTCAAGCTTGGTACTATTGGCAATATTAGGTTATTGCAATAAATCTCCCACTTGGTCTCCCTGCAGCTGCCTAGCCCCTTTAAAGTCTATTATCCAGAGTCAGGGGTTGGCAAAACTTTTTTATAAAGAACTAGAGAGTAAATCCTTTAGGCTTTGTGGGCCGTGATGTCTCTGTCACAGCTACTCAACTCTTCCAGCAAAAGCAGCCATGGACAAGATAAAAGTGAATGGGCGTGATTATGTTCCCATAAAACTTCATTTACCAAAACAGGTGGCTGGCCCTTGGGCTGTAGTTTGCTGACCCCTGTTCTGAGTGATCTTTACAAAATTTAAGACAGATCGTCTCCCCCTTCTGCTTAAAAAACCCTCCAGTGGCTTCTCACTTGACTCAAAGTAAAAGCCCAGATCTTTACCAGGGCCTATGAGGCCCTGCGTGATCTCCTGTTGCCTGGTGTCCCCATCACATGGCTGTGACCTCCTCTCTTGCTCTCCCCTCATTCACTCGGCTGGAGCCGCACTGGCCCCCTTGCTGTTCCTCACATGTGCCAAGCATGCTCCAGAGCATTGCCTTTGCTCTTCCCTCTGCCCGTCATCTTTTCCTCCTCAATATCAGCACGGCATGTGCCATCACACCCATCCTTCAGCTCTCTGTTCAAAGCCACCTCAGTGGAGACGCCTCTCCTGAGTGCCTCTCCTGCTCCTCCTTGTCTTCCTCCATGCCATCCTTATCTCTTTTTCCTGATTTAGTTTTCTCTACAGCACTTATTTCCATCTGATGTAATATGTATTTACGTAGTTACCCATTTATTGTCAGTCTTACCCCACTAGAATTCGGGCCCATGAGGGCAGGGTCTTTGTTTTATTCTCTGCTGTACTTCCAGAGTCTACAAAAGTGCCTGCATATTGTAGGTGATTGGTAAATATTTGTGGAATGAATGAATTAAAGGAATGAATGGGTGAATAGCAGTTATAGTGCTTCAGAGAAAAGAGGGAACAGTGAGGGCTAGAGTCCTGTGAAAAAGCTTCAAAGAAGGCCTTGAAAGCTAGAAAGTACAGGAGCACCAACAAGGGGGCTTGGAGTGTTGGGGGGCTAACCCCATGATGTCCATGAACACTCACGAGCTTCCACAGTGAACATATGATCTGATTGACAGCAGGCTGCTTGCTATGGAAGTGCAGTTTCAAAGCGAGGCAATTATCCCAGGTAACCCCATGGCCTTCTATGAGCCTCCTCCATGCAATATTCTGAATCCCATGGCCAGTCCATTGAGTGTGAGGCTTTTAAAGTAGGAAAGTGGGATTATGTCAAGATTTAGGAAAATTTTTCTGGCATCTGTGTACCAAATGGAAGATTCAGAGTGCAGCAGTTCGAAGTTAGAGACCTGGCTGGGCACGGTGGCTCACGCCTGTAATCCCAACACTTTGGGAGGCCAAGGCGGGTGGATCACTTGAGGTCAGGAGTTTGAGACCAGCCTGGCCAACACGGTGAAACCCCGTCTCTACTAAAAATAAAAAAAATTAGCCAGGCATGGTAGTGCACGCCTGTAATCCCAGCTACTTGGGAGGCTGAGGCAGGAGAATTGCTTGAACCCGGGAGGTGGAGGTTTCAGTGAGCTGAGATTGCACCACTGCATTCCAGCCTGGGCAACAGAGTGAGACTCCATCTCAAAAAAAAAAAAAAATGAAGTTAGAAACCAGTTGGGAGTTCAGTGCAATCATGTAGGCAGCTTGTGATGGAGTCTGGACTTGGGCAGGGGATGTGGAAGCGAAGAGGTAAAGGGAGATTTGAAGTTGAGTTTGAAGGAGGAACTGGTAAGGAAAGAAGTGAGAAATTAGAAACAACTTAAATGTCCATCAATATATGGACAGTTAAACATAGTCATGCAATGAGCTATTACACAGCCAAAACCACAGTGATGTAGATCTGCACTTATAGACATGGATGCTATCCATAACAGATTGTGAAATGAGAAGGGCAGTTATAATACAATTTCATTTTTATAGAAACAATTACATGTGTTTGAGTCAGGGTTTAAATATGCATAGAAAAAAGTCTGGAAGGATATACATCAATACATTAACAGTGGTGGGATTTGGGGTGAGTTTTATTATTTTTTTTCCTTATCTAATCTCTAAATTTTAATCCAAACATGGATTGCTTTTACAGTAGAAACAAACTAAAAAAAGGAATCCAGGCTAAGTGCGGTGGCTCACGCCTGTAATCCCAACACTGGGAGGCCAAGGTGGGTGGATCGCCTGAGCCCAGGAGTTTGAGATTAGCCTGGTTAACATGATGAAACCCTGTCTCTACTAAAAATACAAAAATTAGCCGGGCGTATTGGTGCATGCCTGTGGTCCCAGCTACCTAGGAGGCTGAGGGGAAAGGATCACCTGAGCCCAGGAGGTGGAGGCTGCAGTGAGCTGAGATCATGCCACTGCATTCCAGCCTGGGCAACAGAGCCAGACCCCGTCTCAAAAAAATAAAAAATAAAAAAGAATCCAGTAAATAAAACTGACACCCAAGTCCCCAAACTCTCTCTGGAATACCACACTGTCACTCCCCGAAGAGATTCCCCTATACCCTTCTAAGTTTCCTGGCAGAACTAGAAGGGCTCATTGTTTTTGCCTATGTCTCCTGAGCCATTGGGTGGGGAAAGACAGAACAATAGTAAGGGGAAAAGAAAGGAAATGGGGGAAATGAAGGGATATGGGACATGAGCAGGGAAGAAGACTCATCTTTTACCATTAAAGTTTTGAGCAAACAGAACCCAAAAAGGAGGAAAGATCTGAAGGCTGAAGGAGGGTTATAGCTCCCCAGAGGCAGTGGCAGTTTGAGGGCTAAGAGGGAAATAGCACAGGCTGAGAAAGAGATAATACCTTGTAGGCGGAGGCGTCCACGGACCACCCCAGAAACCACTCCAATTACTGGATTTGCAAGGGAAAGGCCCTGCCCCACACACCCTCAAGAGCTGTTCAGAACTTACAGGGCTCGTGGATTCCAGGGTGGTCGCTGAACTCCAGCACGTAGAGGTGTCTCCCCTCCACGCTGCGCCCAATGCTGTAGACCCGCGTGATGCCGGGGCATTCGTTTTGCACCTTGTACAGCGTCCGCACAAGATCATCATAGCGGTGGTGGCGAAAGGTCACCGGGGCAACCAACTTGAAGAGAAGGAGGAGGTGGAGGAAGACTGAGAGCAGGTCTGACATCTTGCTGGGCTTTTTCAAAGAGAGCCACTGAAACGCGCCCCACCTCCTTAAACAACCTAGCCTCTTCACCCGCCAAAATCCAAGGTCCACCTAGCTTCCCGCTTGTAAACACCAGTCCAAATTGGAAGACGTTCCCAGCTGTCCGTCCAAGGCTGGAAATTCTTTATGTCGTTCTGGAATAGCCACTCATCTCTCCTCCCTCACTCCCTTTCTTTCTCTAATCCAGGAAAGCCTTTTGAAAGGTTTTTTGCACTTCCCCAGATGGGTAGTTTCACTGATTCTGGTTTACTGGTTAACTGGACTGTAAACAGGCTTCAATAAATAGCTGCTTATAACCCTTTGATTCCTGGAGAATTTTTTAAAACTTGGCCTGTGCCTGTTCCTTTTATTACAACTTTCAAAAAGAGTTCTCTGTCCCTTTTGATCCATCCCACGTACTGCTGCCTGCCTATCTTTCTGAAGCATGGCTGTATTTTGTCCTTTTTTTCCTCAAAAATCTTTCAACAGATGCCATTAAGAAAAGGAAAAGATTAGCCTCGGACTGGGAGAAAACAATTGTAAATCATGTATCCGATAATACCCCCATAATACGTAAAGAATCCTTACAATACAATAAGAAAACAAACAACCCAATTAAAACATGGGCAAAACATTTGACCAAAATAGATATACAAATGGCTAATAAGCACATTTAAAGATGTTCAGTGTCATTAGTCATTAAGGAAATACAAATTAAAACCACATGAGATCCAGTCATGGTGGCTCATGCCTATAATCTCAGCACTTTGGGAGGCCAAATTGGGAGGATCACTTGAGCCCAGGAGTTTGAGATCAGCCTGGGCAACATAGCAAGACCCCACCTCTACAAATATTTTTAAAATTAGCTGGGTGTGATGGCATGCCTGTAGTTCCAGCTACTAGGGAGGCTGAGGCAGAGAATCACTTGAACCTGGGTGGTGGGGCCTGAAGTGAGCCATGATCATGCCACTACACTCCAGCCTGGGCAACAGAGTGAGACCTCATCTCAAAAAACAAACAAACAAAAATCACACATGAAATATACTTTACCTCCACTAGAATGGCTACAATAAAAAAGACAGACAATAACAAATGTTGGTGAGAATAGGGAGAAACTGGAACCCTCATAAATAGTGCAGCCAGACCAGGTGCAGTGGCTCATGCCTGTAGCCCAGGACTTTGAGAGGCCGAGGCAGGTGGATCACGAGGTCAAGAGATCGAGATCATCCTGGCAAACATGGCAAAACCCCCTCTCTACTAAAAATACAAAAATTAGCTGGGCATGGTGGCACACGCCTGTAGTCCCAGCTACTCAGGAGTCTGAGGCAGGAGAATTGCTTGAACCTGAGAGGAGGAGGTTGCAGTGAGCTGAGATCACGCCACTGCACTCCAGCTTGGTGACAGAGCGAGACTCCATCTCAAAAAAAATAAAAAATAAAGATAAACAAATAAATAGTACAGCCAGTTTGGAAAACAGTTTAGCAGTTTCTTACAAGGTTAAATATATACTTACTATATAATACAACAGTTTCACTCCTAGGTACCTATGCAAGAGAAATGAAAACACACATCCACACAAAAACTTGTACATAAATGTCCATAGCAGTATTGTTCACAAGAGACAAAAAGTGGAAACAACCCAAATGTCCATTAACCACTGAGCGGATAAACAAAATATGGCATATCCATACAATGAAATAGTATTTGACAATAAAAAGGAGTGGAGTGCTAATATATTGTACAATGTGAATGAATCTTACACATGCCTGGTAAAAGAAGCCAGACCCAAAACACCACAAGTGGACACAAAATTTCTTTTTAGAGTGATAGAAATGTTCTAAAATTAGATTGTGGTGATGGTGATGTCTATACAACTCGATAAATATACTAAAATTCATTGAATTGCATACTTAAAACAGATGAATTCTATGATATGCAAATTGTATCTCAATAAAGCTGTTTTTAAAAGGGAATAAAAAATAAGTACAGCCCTCTGAAAGAATTAAATATAAATTTACCATACAACTCAACAATTCCATTCCTGGGTATGTACCCAATAGAACAAACTTGCCCACAGAATGTTCACAGCAGCATTATTCATAATAGGCAAAAAGTAGAAACTACCTAAATGTCTATCAACTGGTGAATAAATAAAATATGATATAACCATACAATTGAACACTATTCAGCAAAAAAAAGAATAAAATGCGACTACATGCTACAATGTGGATGAACTTCAAAAACACTATGCAAAGTGAAAGAAGCCAGACATGAAAAAAACACATAATGTATAATTCCATTTATATGAAATGTCCTGCAAAGGTAAACCTATAGAGACAGAAGGTAAAATAATGTTCCCCTGAGGTTGGGGATGGGAATGGAAATTAACTGTAAATGGGCATGAGGGATTTATTTTCTAACGGATGAATCAGCCACTCAAACTGGATCCAAGGAAGATCTTATTGGAGTGATGGAGATGTTCTAGAACTGGGTGATGGTAATAGTTGGTCAGCTTGATAACTTTACTAAACATCATTTAATCATAAACTTACCGGGTACGGTGGCTCACGCCTGTAATCCCAGCACTTTGGGAGGCTGAGGCAGGTGGCTCACTTGAGATCAGGAGTTCTAGACCAGCCTAGCCAACATGGTGAAACTCCATCTCTACTAAAAATATAAAAATTAGCTGGGTGTGGTGGCACCCGCCTATAATCCCAGGTACTCAGGAGGTTGAGGCAGAAGAATTTCTTGAACCCGGGAGGCGGAGGTTGCCGTGAGCTGAGATCATGCCACTGCACTCCAGCCTGGGCGACAGAGAGAGACTTCATCTCAAAAAAAAAAAAAAAAAATCATTTAATTGTAAACTTAAAAAGGGTGAAATTTGTGGTATGTAAATCAGACCTTAAAAAATTGGTTTTTTAAATTTATTTGTTTATTTATTGAGAGAGAGTCTCACTCTTTTCACCTAGGCTGGAGTGCAACGGTGCAATCTCCACTCACTGCAACCTCTGCCTCCTGGGTTCAAGTGATTCTCCTGCCTCAGCCTCCAGAATAGCTGGGATTACAGGCACCCGCCACCACGCCCAGCTAATTTTTGTATTTTTAGTAGAGACAGGGTTTCACTATTTTGGCCAGGCTAGTCTCGAACTCCTGGCCTCAGATCATCTGCCCACCTCGGTCTCCCAAAGTGCTGGGATTACAGGCATGAGCTATTGCGCCTGGCCTAAAATTGTTGTTTTTAAAAAGCAAAGTTTCAATGAACATTCATGTACTGTCGTGTAAAATTCAAATGCCTCAGATAGCCTTTTTGTCCTTGCTACCAAGTCCAGTTGTAACTTGTCATCCTGTCCCTCATTCTAGTGCAGCACTGTTGCTCCACCTACTATCTTTGGAGAATGCCCCTGCCTTCCTGCTTTCACTCATGCTATTTCCCTAGGTAGCTCAATCCAGCTCAAATTCTGGGTCTTCCTTACCTCCCCTTGTAGTTGCTGCTACAATCAGTCTTTGTACCTCCAATTCCTATCACTTTCTCTGTTATGCACTACTCACCATGTTAGGTGTTGGGTGTCAGGGTAGAGTGCAGCCCTGCTGGCACACTGCTCTTGCTCTCCAGGGTGATCTGCAGCCCCCTAGCATAGAGCTGGGCACAGGTGCTCAACATTTGTTGAATGAATGAGTGAGTGAATGAATGAACACACAAATCCATTATTGACTTTCCCCCTTGCATCCTGCTGCTCCGTCTTTAGCAAACTTTCCCAAGAAAATCCTATGTTTTTATAACCAGTCAGTAAAGACAGCGATTCCATCTTGGATATACTGGGTGAACACTATGTGGCCAGGCCAGTCCGGCTCACAGAGAGGTGGCCCAGATAGTCACAGAGGGTTGGCCCTGATAAGAACTAAACTGGCAGTACCAAACATCTGCTGCCTATACCCACAGCTCAAATCCCATAATTTTCTGAGGAGAGCCTGTCCCCCCAGGTGGTAAAGGTAGGAATCAAGGCATCACTAAGGCTGTCACACATTAAGCCTTTGATCTAGGACAGTATCTACTGTCATTACTGAGGGCTTGGCTTAGTAACTCCCCAGTGTGCCTATGGTTCTTTATGGGGCCTCACTCATGCCAAACAGATGAATCCCATTCTCCGGGAGAGGAATGCACCCTCTCTACCTGTTTGCACAGTGGATTCTTGTAAACAGGGAATATCCTCTGTCAATGAGAAGTATCAGGGATGAGGTAGCTATGCCTTCCCTGGAATTCCACAGAGTACCAGAGTGATGCCTGCAAGCCAGAGGGCATACATCGCCTCTCAAAGCAACTAGAAGTAAAAGGTTCATGGCCTTCAGTGTCAGAGGGATATGATTTCAAATCCAAGTGCAACCCTTTCTTAGGCCATTTGACCTTGGGCAAATGACTTAACTTCCCTAAACCTCAGTTTCTTTCTGTATAGGATAGGGAAATATAGCTCCTCCCTATGGGTTGTTGTGTGGATTAAATAAGATGTTGTATGTAAGGCCTTTTTCACAGTGCCTAGCACATAGCAAGGGCTCAATAAATATTAGTAGTAGTAGAAATAGCAGCAACAACATCATTAAGCATCTACTTTGTGCTAGAGACCATGCCAGGTGATGGGGATAAAAGTCATTCATTCAACAAATATAGTAAAGTCTTTACTACTAAAAGCCAAAGGCTTTACATATAATGTCCTTTTTCAATCTACAACAAAACCAACAAAGATCCTGCCCATGTGGTGCTTATATTCCAGTGAAGAAACAGACACAATTAAGAGTGAAAAAGCAGTCTCTCTCCTCACAGATACAGAAAAGGAAACAAGCACAACACAGAGGGATGAGTGATGAATATAACCACATAGGACCACCAAGCAGGTTCACCTCACCTAGTTTTGGGAGGTCAGAGAGGGCTGGCTGGAGGATCTGCGGGAGTGAAACTAACAAGATTATTTTTAGAGTCCTGTCTCCCACTGTGGTATGCACAATAGTGACCCTCCCAAAAGTGTCCACACCCTAATCCTTGGAAACTGAAATGTTATGTTACATGGCAAAGGGGAATGAAGTTTGCAGAAAAAATGAAGGTTGCAGCCCAACGTGGTGGCTCACACCTGTAATCCAAGCACTTTGGGAGGCCAAGGCATGAGGATTGTTTGAGCCCAGGAGTTTGAGACCAGCCTGGGCAACATGGCAAGACCCCATCTCTACAAAAAATCAAAGGTTAGCCAGGCATGGTGGTGCATACCTGTGGTCTCAGCTACTCAGGAGGCTGAGGTGGGAGGATCGCTTGAGTCCAGGAGGTCAAGGCTGCAGGTGAGCCACGGTCATGCCACTGCACTCCAGCCTTGGTGACAGAGTGAGACCTGTCTCACTGGCCTCAAAGATGGTGGAAGAGTACCACGAGCTACAGAATGTGAACACCCTCTAAAAACTGCAAAAGGCAAGGAAACGCATGCTCCCTGGGACATCCAGCAAGGAACACAGCTCTGCCGGCACCCTGATATTAGTACAATGAGACCCATTGCAGACTTCTGATCTCTAGACCTGTAAGATAATACATTTGTGTTGTTTTAAAATTTGTGCTCATTTTTTTAACCACAGCAATAGGAAACAAATACACCCCCAAATACCCACACAACTGGGGCTCCTGGGGAGAGGCTGGAACAGAAAGCTTCATTGTCTGACATCCTTCCAAGGTCTTGATTCAAATCTTGGGCAGCTAGCCCTGCAAATGGCTGTATAGGTCTGGACCAAATGGTATCATCAGAGTTCTTTCTGTTTCTTCTCCTCCTCACCCTAATTTTAGGCATTTCCTTCTTTCTGGGTTCTCAGTGTCCTCAATGTTGTCCCCGCCTGGACAGATGCATCTCCATTCTGCCTTAGGCAAATATTAATAACACTTTACAATTCTATGTTGCCTTACAGAGTACCAACTACTTCTTTATTTATTCCTCCCAAGGAGGAGGGTACCGTAATTTCATTTTAGAAGAGAAATTTTCCCAGAGTCACATAACTAGTAAGTGGTGGAGGAGGGCCTGGACTCTGGCACAGTTAGCCTAACGTCCTGCTCAATGCATTTCAGTGAATTCAGATATGGAACAAGGGTAGGAAGCCACCAGAGACAGATTAGCAAAGAGAGTACGTTCAAATCTGGAAAGGGTTGGAAGGAGACAGAAGGATATTTACCCTTAAGTAGGGACATGGGGGCAATTGTCCTCTTTCCTTTGTCTTCTTTCCCTAGACCTAGACAAAGGAGAGAGGAGAAAGGGGAAGGGAGAGGGTGAGAGCAAGAGCAAAAGAGCAAGCAAGAGAGAGAGAGAGACAGAGAGCAAGCGAGCGAGAGAGAGAGAGAGAGAGAGAGAGAGAATGCCAGCCCTGTGTAGGCAAATGAACCAACCTTCCCAAACCAGAACTCTACTTATCATAGTTTTAAGATTTCTTTCTTTATATCCCCAGCAGTAACTCTGCAGAGAAGTCTTGATATAATTTAACCCTGCTCAATAAATGTTAGTTGACTGCACCTATAAATGAATCAAGAGTTCAGGCTGGGTGCGGTGGCTCACACCTGTAATCCCAGCACTTCGGGAGGTCAAGGCAGGTGGATCATTTGAGGTCAGGAGTTCAAGACCAGGCTGGCCAACATGGTGAGACCCTGTCTCTACTAAAAATACAAAAACTAGGCAGGTGTGGTGGCGTGTGCCTGTAATCCCAGCTACTTGGGAGGCTGAGGCAGGAGAATCGCTTAACCCTGGGAGATGGAGGATGCAGTTAGTGAGATTGCACCACTGCACTCCAGTCTGGGTGACAGAGTGAGACTCCGTCTTGAAAAAAAAAAAAAAAAAAAAAAAAGAGTTCAGCTTAGTTCAAATCACCAATCACTCTTTGAGAGATATTTGGATTTTAAGTGTTATGAGAGGGGTGGAGCAAAGGGAACCCAGCAAAGTCTGGAAGGCAAGGAAAGTCAGTCCTCAAGCCAGACCAAGCCCTTTCCAATTCTCTTTCCCATCCATCTCATACTTCTGGTCTTAGCACCACGGTCAACAACACTGAGAGAACTTTCTCAATCATCTCTTCTGGAACTTTCCCTGGTCATGCTGTCTGATCATCCTGCTTATTTCAGTCAGTATTGGGCTGCCAATCTGTAATTACCTTGTTTATTCGCTTTCTTGTTTATGGACTGCCTCTCCCAGTAGAAGCTAAGCTCAATGAAGGCCAAGACTATTTTATCCTACTGTTCACCACTTAATCCCAGTACAATGTGCTGAATAAATGAAAAACCAAATGAAGTTATGTCTGAACTGAGATCTGAGATCCTAATGAGGAAATGTTAACCAGATGAAGGGGGTAGAGAAGCTTGGGGTGGAATGGGGAGAGTTTTTGAGAGGGAAGAGCATGGTGGTCCCTCCTAATCACCCTGACCTATTGGAATCACCCAGGATCTGTCCTTGAATTTCTTCTCTTTCTCTTTCCATGCACCTACTCCCAGACGATCTCATTTACAAATCCCACTATAAGCTGGTAACTTTCAAATGTATTTCTCTTGCTTCTGCTTCTCTGAACTCTAGAATTTCATTTCTACTGCTTATCTCCCATCACCACTGGGATTTCTAACAGGCATCCATGCCTAATGCTGCCCATCTGCCTCCAGTCCCCGGGGTGAGTAGAGACTGACAGATACAAATTGTGTCCATTTTTCTTTTCTTTTTTCTTTTGAGACAGAATCTCACTCTGTCACCCAGGCTGCAGTGCAGTAGCGTGATCTCAGCTCACTGCAACATCCGCCTCCCGAGCTCAAGTGATCCTCCCACCTCAATCTCCTGAGTAGATGGGACTACAGGCAGCCACCGCCATGCCCAGCTAACTTTTAATTTTTTGTAGAGATGGTGTCTCACTATGCCCAGGCTGGTGGCTGGTCTCAAACTCCTGGGCTCAAGCGATTCTTCCACCTCAGCCTCCCAAATTGCTGGGATACAGGCATGAGCCACTGCACCTGACTCTGTCCATTTTTCTTGAGAGACCTGTACATCCCATTTACATATGTGGGAACCACTAAAATTTAAATGATCTACCCAGATCATATAACTTATATTTGTTTATATCTGAGTCAAGGCACCAAAAGAAAAAAGAAAAAAAAATCCTATATTTAGCATAACTGGAGATTAAATTGGCTTTCTTTTTCTTCTTCTTTTTCTTTTTTTTGAGACAGAGTCTCACTCTGTTGCCCAGGGTGAAGTGCAGTGGTGTGATCTCGGCTCACTGCAACCTCTGCCTCCCAGGTTCAAGCGATTCTCCTGCCTCAGCCTCCCAAGTAGCTGGGACTATAGGTGCCCACCACCAAGCCCAGCTAATTGTTTTTGTATTTTTAGTAGAGTCAGGGTTTCACTATGTTGGCCAGGCTGGTCTCAAACTCCTAACCTCGTGATCCACCCACTTTGCCCTCCCAAAGTGTTGGGATTACAGGCATGAGCCACCACGCCCGGCCTAAATTGGCTTTCCCCAAAGTCTGGGAAGCTTTCTACAGTATCGTAATGCTGCCCTCACTTCAGCCTTCATACATTGTGAAAACTGCCTTTAATCTGGTTACCATTCTTCAGGCTACCTTTTAAAAAGTTCATTTTTTAAATGACTTAATTTATGTAAAATGACTTCATTTATGTAAAAATGAAATACCTTTCTTATAAAAATGCAAACATAGAAAAGTACAAAGAAAAAAAAACTGCTACCCCCACACTTTGTCATCCAGACATAACCATCGTTATCAACCGGTGAACGTCAGTCTTACAGAGGTTACTCTTAAAATTTGCTTCTTCTCTCCTCTGCTTTCCCAAATTGGCAAATATTACCAGAATTGATTCAATTGCTTGGGCCAAAACCTGGGACTCATCCACAATCTTTCTCTTTATCTCACTCCCTGCATCAGCCACTTATACTGACTCTGCTTGGAAATACATTGGAATCTTACCTTGACTACTGTCATTATGGTCCAGGTTATCATCTATTTCTTGCTTAGATTAGCCTTCTGAATATTCTCTCCACTTCCATTTTTGCCTCATCAGTTGTATTCTCTACACAGTAGCCAGAGTGTTTTAAAAAACATAATCCCCTTTCCCATCAAAATTATTTCAGTGACTTCCCACCATATTTAGAATTAAAAATTCTTGGCCAGGTGCAGTGGCTCACACCTGTAATCCCAGTACTTTGGGAAGCTGAGGTGGGAGGATTGCTTGAGCCCAGCAGTTTAAGACCAGCCTGGGCAACCTAGTGTGATCTCACCTCTACAAAACATAAAAAAGTTAGCCAGGTGTGGTGGTGTGCATGTATAGTCCCAGCTATTCAGGAGGCTGAGGTGGGAGGATTGTTTGAGCCCAGGAGGTCGAGGCTGCAGTGAGCTATGATTGCACCACTGCACTCCAGCCTGGACAACAGAGCAAGATTCTGTCTCTAAGATAATAATAATAAAGTAAAAATAAAAATAAGTTAGGCAGGTCTGGTGGCTTGCACCTGTAGTACCAGCTCCTTAGGAGGTTGAGGTAGGAGGCTCCCTTCAGCCCAGGAGTTTGAGGCTGCAGTGAGCTGAGATCATGCCACTGCATTCCAGCATGGGTGATAAAATGAGACCCTGTCTCAAAAAATAAAATAGAATAAAAAATTCTTGCAGTTACATAAAGGTCCAGTAAACAACAGTCACAATGTCCTTCTTTCTACTCTTGAACGTATCAAGCTTATTTCTGCCCAAGGCCTTTACATTTTCTCCTTTCCCTGCCAGGAATGCTCTTCTAAAGTTTTTCACAGCTTTCCTCTTCCCACACTTTAAGTCCACGCTCAAATACATCTTGCAGTAGCTGGCTCTGACCCCTCCACCTAAACTCGGTCCCAGCTGCTACCCCTTATCATTCTCTACCCCTTGACTCAATTCTTCTTCGTAATACTTACCATTACCTGAAAGCATTCTCTGCAATTATTCGCTTCTTTTTAACTTTTTGTCTGTATCCCCCACTAAAATGTAAGTTGCATGAAGGCAAGGATTACTGTCTGTTTTTCCCACTGCTCTGCCCCGATGGTTAGAACAATGCCTGGCCCATAGTAGATGCTCAATAAACATTTGTTGAATAAATAAATTTGCAGATAGAAGGGTAGAGAAATACTTTTTACAAAAATGAGATCATAGTGTTTATGCCTTTAAAAATAAAAATGGTATTGAATATTTAACAAGAAAAATAAGTTGAAACAAAGCTGAAAGAGTTGCTTATCTTTAGAAAAATGGCTTCATACTGGGTCCAGGTGCAGCAGCTCACATCTTTAATCCCTAGAACTTTGGGAGGCCGAGGTAGCAGGATCACTCGAGGCCAAGAGTTTGAGACCAGACTGGGCAACAAAACAAGACCCTATCTCCAAAAAAAGATTTACAAAAAAAAAAAAAGAAAGTCTCCACACGGTGAAATAATAGTTGCCAATTAGCCTCTCCCTCTCCCTCTCCCTCTCCCTCTCCCTCTCCCTCTCCCTCTCCCTCTCCCTCTCCCTCTCCGTCTCCCTCCGTCTCTGTCTCCGTCTCCGTCTCCCTCTCCCCACGGTCTCCCTCTCATGCGGAGCCGAAGCTGGACTGTACTGCTGCCATCTCGGCTCACTGCAACCTCCCTGCCTGATTCTCCTGCCTCAGCCTGCCGAGTGCCTGCGATTGCAGGCACGCGCCGCCACGCCTGACTGGTTTTGGTGGAGACGGGGTTTCGCTGTGTTGGCCGGGCCGGTCTCCAGCCCCTAACCGCCAGTGATCCGCCAACCTCGGCCTCCCGAGGTGCCGGGATTGCAGACGGAGTCTCGTTCACTCAGTGCTCAATGGTGCCCAGGCTGGAGTGCAGTGGCGTGATCTCGGCTCACTACAACCTCCACCTCCCAGCCGCCTGCCTTGGCCTCCCAAAGTGCCGAGATTGCAGCCTCTGCCCGGCCGCCACCCCGTCTGGGAAGTGAGGAGTGTCTCTGCCTGGCCGCCCATCGTCTGGGATGTGAGGAGCCCCTCTGCCCGGCCGCCCAGTCTGGGAAGTGAGGAGCGTCTCCGCCCGGCCGCCATCCCATCTAGGAAGTGAGGAGCGCCTCTTCCCAGCCGCCATCACATCTAGGAAGTGAGGAGCGTCTCTGCCCGGCCGCCCATCGTCTGAGATGTGGGGAGCGCCTCTGCCCCACCGCCCCATCTGGGATGTGAGGAGCGCCTCTGCCCGGCCGAGACCCCGTCTGGGAGGTGAGGAGCGTCTCTGCCCGGCCGCCCCGTCTGAGAAGTGAGGAGACCCTCTGCCTGGCAACCACCCCGTCTGAGAAGTGAGGAGCCCCTCCGCCCGGCAGCTGCCCCGTCTGAGAAGTGAGGAGCCTCTCCGCCCAGCAGCCACCCCATCTGGGAAGTGAGGAGCATCTCCGCCCGGCAGCCACCCCGTCCGGGAGGGAGGTGAGGGGGGGTCAGCCCCCCGCCCGGCCAGCCGCCCCATCCGGGAGGGAGGTGGGGGGTCAGCCCCCTGCCCGGCCAGCCGTGCCATCCGGGAGGGAGGTGGGGGGGTCAGCCCCCCGCCCGGCCAGCCGCCCGGTCCGGGAGGTGAGGGGCGCCTCTGCCCGGCCGCCCCTACTGGGAAGTGAGGAGCCCCTCTGCCCGGCCAGCCGCCCCGTCCGGGAGGGAGGTGGGGGGGTCAGCCCTCCGCCCGGCCAGCCGCCCCGTCTGGGAGGTGAGGGGCGCCTCTGCCCGGCCGCCCCTACTGGGAAGTGAGGAGCCCCTCTGCCCGGCCAGCCGCCCCGTCCGGGAGGGAGGTGGGGGGGTCGGCCCCCCGCCCGGCCAGCCGCCCCGTCCGGGAGGGAGGTTGGGGTGTCGGCCCCCCGCCCGGCCAGCCGCCCCGTCCGGGAGGGAGGTGGGGGGGGTCAGCCCCCCTGCCCGGCCAGCCGCCCCGCCCCCCTGCCCGGCCAGCCGCCCCGTCCGGGAGGTGAGGGGCGCCTCTGCCCGGCCGCCCCTACTGGGAAGTGAGGAGCCCCTCTGCCCGGCCAGCCGCCCCGTCCGCGAGGGAGGTGGGGGGGTCAGCCCCCCGCCCGGCCAGCCGCCCCGTCCGGGAGGGAGGTGGGGGGGGGTCAGCCCCCCTGCCCGGCCAGCCGCCCCGTCCGGGAGGTGAGGGGCGCCTCTGCCCGGCCGCCCCTACTGGGAAGTGAGGAGCCCCTCTGCCTGGCCAGCCGCCCCGTCCGGGAGGGAGGTGGGGGGTCAGCCCCCCGACCGGCCAGCCGCCCCGTCCAGGAGGGAGGTGGGGGGGTCAGCCCCCCGCCCGGCCAGCCGCCCCGCCCAGGAGGTGAGGGGCGCCTCTGCCCGGCCGCCCCTACTGGGAAGTGAGGAGCCCCTCTGCCCGGCCACCACCCCGTCTGGGAGGTGTGCCCAACAGCTCATTGAGAACGGGCCAGGATGACAATGGCGGCTTTGTGGAATAGAAAGGCGGGAAAGGTGGGGAAAAGATTGAGAAATCGGATGGTTGCCGTGTCTGTGTAGAAAGAAGTAGACATGGGAGACTTTTCATTTTGTTCTGCACTAAGAAAAATTCCTCTGCCTTGGGATCCTGTTGATCTGTGACCTTACCCCCAACCCTGTGCTCTCTGAAACATGTGCTGTATCCACTCAGGGTTAAATGGATTAAGGGCGGTGCAAGATGTGCTTTGTTAAACAGATGCTTGAAGGCAGCATGCTCGTTAAGAGTCATCACCAATCCCTAATCTCAAGTAATCAGGGACACAAACACTGCGGAAGGCCGCAGGGTCCTCTGCCTAGGAAAACCAGAGACCTTTGTTCACTTGTTTATCTGCTGACCTTCCCTCCACTATTGTCCCATGACCCTGCCAAATCCCCCTCTGTGAGAAACACCCAAGAATTATCAATAAAAAAATAAATTAAAAAAAAAAAAAATAGTTGCCAATTAATGACTCTAAAGAAAAAAAGGCGGCCGGGCGTGGTGGCTCACACCTGTAATCCTAGCACTTTGGGAGGCCCAGGCGGGCAGATCAATTGAGGTCAGGAGTTCGAAACCAGCTTGGCTATCATGGTGAAACCCCGTCTCTACTAAAAATACAAAAAATTAGCTGGGCATGGTGGTGCGCGCCTGTAATCCCAGCTACTTGGGAGGCTGAGGTAGGAGAATCACTTGAACCCGGGAGCTGGAGGTTGCAGTGAGCCAAGACCGTGCCACTGCACTCCAGCCTGGGCGAGAGAGCAAGACTCCATCTCAAAAAAAAAAAAAAAAAAAGAAAAGAAAAGAAAAGAAAAAGCATAGAAATCATTAAAGGATGGTGGGTGTCATGCTTTTATGTTTTCTCAGGCAGACATTTCGTCTTTAGATGGTGTCTATTCAATCCATGCTGTAATAGATTTTTTGTTCATTCATTCATTCATTCATTCATTCATAAAACAAAAATATACCGAATAGTTTACATCAATCTCTGATGTATGTGCCAGATAATAAAACAGGCAAGATCCCTGCTCTCATAGGGTGTATGTGTGTGTGTGTGTGTGACAGGGGCAGGAAGAAACCCAGTAAACACACACACACACACAATCCAGTAAATACATAATGAATAAGATCTTTTCATATTGTATTTATGAAGAAAATAAAACAGTGTGTGGCTAGGGAAAGCTGGGTGGCTGGTTCAGGTTACAGGTCAGAGAGGGCCTAACTGAGCAAGTGATATTTGACTTGAGACCTGAATGATCAAAGCATTCTGGGGACAGAGCCGTCCAGGCAGAAGGAAGAGAGAGCACACGCGCTCAGAGCAGGGCAGGCCTGGCTCAGGACTGGAGGGCTGGCCAGTATGGGAGCTCAGAGACCAGGGAGGCCGTGTGTGAGAGGAAGACGAAGAGGTGAGTGCATAACTCATTCTCTTGACAAGGATTCAGATTTTTCTTTTTTTTTTCTTTTTTTTTTTTGAGACGGAGTCTGGCTCTGTCTCCCAGGCTGGAGTGCAGTGGCGCGATCTCAGCTCACTGCAAGCTCCGCCTCCCAGGTTCACACCATTCTCCTGCCTCAGCCTCCCGAGTAGCTGGGACGACAGGAGCCTGCCACCACGCCTGGCTAATTTTTTGTATTTTTTAGTAGAGACGGGGTTTCACCGTGTTAGCCAGGATGGTCTTGATAAGGAGTTCAGATTTTAACCCAAGAGTAATGGGAAGCCATTGGATGGCTTTAAATGGGGCAATGGCGTGAAATAGGCTCTCTCTTCTCCTAAAACCTCCTTTGCAATCTAATGTCTCCAGATTATGTTAGTCACATCATTTGTACATTTCCAGCATTATAACATTTCTGTGTCCATAAATCTCACTGTTGTTTAGCTTTTATTTTTTGAAATGACAGATTATCATCATTTTTTTTAACTGGGCTTTCTTTTTTCTTCTTTTTTCCCTTCCTTTCTTCCTTCCTTCCCTTCTGTGTTTTCTTTCAGAGGAGAAGCTAATTTTATTGTTTCCCATCATTAAATATGAAACAGAAAATCTATAGAGAAGGAAAAAGAGCTCCATAGAATATAATTCAAATATGAAAAAAATCCTCATCTTGTGAGACCTTTGCATTTGTCTGGCCTTCAGAGTAAGTTTTTTTCACTGATCAAGCCTGCCATAAAAATTAAGGTTGCCAGTGTCTTTGTCTGTTCTGCTGGTCTTTTTCTTTTTTTTTTTAATAGAGACAGGGTCTCGCTATGTTGCCCAGGCTGGTCTCAAACTCCTGGGATCAAGCAATCCCCCTGCCTTGGCCTCCCAGAGTGCTAAGAGTACAAATGTGAGCCACTGCGCCAGGCCTATTGGTTTTCACAGAACCTTTGAGGTCCTTGAGAAAAGCCATTGAAATCAGTATGTCAAAGAGTCATCTGCACTCCCATGTTCATTGTGGCATTATTCACAATAGCCAAGATATGGAATCAATCCAAGTGTCTATCAATAGATAAAAGAAAGAAAATGTGGTGTATATACACAAAGGAATACTATATAGCCTTAAAAGAGAAGAAAATCCTGTCATTTGTGACAACATGGATGAACCTGGAGGACACGTTGTTAAGTGAAATAAGCCAAGCACAGAAACATAAATACTGCATGATCTCACTTATATATAAAATCTAAAAAATTTGAACTCATAGAAGTAGAGAATAGAATGGTGGTTACCAGGGCTAAGGGTGGGGGAAGGGGAAAAGGGTGATGGCCAAGTGGCACAAAGTTTCAGTTAGAAAGGAGAAATAGATTTTAGCCATCTATTGCACAGAATGATGACTATAGTTAATGTTTTGTGTATTTCAAAATTGCTTAGTCTATTTTAAACGTCCTCACCACACAAAAATGATAAGTGAGTGAAGTGATGGATATGTTCATTAGTTTGTTATAATCATTCTGCAATGTATGCCGTGCTGGGCTCTTTGTCATGATTTTGTTTTTCCTCTTTTATTTTTCTTCCTGAGCTCATCCAACTAAGCCTGGCCTCCTTTTGATGTCTCACCATCTCCTCTCTCATCTCTTACTCCTCTTTTAAAATGTTTCCCCAAGTTGATCATAATATCTGTAGCTTCGGAGTTAGTAGGATTCTTTGTCTGAACTCTTCTTCTGTTGTCTGGAATAATTTCTCTTGTGATGTATCTTCTTTTCTCCTAAGCATCTCCACGTGTCTCCCTTTCTGGTTATCCCTCATCTTTGAACAGGGGAGTTTCTGTCTGGATCATGATGTGTTGAAAAATAGGGTAGAGGCCAGGCGCGGTGGCTCACACCTGTAATTCCAGCACTTTGGGAGGCTGAAGTGAGTGGATCACAAGGTCAGGAGATTGAAACCATCCTGGTCAACATGGTGAAACCCCATCTCTACTAAAAAAAAATTAGCTGGGCGTGGTGGTGTGTGCCTGTAGTCCCCACTACTCAGGAGACTGAGGCAGGAGTATCGCTTGAACCCGGGAGGTGGAGGTTGCAGTGAGCCGAGATTGCGCCACTGCACTCCAGGCTGGGTGACAGAGCAAGACTCCGTCTCAAAAAAATAAAAAGGAAGAAAAAGAAAAATAGGGTAGAGCGGAGTGAGGAATGTGAGCAGGAGTCATCCCCAATGCCATTTCGGGTTGTTTTCTCAAACACCTGTCACCATGCTTCTTGGGCTCTATGCTATTATGTCTTTTCTCAGATACTAGAGTTCAGGACATTGGTGTGGCTCAAAACAACCTGCTTTACTCAGGTGCTCTGTGTTGTAATCTGATGATTCTAGTCCCTCCTCCTTCATCCCCCCTCACTAAGACAGACAGTTTGGGAAGATATAAAATGGTGTTGTCAGTCTGGCTCTTCCTTTAGCCACCTCCCTCTTGGTTCTGCCTTCTTGAGTGTCTTTCCCTATTGTCTCTAATTCTCCAGGGGTGTTCCCTATCCCCCAACAACCTATATCAGTTAAGATTAGAATTCAGCTTTAAGTGAGAGAAAGCCCCATATAATTGTAGCTTTATTTCTTTAGTCACACGTAAATGAAGTTTGGAAGCAGGCAGTTCAAGGCCATTGCTGTGCAGTCTCCTTTTAGCTTGTTGCTCTGCCAGGCTCAACATATATTCACCAACTATCCAAGATGGTTCCAGCCTTGTCAGCATGTTCACATTTCAGCCACCAGCAAGGAGCTCACCTTCTCTCCTTTTATTTTTGAGACAAGGTCTTGCCCTGTCACCCAGGCTGAAGCACAAAGGTACAATCATAGCTCACTGCATCCTTTAACTCCTAGGCTTAAGTGATCCTCCTGCCTCAGCCTCCCAAGTAGCCAGAGATACAGGTGCATACCAACATTACAGGTGCACCTGCCAATTTTATAAAACTTTTTGTAGAGACGGAGGTCTCACTACGTTGCCCAGGCTGGCCTAAAATACCTGGGCTCAAGTGATTCTCCCACCTCAGCTTCCCAAAGTGCCGTTCCTTCCAATGGGTGTGTGAGGATGGGAATTTTGATTTTAAAAAGAAAAGGAGCCAGGATCTTTAAAATCAAAATTCCCATCCTCACACACCTGTTGGAAGGAACATAAAATGGTGCAACCAGTTTGGAAAACGGTTCTGGCAATTTCTCAAAATGTTAAACATAGAACCATATCACACAGAAATTTTACTCCTAGGTATACACTCAAGAGAAATGGAAACATATGTCCACACAGGACTCGTACAAATGTTCATAGCACCATTATTCAAAATGCAGAATATAATTTAACAACCAAAAGATATAAAATAATATACATGTGACAACATGGATGAATCTCAAACACATTATGCTAAGTGAAAGAAGCCATACATAAAAGACCACTTAGTACATGATTCTATTTATAGAAAATGTTCAGCATAGGCAAATCTATAGAGACAGAAAGTAGGCTCATGGTTGCCCAGGACTGGGACATTGGGGGATTTGGGAGATGGTGGATAAGGGGTGCCAAGTTTCTTTTGGGGATAATAAAAATTATCTTAAAATGTAGTGATAGTTGCTTAACTCTGAATATACTAAAAGCCATTGAATTGTACACTTTAAATGGTGGAATTGTGTGGTGTGTGAACTATATCTCAATAAAGCTATTAAAAAACGGCACACTTTCCATAATTTCACATGCCACTTTCACTTACATTCCATAGGCTAGAACTTATGGCCATGCCTATGTACAAGGGAAGCAGATAAATACAGTCTTTATCCCATCTAAAAACCATAGGTTCCATTACAATAGAGATAATGATATTGCAGAACAGTGGCCATGTCTGCCCCACCCTTAGTCAGACCTTAGACCTTGTCAGTCCACCCACAGAGGATCCTTGATGCGTTTCTCGGGAGCACGGCACTTCATCTTAGGGAAATTGATCTCTTTCCCAGAGTCTCTACAAGGATGTGTTGGCTCTGAATCCTCACATATTTTGGATCAAAATTCATTTCATTCAGCAGTCATCCTCCGTGGTTTTGTTTTATAACTTTTCTCCTGTTTATTGAAAGTAGAAGTTTCTTTTTTATTTTTTTGCTCTTGGCTTTCAGTTGGTTTCAAGAGTTGGAAGTGAATTCAAAATTCCCCTTTCCCACTATCTTTGCCTCGAATTTGCCAGAATAAATATTCTTGTGTTTTCTTTTTTCTTTTCTTTCTTTTTTTTTGGAACAAATTCTCACTCTGTCACCCAGACCGGAATGCAGTGGCACAGTCACAGCTCACTGCAGCCTCTACCTTCCAGGCTCAATCAATCCACCTGTCTCAGCCTCCCAAGTAGCTGGGGCTATAGGTGCACAACACTATGCCTGGCCAGTTTTTAAACTTTTTGTAGAGATGGAGCCCCACTATGTTGCCCAGGCTGGTCTCCAACTACAAGGCTTAAGCAATCTACCTACCTTGGCCTTCCGAAGTGCTGAGATTACAGGTGTGACCCATTGTTCCTAGCCCATGTTTTCTTCTAAACACAGCTTTGTAACCCTTCTGGGATTTCCCATACTTTCTGCACCTAATTTTTTGTGTTGTTTTGTTTTGGTTTTTTTGAGACAGAGTCTTGCTCTGTTGCTCAGGTTGAAGTGCAATGGCACAATCTGGGCTCACTGCAACCTCCGCCTCCCAGGTTCAAGTGATTCTCGTGCCTCAGCCTCCGGATTAGCTGGGACTACAGGCGTGTGCCATCATACCTGGCTAATTTTGTACTTTCAGTAGAGACAGGGATTTCACCATGTTGGCTAGGCTGGTCTCAAACTCCTGGCCTCAAGTGACCCATCCCCCTTGGCCTCCCAAAGTGCTGGGATTACAGACATGAGCCACCGCGCTTGGCATCCAGTGCTGGATTTTCAGTGTTCTCTGCAAACATCTTGCTCCTCCTCTCCAAATAAATTCCCCTTAGAACTCACCACCCCCACATCCCCACCACACACTGCTTCAGTCATGTCTCACATTTCAATAAAAGTTCTGTATAAACTGTAGAGTGCTATGTATATGTTCATTGTATTTATTAAATTCTTATTGGCTTGGCTAGAATAATTTCCCCATTTGCCAATTTTGTAGGGACCACAAATGCAACCCATTTGAATCTGAATGCAGTGTCTCTTCACCCATAGTTGCTCCTCTTGGGAAATGGCACCACCTGTTGCCCAAGTCAAAAACACAGGAGCCATTCTAAATTCTTCCTTCTCACTCACTTCCCATGATTACTCATTCACTAAGCCCTCTCCGTTTTCTGTGTTGATCCTCATAGCTGACCCTTGCTTTCCCCATCTCCTGCCACGGCCTCGGTTCTGCTCTCACTCATCCTTGCCTAGATCTTGGTAACTGCCTCCCATCATCTATCTTCCTGCCAGGATTTGACCCCCTTCCACTGCACACATCATGCAGTCGCCACCATGATCTTTCTTCAATGCAAACCACCTCTTGTCTATTGCTCACCCCTTCCTTCCACTGTTTAGATCCTTTATCGCTTCTCCTTTCTGCTCAGTTAAGCCCACACTTCCTCACATGGCAAAGACCTGCCAGGCCCTGATGTTTCCTGCCTTCCCAGCATTACATGCCCTGCTCCTCTCCAGCACCCCTCCCGCCTCCTAGTTATACCTAACAAATTGCAGTCTTCAAAAGCCTCTGAGTTTTTGAACATCTCCTCTCCCTCCAATTAGAAGTTAGCTGACTCCTATTTGTGTTTTAGAATAAATCCAGGCATCATTTTCTCTAAACCTTTCCCATCATTTGCCCTGTGTCTGATTTTAGTGTCCTTCCCTTGTATTTCCATAGAACTCGGCACATATTTCTCTACAAACATTACATTGTGCCATAATTTTTGGCTTGTGACTTCCTTGATTAAAATATAAGGTCCTTAAGGGCAGGGACCACATCTTATTTGTTTCTGGATTCCCAGTCCCTACTCTGTAGCTGGCATATAACAGGTATTCATGTTGAAAAGCAGTAACAAAGAATAAACAGTCTCCTCTGCATTTATATTTTGTTGACTTTTTAGAACAGGGCAGGAAATGACTACATGGAGTTCCAGAAACCTCGGCTCTTCCATGTGCCCCCACTAACTCTCCTTCCAACAGGGCAGTCGTTGGTTCAGTGACATATTGACTCAGACTGCCCTCTAGCCAATGGCAGCCACGCATGCATGGACTCTGAATCTATTCTGTGTACCAGTGTTGCCTAATTTGCAAATAGCCTGTACCTGTGTAATCCTCTTTGTCGGGAGTGAAGTGGTTCTCCCTGCTTTTGAAAAAAGCTAATGTGATGTATGTTTACTGATATGACATCAATGAGGATAACAGGGTATCAAGCAGGAGGTTAACTGGAAAAGAGGAGCCTGGCTCTAAATGATCTGGTCACTTGGGATGGAGGGATTGCCACATATCAGACTTTGAGTAGCTCTATTAACAGGGTTAGTAATGGCTATGGGCCAACATGTAGCGGGGCAACTATATTTCATTGATTCTAAGGCACTCCTTCTTTCACATTTTTATGTCTCTGAAACTGGAGTGTGTCTTAAAACAGATGACATCTTAAATTCAGAGAAAAATAGAAGTCCAACATGTCAATAGTATGCCAGAAAAATATAACAAATTTTAATTGACTGAATAGTGACTAAGCCTGGAATTTCACAAACTGAACTAAACAGAATGGCTTATAAAGAATTATAAATAATGTCTAAAAACTTGAATTTGCATATGAGCCCCTCCTAATTTCCGGGGAAAATACTGTACATATATTATCATTAATCTCCAACCTCCTAGCCTTGGAAGATAGGTGTTATTAGTAATAATCTTTACTGAGATATAATTCACATGCTATAAAATTCACCCATTTAAAGGTACAGTTCAGTGGTTTTTAGAATATAGAGAATTGTGCAATCATTATTGCAGTCTAATTTTAGAATATTTTTATCATTTCCCAGGAAAATTCTGTATCCATTTGCAGTCACTTTCTAGCCCTAGGCACCCATTAATTCATTGTCTCTAAGGAATTGCTTATTCTGGATATTTTATGTACATGGAATTGCACAAATGCAGCTCACTGCAACCTCAACCTCCTGAGCTCAAATGATCCTCCTGCCTCAGCCTCCCAAAGTGCTGGGATTACCAGCATGAGCCACCATGCCAGGCTAGAATCATGCTTTCAAGGTTTATCTGTGTTGTAGGTTCATGCATCAGTACTACATTCCTTTTCTTGGCGAATGATATTCCACTATATCAATGTACCACATTTTATCCATTCTTCAGTTAATGGACATTTGGGTTTTTTCCATTTTTTGGTTATTATAAATAATGCCACTATGAACAATCTGTGCAAGTTTTTGTATGAACTTTGACTGCTGAGACCAGCTCAGTAGGGGAGACCCTAACCCAGCAGCGCTAGAGGAATTAAAGACACACACAGAAATATAGAGGTGTAAAGTGGGAAATCAGAGGTTTCACAGCCTTCAGAGCTGAGAGCCCTGAACAGAGATTTACCCACGTATTTATTAACAGCAAGCCAGTCATTAGCATTGTTTCTATAGATATTTGATTAACTAAAAGTATCCCTTATGGGAAATGAAGGGATGGGCTGAAATAAAGGGATGGGTTTGGCTAGTTATCTGCAGCAGGAGCATGTCCTTAAGGCACAGATCCCTCATGCTATTGTTTGTGGTTTAAGAAAGACTTTAAGGAGTTTTCCACCTTGGGCGGGCCAGGTGTTCCTTGCCCTCATTCTGGTAAAACCACAAACTTCCAGCGTGGGCATTATGGCCATCATAAACCTGTCACAGTGCTGCAGAGATTTTGTTTATGGCCAGTTTTGGGGCCAGTTTATGGCCAGATTTTGGTGGGCCTATTCCCAACATTTGACCTCCCAGCTTCAAGGGATAATCCCACCTCAGCCTCCTACATAGCTGGGACTACAAGGTGAATGCCACCATGCCTGGCTAAATTTTTTCTGTATTTTTAGTAGAGACGGGGTTTTGCCATGTTGCCCAGGCTGGTCTCCAACTCCTGGGCTCAAGAAATCTGCCCACCTTGCCGTTCCAAAGTCCTGAGATTACAGGTATGAACGACCATGCCCCGCCTGGACATATATTTTCATTTCTCCAGGGAAGTGAATAAAATTGCTGGTTCATATAGTAACTCTATGCTTAACATTTTGAAGAACTGCCAAAAGCAGTTGCACCATATCACATTCCTACCAGACATGTACGAGGATTCCAATTTCTCCACATTCTTGTCAACGCTTGTTATTATCTTTTTTATTTTAACCATCCTAGTGGGTATGAACTGGTACTTCATCATGATTTTGTGTTTTCTTAATGACTAATGATTTAGAGAGTCTTTTCATATATTTATTGGTCACTTGTATATCTACTTTGGGGAAATGTCTATTCAAATCCTTTGCCCATTTTAAAATTGGGTTATTAATCTTTTTATTGTTGAGTTATGAGTTCTTTATACATTCTGGATACAAGTTTCTTATCAGATATATGATTTGCAAATATTTCCCCCCATCCTATGGGTTGTCTTTTCACTTAGTTTTTTAATTTTAATAAACTCCAGTTTATGTTTTTTTCTTTTGTCATTTCTACTTTTGATGTCATTTTAAGAAACTATTGCCTAACTCAAGGTCATGAAGATTTACTCCTATGTTTTCTTCTGATATGGTTTGGCTGTGTTCCCACTCAAATCTCATCTTGAATTGTAGCTCCCATAATTCCTACATGTTGTGGGAGGGATCCAGTGGGAGGTAATTGAATCATGAGGGCGAGTTTTTCCTGTGCTGTTCTCGTGATAATGGATAAGTCTCGTGGCATCTGACGGTTTTCTAAAGGGGAGTTTGCCTGCACACGTTCTCTTGTCTGCTGCCATGTAAGACATGCTTTTGCTTCTCCTTTTCCTTCTACCATGATTGTGAGGCCTCCCCAGGCCTTTAATTGACTCACATGTGGTACTGTGAGTCACTTAAACCTCTTTCCTTTATAAATTACCCAGTCTCAGGTATGTCTTTATTCACAGCATGAGAATAGACTAATACATCTTCTGAGAGTTATAGTTTTAATGCTTACATTTAAGTCTATGATTCATTTGGAGTTAATTTTTGTACTTGGTTTAAGGAAGAGGTCTAACTTTATCCTTCTGCCATGTGGATACACCATTATCGCAGCACCTTTGTGGAAAGGACTGTTCTCCATAAAGTTGTCTTGATACCCTTGTTGAAAATCGCTTCATCATAAATGTGGGGGTTCCTTTGTGGACACTCAGTCTATATGTCTGTCCTTATGCCAATATCACACAGTTGTTTGGGTTTTTTTCCCTGGTCACTAGACTAGCAGGGAACACACAGTTTTAATGACTGTAGTTTTATATTTTGTTCTTCTTTCAAGATTGTTTTTACTACTCTTAGTCCCTTGCATTTTCATATGAATTTTAGGTTCATTGTGTGAATCTTCTTAATTTGGAGTGGATGCTACAGAAGATTCCCAATAGTGAACTGAGGACCAAAATTATCCAGAAGCCTCTACGTGGCAAAGGAAAGATCAGGGAACCAGGCAGGTCATTTATTGGTACTAGGTACATTTTGGAAATTTTCTAAAGAATCATCTTCTCCAGGGGTGGAGGCACTCCCTACTGGCATGCTGGCCTCAGTTTCCTAGTGAGTCAAATGACTGGATTTAGGGGATTGGAATTCTAAGAAAATCAAGGGTTCAGGAGCAAGGGCAGATCTCCAGACAGCTCTGTGTAGACCAGGGCCTGGAGGAGAGTTGGAGGTTACATGTTGCTTCCACATTGACCTAAGGCTTAGGCTCTTACTGCTATTCAATAATTCAAGATTTAAAGGAGACGGGTGGGATGGCTCATGCCTGTAATCCTAGCACTTTGGGAAGCTGAGGTGGGATTGAACCCAAAAGTTCAATATCAGCTTTGGAAACATAGTGAAACCGCATCTCTACAAAAAAAAAAAAAAATTAAGAAAATTAGCTGGGGCATGGTGGCACATGTCTATAGTTCCAGCTACTTGGGAGGCTGAAGTGGGAGGATCAATTGAGTCAGGGAGGTGGAGGCTGCAGTGGGCCATGACTGTGCCACTGCGCTCCAGCCTGAGTGACAGAGGGAGACCCTGTCTCAACAACAAAGAGCAAATAATTTATTTTAAAAAAATAAAAATAGGAACAGCTCTATGTGGGCCAGGCTCTCTCCAACACAGGCTCGCTTTCCTGGAAGGAAGGAACACTTCCATTAGTTCTCTTCATGTTAAAATACAATATGCCCCTAAAAGCCATTGGAAACACTAATCAGAAAGGGACTCTCATAAACTGCTGGAGGACATAAATCAGTATAGTTTTTCTAGAGGAGTATTTTTCAATACACATCAAAACACTCTAAAGAAATTTTCACTCTTCAATTCAGTGATTCTCCTTTTGACAATTTATCTGTAAGAAATAGAGATTTACCTATGAGGCTATCATTTGCATAATTATTTACAATATTGATGAATTAGATGAAACCTATACATCTATCTATAATAGACTGTAAATCATTGTGCCTCTAACACACAACCTAAAAATGTCTATATGGATTAATAGCATAGACTGTTTTTTATCACAATATACTAAGTGAAAGCAGAATATCAAATAGATTGTACAGAATGTACCAAATTTTATTTTTAAAATATACACTACAAGAGCCGGGCATGGTGGCTCACACTTGTATTCCTATTACATTGGGAGGCCAACGTGGGAAGTTCGCTTGAGCTCAGGAGTTCAAAACCAGCGCAGGCAACATAGCAAGACCCTGTCTCTACAAAAAAAAAAAAAAAAAAAAAAAAAAAAAAAAGATTTTGCCAGGTGTGGTGGCACACACCTGTAGTTCCAGCTACTCGGGAGGCTAAGGTGTGGGGATCACTTGAGCCCAGGAATTCAGAACTTCAGTGAGCCACGATCATACCATGGCACTCTGGGTGACAGAGTGAGACCCTGTCTCTAAAAAATAATTAGATAAGTAAAAGTAAAAATATAGATTATATATACCTGTTAGCAGTGACAAATTCATACAGGTATGCAGCACCCTCAATCCTTACCTCTTCAGAAGAAAGAATTCAACAGAGGAGGAACGTAAGGAGACCGAGGCAAGTTTAGAGCAGGAGTGAAAGTTTATTAAAAAGTTTTTAGAGCAGGGACAAAGAGGGCCAAGCGGGCGACTTGAGAGATTCAAGTGTGTGGCTTGACTTTCGGCTTGGGGTTTTATACATTGGCATGCTTCTGGGAATTGCCTCCTTTCTCCCCATATTCTTCCCCTGGGGTGGGCTGTCCGCATGTGCACAGTCGCCTGCTAGCGCTTGCGAGGGGCCACATGTGCAGTGTGTTTGCTGAAGTTGTGCGCATACTCACTTGAGGTTCTGATCTCTCACCAGTCGAGTGTTCCCAGAAGGTGGTCATGTGCCAGTTAAACTCAGCCATTTTGCTTCTTAGTGCGCATGCTTGAGCCCACTCACCCAATTCCTGAGCTCTTCACCAGCTTCAGGTGTTTTCTCTTGGGAGACTACCTTTCCCTGGCGCTGGCTGCCACCAATTATTATTTTGGAGAGAGAGTTAACAACTGCCTAACCATCACCTGATGGTCGCCTGACATTCCAGGTGTGGGAGGGCGGCTCTCTTGCCCTGCTCGTGTCTACCTACTTACTGTAACATACATAGAAATCTTTTGATGTATATACAGTAAAATATTAAGTGATTATCTGTAAGGCAAAATTGCAGGTAACTTCTTTCTCCTGTTGCTTTTCTGCATGTTCCATTTTTTATATTGAATATTTATTATCATTGTAATTAGAAACAAAACATATTGGCTGGGTGCAGTGGCTGACATCTGTAATCCTAGTGCTTTGGGAGGCCTAGGTGAGAAGATTGCTTGAGGCCAGGAGCTCGAGACTAGCCTGGGCAACATAGCAAGAGCCCATGTCTACAAAAAAAAAAAAAAAAAAAAAAATTAGCTGGGCATGGTGGCCCACATCGGTAGTCCTAGCTACTCAGGAGGCTAAGGTGGGAGGATCCCTTGAGCCCAGGAGTTTAAGGTTACAGTGAGCTGTGATTGCACCACTGCACTCCAGCCTGGGCAACAGAGCAAGACCCTGTCTCAAAGAAACAAAACATATTAAATGTTATTTTTGAAAATATTAATCAAATGAATGCATAAGATAACAGGGGAGAAAAAAAATGTGTGTTGGCCAATCTTAAATCATCTTTGCCACCTTCTGGGAAATCGTGACTGGAGCCAAGCAGCTCTTGTATAAAGGCGGGGACGTGTGAGGCTCTGAATTTCAGAGGGGAAGAAGGAAGATGCAGTGGCCAAGGGTCTTTGATGGCCTCTGGCTCCAAGAAACAGAAAATTAACAACAGTTAACATTTAAAACAAAGAAAGAAACCTGTACATTTTGTTTTGGAGAAGTCAGTATTACAAAGGGGAGATCAAAAAAGAAAGTTTGCAAAAGCAGGTCCCTTTGTCATTTGGTAATGTGTGACATCTAAATTGGATTGACTTGCTTTGGTTTCTTTAAAAACTCATTATATTCAATTACAAAATGACAAATCAGTCTTTGGATGACTGCCTGATTCTATTAGTGTACAGACTTAAATGGCTCCATCTAGATTTGGGAGTTTATCATAGTTTGATTGCCTTTGCTATTCTCAGTGGATTACTTAATTACGCCAAAAACTAAGTGAAGCTAAAAAATTGTCCAAAATGTGCAGGTGTTGGTCTGCATGGGTTTATTTGTATTTACCAAGGGAAAACGGCAAAAAGTAATCTGTTTTGTTGAAGCAGCCATTTTTATCCAGAAAGTGTCCTAAGTTTGACCCAAGACATTTTGGGAAACTGCTTGTAACTGAACAAGACCAGAGACAATAATGGCAACACAGTAGTCTTGGAGCCAAGAAATGGAGAGCACAGGAGCACTTTATTATGCTTATTGTTTATTTTTGGTTCATAAACAAGTCAAAAATACTTTTAAAAAAAAAAAAAGACAGGTTATGCTCTGTCACCCAGACTGGAGTGCAGTGGCGTGATCACAGCTCATTGCAGCCTCAATCTTCCAGGCTCAAGTGATCCTCATATCTCAGCCTCCTGAGTAGCTAGGAATACAGGTGTGTGCCACCATGCCTGGCCAATTATTTTATTTTCTGTAGAGACAGGGTCTTGCTATGTTGCCAGAACTAGTCTTGAACTCCTGGGCTTAAGCTATCCTCCCACCTTGGCCTCTCAAAGTGTTGGAATTACAGGTGCGAGCCACCACACCTGGCTTAACACTTTTTTTTTTTTTTGAGACAAGATCTCACTCTGTCTCCCAGGCTGGAGTGCAGTCTGGCTCACTGTGGCCTCGACCTCCCAGGCTCAAGTGATCCTCCCACCTTAGCCCCCCAAGTACAGGCAAGTGCCACCACACCCAGCTAATCTTTGTATGTTTTGTAGAGACAGGGTTTCATCATGTTGCCCAGGCTGGTCTTGAACTCCTGAGCTCAAGCGATCTGCCCACCTCAGCCTCCCTAAGTGTTGGCAGGCACGAGCCATTGCGCCCAGCCAACACTCTTAATTATAGTGGATTTAACAGGACTGAGCATTCTTAAGCTTGCCTGTGAGTGATGGTCTCAATTTATGGCTATTTTACACACACTGTCATACAATAGCTTTTATCTAGTAATCAGATGGTTCTCTGCAGGAAAAGTATTATTATGGTCAATGTGAAAAACTGGAGTTTGCAACCATACTGTCTAGAAAGCAGCTTTACTGGAATTGCTGCCTTAAATCATAAGAACTGACTTTTTTTTTACTGTTTTTTTTCTTTCTGGATTCAGGTGTGAATGAAAGAAAATGAGATCTGGAACCTTGATGCTATTGAATCAAACTCTACTTTCCTCGCTTGTAAATTGGGGTAGGGTAACAACCATGATAATTATGACAACAGCAGCCAGCTTTCCTCCTTGCCTCATACAATCTTTGTGAGGCTTAAATGACCAAATAATATTGGATGCTTTACATTTGCCTGACACTCTGTATTAGTCTGTTCTCACAGTGCTATGAAGAAATACCCAAGACTGGGTAATTTATAAAGGAAAGAGGTTAAATTGACTCACAGTTCTGTATTGCTGGGGAGGCCTCAGAAAACTTACAATCATAGCAGAAGGCAAAAGAGAAGCAAACACCTCCTCCACAGGGCAGCAGGGGAGCAAGTGCAAGCAGGAAATGCCAGGTGCTTATAAAACCATCAGCTCTCGTGAGACTCACTCACTATCACGAGAACAGCATGGGAGAAACCACCCCCATGATCCAATTACCTCCACCTGGTCTCACCCTTGACAAGTGGGGATTATGGGGATTACAATTCAAGGTGAGATTTGGGTGGCGACATGAAGCCAAACCATATCACACTGCCTAGTTGTTTATAAATCTCATTTCATTCTCACATAAACTATATCCAGTAGCTGCTTTTGTTGTTCTTCACATTATATAAATGAGAAAAACCAAGGCTCAGAAAGGAGAAAATACCTTGCTTGAAATTATGCTTTTGTCACATGGCATAGTTAGAATTCAAACCAAGTTCTATCTGATTATAAAGCACTCCTGTTTAAGTGAAAAGTTCCTTTTTCCATTTCAACTTCATTTTGTATTTCCTTAAACATTATCTGTACAATTATTAGAGTTGGTAATATCTGCACATCGTATACAATACCAAAATATGTACACAAGGGTAAAAAGTGAAAATAAGTCTTCTAGCTGGGTGCTGTGGCTCACGCCTGTAATCCCAGCATTTTGGAAGGCCAAGGCCAGTGAATCACCTGAGGTCAGGAGTTCGAGACCAGCCTGGCCAATATGGTGAAACCCCATCTCTACTAAAAATACAAGAATTAGCTGGTCGTGGTGGCAGGCACCTGTAATCCCAGCTACTCAGGAGGCTGAGGCAGAGAATTGCTTGAACCTGGGAAGCGGAAGTTGCAGTGAGCCGAGATCCTGCCACTGCACTCCAGCCCGGGCAACAAGATCCTGCCACTGCAATCCAGCCTGGGCAACAAGAGAGAAATTCAGTCTCAAAAAAAAAAAAACCCAAAAACAAGAAAATAAGTCTTTCTCCCTTTCCTATACAGTATACTTGACATCCCTTTCCTATACAGTATACTTGACACCTGGTTTCCTTCTTGATGTAGTCACAGTTACCAGTTTATATCCCATGGGAGATATCTTATGGATTAAACACACACACACACACACACACACATATACAGCCGCCATTGTTTTCACATAAATGGTAGCATCCTATAGTGTTCTGTAGCTTGCTTAGTATTTCATGTTATAGAAATATCAGAATGTTTGCAGTCCTTTTTAAATAGACATTCAAGGATAGTCCAGTCTTCAAACATCAAAAATGTTAGGCCGGACGTGGTGGCTTATGTCTGTAATCTCAGTACTTTGGGAGGCTGAGGTGGGTAGATCACCTGAGGTCAGGAGTTCAAGACCAGCCTGGCCAACAATGGTGAAATCCCATCTCTACTAAAAATACAAAAATTAGCTGGGCGTGGTGGCACACGCCTATAATCCCAGCTACCCAGGAGGCTGAGGCACGAGAATTGCTTGAACCCAGGAGGCGGAGGTTGCAGTGAGCTGAGATCGCACCATTGCACTCCAGCCTGGGTGAAAGAGCGAAACTCCGTCTCAAAAAAAAAAAAAGAAAAAAAAAAGCAAATGTCAAAAATATTGCTGTAATAAATATTCTTTGGGGAAAACATACATGAAGGATAAACTGCTAAACTAGTGAGAGAGTAGGAACAGGGCTTGGCTTCTTTTGGCTTCAGCCCGCCACACTAGAGCATTCTTTCATGCATCCCCACTGATCACAAAACCTACTCCACTACCTCACTGATGCCATCACGTTTTCTGGGTTTTGTTTTGTTTTTTGAGACAGAGTTTCGCTCTTGTTGCCCAGGCTGGAGTGCAATGGTGCGATCTTGGCTCACCACAACCTCTGCCTCCCAGGTTCAAGCGATTCTCCTGCCTCAGCTTCCCCAGCAGCTGGGACTACAGGCGTGTGCCATCACACCCAGCTAATGTTTTATTTTTAGTAGAGACGCGGTTTCTCCATGTTGGTCAGGCTGGTCTCTAACTCCTGGCCTCAGGTGATCCGCCTGCCTCCCAAAGTGCTGGGATTACAGGCGTGAGCCACCACGCCCGGCCAATCCCCTGTGTTTTTCCTTAAAGAATTCCAGGAAGTGGCCTTAGGAAATAACCAAGGTTGTCCTCAGAAAGGAATGCTGAACGACTGATTTACAGCCTTGTTGCCTCCGACCAGACCACCAGGTGGCCCTTACTCAAGATAAACATAGCAACCAGATCACGCTGACCTGTGTCTCCTGCCCCTCACATGCCTTGCCCAGCCCAGCCTCCATACCCTATCACTGATGTCAATTCCTGCGCTTTGCCTAATAAAAAAGCCCTACGGCTCTTTTCTGGAAGTCAGTCAGGGAATTCTCTCACTCATGCTGCTTTCCTTATGTCTGGGCATAAGTTCCAATGAGGCCTTGTTTGGGAAAGCTCTTTCAACTTCATGTCAATTTCTATTGCATTGAGAGCCCAAGAATCCATGGTCAGTAACACTAGTAGTGAAACTACTCTTCACGTTGTATGTGTTTTGAATTTTGATAAATATTGCCACATTGCCTTCCCTAGAGGTTATATCAATTTACAATATTGGCAAGAATATGGGTTTTTTTTTTAACATCCTACCAACAAATTATGACAAATAAAAACATGTTCTTTTACAACTTTTATTTTAACATATTTTATTTTGTTAGTATATTTTTATGTTTGAAAATCACCTTGAATTACTTTTACTCAAATTTTAACTTTGTTTCCCTTGCACTTTTTTTTTTAGTTTATGTAAAAATTTATTTGACCAAAATGTAGAAAAAGTGATACTATTACATATGATACAGTTGTAAGAATCTTAAGAAAAGTATGGATTTTATTCAATAGCACAATTTGCTAGTGTATTTCCTGGATAGTGTGATGCTGAATAAATAGGAGTAGGGTGGTGGGGTGGGGTGGATAGGGGATTCAGATAAGCCAGAAGCAGGGTGATTTTTAGTCAGAATTGAAAACTTGAGTTGGCCCCCACACGCTGCTGGGGAATGTGAAATGTTTCAGCTCTGAGATGTTAACTGAGAAAACAAAGTAAAAAGAAGCCAAAATGTGCAGCCCCGTCTTCAAAATCCTCCATTATCCAGTTTAATCAGGAGTTTCTTGGTCTTTTATCAACTTGGTCCTAAAGAAGGAATTCAAGTTCTACATAAGTGAAACTTCAATTTGCTATTCCTGAAGTATGGAAATGAAGTTGGGCCAGTTTTTAATCTCTGCTGCCAGAGAGGCCCTTTCTGCTAATAGAACAAAGCTCTTTTGCTCAATTTATTAATGCCTTGTAGTCTTTTGAATATGGCTGACTTGAATTGGACTGAACTCCACCATATTCCTGCTGAGTGGATGGGTCATTATTGGAATGAGACACTTGCTCCTCAGAGAACAACTTTTGATTTTGTTTTTTCTTGTGATGGAGTGTCTCACTCTGTCACCCAGGCTGGAGTACAGTGGTGCCATCTCAGCTCACTGCAACCTCCACCTCCCAGATTCAAGCAATTCTCCCACCTTAGCCTCCCTAGTAGCTGGGACTACAGGCATGTGTCACCATGCCCAGCATTTGTATTTTTAGTGGAGGCGGGGTTTTGCCGTTTTGCCAGGCTGGTCTCAAATTCCTGACTTCAGGTGATCCACCTGCCTTGGCCTCCCAAAGTGTTGGGATTACAGGCGTGAGCCACTGTGCCTGGCCAGAGAACAACTTTAGAATGAAAGAAATATGCAGAAGAACATCACATCAAGCATCTATCCAGAAAATATGTGGGTAATTATGAAGCATTCTCATGCTGACTGCTTGAGAGGATGTTTGTTCTGCATGGTGGAGTGTGGAGAAGAGCCAGGATGCTTAGGTTAATCTATCTGTGGTTTATGACTTCCCACAACAGCAAACCCCCACCCACCATTTTTGTTTTGTTTTGTTTTTGTTTTTTTTGCCTCTGGATGGAAAATCCCCACCCATGTGATGGTCCCTGGTCTCTCCTGTCGTCTGACCAATGGTTGACCCAAATGGTTATGTTCTTCAGCGTTTTAAATAGATCCATTACTAGATATTGGAGTCTGTGTTCTCCAAAGTGTGGGGTTGCCTGTTCTCTTGTCGCCCAGGCTGCAGTGCAATGGTGCAATCTCCGCTCACTGCAACCTCCGCCTCCCGGGTTCAAGCAATTCTCCTGCTTCAGCCTCCCGAGTAGCTGGGATTACAGGCGTGTGCCACCACGCTCGGCTAATTATTGTATTTTTAGTAAAGACGAGGTTTCACCATGTTGGCCAGGCTGGTCTCGAACTCCTGACCTCAAGTGATCCACCCACTTCAGTCCCCTAAAGTGCTGGGTATACAGGTGTGAGCCACTGTGACTGTCCGCCCTCTGTCCTAAGAGACTGCGTTTACTAGGAAATACCCTGCCTACCTTAGGAATAAATGCAACGCAAAGGAAAAAATAGAGCTGAAAAAGCTGGTGCCATTTTTAAAAAAAGGAAGAAATGAGATTTAACTGGTGCTCAAAGCTTCTGATACAAAATATGTGGTCATGTATTCATAATTTGCTTGACATTTCCAGCAAAACAAAGATGGCAATAACAAAAGAAACTTCTTACAAGAGAAGAGAAAGACACTCGGAGCTCCGGAGTTTCTGCTGGAACAAGGCTCTTCCGTTTTGGTTATATACAGTCAAGTTCATTTAGTGCCTGATCCAGTGTCTGATATAAGCCCGCGCTCTCTTCTTTGGCCTGGGCAAATTTCTCTTCCAGGTCATCAGTTGTCTTTTCCAGTTTTGCAACCATTATCTCTACAAATTCAGCACGGATCTCAGCCTCCTTCAGTTGTCAGACAGAAGTTTAATTTTTTCTTCGTATTTGTCCTCCTTGTCAGAATACTTTCCAATGCAGCCTCCGGCGGTTTCAGATTGTTAGTGACATTCTTGAGTTCTTCTGCCAGGTCACCACATTTTAGTTCAGACACCTCTGCACGCTCCTCTGCTCTGGCCAGTTCGCCCTCTGTGATGGCCAGTTTCCGAGCTACCTCCTCTTATTTGCGGTCAGCCTCCGGCCGCAGTGTGCTTGGCCTCTTTGAGCTGCATCTCCCGAATCCATCTTCTCCTCATCCCTCATAGCCCGGTTTTCTATCACCTTCATTCTCTCTCACGCTCATCTGCAGCCTTTTCCCCCCTCCTCTAGCTTCTGCAGGGCCGTGACCAGTCGTTCCCGAGCCCCGTCCAACTCCTCCTTAAAGAGCTGGATGCACATGTACCCTAAAACTTAAAGTATAATAATAATAATAAAAAAAGAAAAAAAAAAAAAAAAAGAGCTGGATGCGTCAGTCGAGGACAGCCACATCGCCTTCAGCTTTCTCGCGCCGCTCGCTCGCGCCCCCCGCTCGCGCCCCCAGTCCAGCTGCCGCTGCAGGCCCTGCGCGCAGTCTTCGCCTTGTCCGCCTGCTGCGGCAGGGCCTGAATCTTGCGTTTCACCGCCTGCGGCGGGCGCCCCGGACCCGGCCGGGTTCGGACGACAGCTGCACGGCCGCGCCTCGGCCCCTGAACTTTTGCCTGCACCGGGGCCGCCCCGCACCCCCCGCCAACCCCCAGCCCCGGCCCGGCTGCCGTCGGGGCGATGAGGTCACCCGCCCTTGCACGATATCTGTTGATTTGGGGATTTGTTCCTACTGACTATAGGAGTCAATTTTCTTGGGTTTTTCAGGCACGATGATAGCAACTAAAGTTTTTGCTTCCATCTTTTAAATGTTTTATTTCTTGTTACTTTTTTCTGATTCCAGTTGAACTATACTGTAATGGTAAATAGCCTTGTTATTTATTTATTTATTTATTTATTTATTTATTTATTTATTTTATTTTATTTTTTTACGACACGGGGTTTCACTCTGTCGCCCAGGCTGGAGTGCAAGTGGTGCCATCTTGGCTCACTGCAACCTTCACCTCCTGGGCTCAAGCGATCCTCCTACCTCAGTCTCCTGAGTAGCTGGGACTATAGGCGCGGGCCACCAAGCCCGGCTAAATTTTTTTTTTTTTTTTTTTTTTTTGGGATTTTTAGTGGAGACAGGGTTTCGCCATGTTGGCCAGGCTGTCTAAAACTCCTGACCTTAGGTGATCCGCCTGCCACCGCCTCCCGAAGTGCTGGGATTACAGGTGTAAGCCAGCCTCATCTTATTCTCAATATTAATGAGAATGTTTCCAGTCTTTCACCAAAAAGCACAATTTGGGAGATGTGTTTTCATTGACTTAAGAGAAATTCATCTATTTCTATTTTACTAAGGGTTAGAAAAATCAAGAATGGATGTCAAATATTCTTAAAAGCATTTTCTGTACAAATGAGATTATCATGTAATGTCAAAATTGTATTTGTACAATTTTGCATAATCTGTATTTATGTAATTTTGTATAAATTGTATTTATACAAAATTGTATTTATATGGTCAGTTTTCTTAAGATGGATTTCCTGGTATTGCACCACTGCTATGTTCCTGATTCCTGTGTTAGTGGTGTAGTTTTTTCTTTTTTTTTTGAAACGGAGTCTTGCTCTGTCGCCCAGGATCTTGGCTCACAGCAACTGCCGCCTCCCGGGTTCAAGCGATTCTCCTGCCTCAGCCTTCCAACTAGCTGAGATTATAGGCATGTGCCACCATGTCCTGCTAATTTTTGTATTTTTAGTAGAGGAGGGGTTTCACCATGTTGGCCAGGCCGGTCTCGAATACCTGACCTTAGGTGATCCACCTGCCTCGGCTTCCCAAAGTGCTGGGATTACAGGCGTGAGCCACCGTGCCCAGCCAGTGGTATAGCATTTTTAATATGATGCCAGACCTATGCATCAATAGACTTTTGCATTGATATTTGTAAGTGAGACTGGCGGCTGTTTCTGTTTGCAGTATTTTGGTCAGGTTTGGCATCTTTTCTTCCTCCTCTATGCTTTGGAACTGTTTAAATGTAAAGCCCAAACCCTTAATCACTATGTAAGACTGACTACATCCCCAGTGTGCATGTAAACATTTTGGTAAATTCTATGTGCTTTACAAATGTTAACTGTCAGAGGCAGCAATATCCCAAATGTCGGAGTACAAGTGATCCTGAGAGGAGAGTATTAAGATTAAAGGAGGTGAGAGTTGCCTTGATTACCCTAGAGCTGCAGGTACCATTTCCATCTCTTGCCCCCTTTTTTAATGCACCATGAAAAATCAGATTTCCGTTCCTATGAGATTCTTATGAATGGAAATCAGGCCTCCCTTCATACATTTGAGATGAGAGTGGGAAGGGGCCTTGGAAGCCCCAAGTCAGCCTCCTCCATTCTAGGAAGACAGAGACACGGCCCCAGAGGTGACAGAATGGCCTGAAAGTGCACTGCATGACTGCGACAGATTTCAAACCCAGGCACGTTGCTCTGGCCTTATGTTCTTTCTGTGACTCTAACTGCCTCTCTTGCAGCAACAGAACTGAGAAACTTCTCAGAGGCCCCAGCAACGGACCCCAGCACCCCTTCTATCTCAGTCAGATTTCCCAGGCTCATCTCACCTTAGGGATGGTGCACTGTCTGAATAGGCCCTGGGCCACAGCACTGGGCAGAGTAGAAGGAAGGAGAGTGATTTATCATTGTATCTCATGCAGGCTGGCCCAGCTTCGTCTTGTCCTTCACGGAGCAGCTTTGATTGCATCCAATCACATGATCAATTTCTTCATGAACTTTGTCTGCAGAGACATGAATCATGAATGTGACTTGGAAATGCTCTGGAAGTGCTCGCAATGTGTGACAGAAAGTGGCCTAGAAAAGGATCCCAGGAGGCCGAGGCGGACGGACCACTTGAGCCCAGGAGTTCGAGACCAGCCTGGGCAACATAGGGAGACCCCCATATCTACAAAAAACACACAAAAAATTAGCTGGGCATGGTGGCACACATCTGTAGTCCCAGCTACCAGGGAGACTGAGGTGGGAAGATCACTTGAGCCCAGGGAGGTCAAGGCTGCGGTAAACCATGATCACGCCACTGCACTCCAGCCTGGGCAAGTGAGACCCCGCCTCAAAATAAAATAAAAGGCTCCTAAGGTCAAAGACATGTTGTTAAGCAACCCATTGCTCTGCTCCTGATGGAATTCCTGTTGTCTATTTTGCTGCAAATACCAGGGACTTTGTTGCAGGAAAAATGAAGACTGGGTCAGGTGTGTCCTCAGCCTCCTGGCTTAATTGGTTTGTTCTCCTGCAGAGGCGAGGAGAGGACCTGGGTAGCGGGGATTCTGACTTATTCCACATTACCTGGCAATGCAGCTGTTGAGGGGAAGTGTTTAATCCTCACTCTAGTGGGGCCATCTTCCTTGTCAGCTTCACCCACTCTCCTGCATGTTTTGTGGAAATGGCAAACACCATTTTGTTGAGCAATACAAACACTGGCTTCCTACAGCCGGATCTCTGAGAATGTGCTTGAGATAATCCAGTGACTACAATTTCATTTTTTAATTTCAATTCAAAATTATATCAGAGGTAAGAGTCCCCTTTGGGGAGTTTGGTCCATTTTCAAAGTGGGAAAATAGAAGTATGCAAGATGAAATAACTTGCTTGAGGTCACACAGTCAAGTACTGGCAGGCCGGGGATGAGAAGCCAGCATGGAACCCATGTGTCCTCCATTCCATTAGGGCTCACTCTTGGGCAAGCATCTCATATATAAAATTTGGGGTTCAGAAGCTCCTCTCCATTTTTAAACTGAAACGAAAGGCTTTGAGTTCTTAAAGGCCTCTCTGCTTATCAGCATCATTAGACATAATTCTGATCTATAAAAGCAAAACCACAATGAATGGCCCTTTGCATGATGTTCTACGAAGCAGCCAAGAGAAAATGAAGCATCAGGTGGAAGCTAGACTTGACATGAAACCACATCTATGTCTAACTTTTCCCTCTTCCTGTCCTGTTTCTTTCATCCACATACATACAAGTTTCTCCTGATTGCATTGCCTTGATAAATCACTCATACAAATGCCTGTTTTAGGCTCTGCAACTAGGAAACCTGCTCTAAAACGACTCCTAGCTGCTCTCTCTGAATCCACGGTTGATGGCTACAATCTGTCCTCCACATCACAAATATGATCATTCTCTACAGGCTTAGACCCTGGAAATAATTTCCATTGCTATTGGGATAAAGAGGAAACATTGCTATGGCCTCCCAGGTCTTTGGCAGAGGTCTGGCTACTGACCTCCCGCTGCCGTGGCCTTGGTCACGCCGGCTTTCTTTCTCCCCCTCTAATTCCCAGCTTTCTTTGCCTTGGGGCCTTTGCACATCTGGTTCCCCTCCTTGGTATATTTTTCTCTACCATCTTCATACCACTGATCCCTACTCACTCTTCAGCTCTTAGCTCAATCACTGCCCATGGAGGGATGTACCCAGTGGGCCTTGAGTTAGAAGTCCCTCCCTGGCTCACATTAGTTCCTGCCACTTCCTCCCATAGCAGCTTGTACTCCCTCTCTTAGCATTTCATTGTTATCGCTTGTTTTAGTGATCTTTGCATTAGACTATAAGCTCCATGAAGGCAAGGACTGTATTATTATTAATCTTCTCTTTTATTAGCTTAACATTCTGATGAACTGTATCATTCTTAATGAATAAGTAAATTTATTTAAATTTCTTTTATTGTGCACCTGTAATATTCCATGCATGTACTAGTTGTTAATAGACACTGTGGGAAATTGACACTGTCCTAGCCCTCTGGGAGTATATAGTGTAGTGGAGAATATAGAAGTAAATTAAATAATATATCATTAAACAGTGACAAGTGCTATGAAAGACAACTGCAAGGTATTATTATTATTATTACTATTTATTTTTTGAGACAGAGTCTTGCTCTGTTGCCCAGGCTGGAGTGCAGTGGTGCTGTCATGGCTCACTGCAGCCACAACCTCCTGGGTTCAAGAAATCCTCCCACCTTAGCCTCCTGCGTAGCTGGGACTACAGGCATGCTCCACCATGCCCAGATAATTTTTTTTGTATTTTTTGTAGAGATGGGGTTTCGCCATGTTGCCCAGGGTGGTCTCGAACTTCCTGGGCTCAAGCAATCTGCCCACCTCAGCCTCCCAAAGTGCTAGGATTACAAGCATGCACCACTGCACCTGGCCATTATTACCATTTACAAAATTTTTTTTTCATTGCCAGTATCGGGAGATAATTTGTAGGGTATTATCTGACTCATCATTTTATTCCCTTTACCAAGCAAGTCTGATACACAATGGATGCTAAATAAAAATTTTGAAGGATTAAATAAACAACCTGGCTATTACGTTTTATTTTCCTCCTTCCCAGATACACATCTAGCCTTCTGAGAGTCCATCAGAATGAATAGGACATTTTCACATACCTCCTCAGTAAGTAGAATGATTTTAAATGCCTTAACTGATTCCAAGGAAATCTGTGAGAAGTAACTGCAAAATCATGGCAACATTTCTGCCTTAGACAGAGTTTCTAAAGGAACCAGCCCTCCGGGAGCTTAAGGGTAAACAGGTTATTATGAATTAAATGTTTGCTATAATTTGCATATATATGATATAGTTGAGTGGTAGTTTTCTTTCATTTATGTATATTTGGGGGAACTTTATATAAATAATGCTAATTTTACAGAGCTCAAAGTATAATTTTCAGATTCTGAGTTGTTATATGTGTTTATACATTGACATGTTTTTCTTCTGTCCAGCTGACATTTAATGCTCAATTGTATTCTAAGGACCGGTGACTGTGCTATAGTTGTTGTTCAACACATTTAACAACACCCACGATTAATGTATAATACATTTGCTTTAGAATTCTTTATCCAGGGCCAATTTCAAACAACAAAATTGTTTCTATGTGAAAACATAATCAACTTTTTATAATGTATTGATCTATGACATGCTCTCTGGGAAGGCATTGTGGCTAAAGTGGCTATGGCCTGGCACAGTGGCTCACGCCTAAAATCCCAGCACTCTGGGAGGCCAAGGCAGGTGGTGCCTGTAATCCCAGCTACTCAGGAGGCTGAAGAAGGAGAATTGCTTGAACCTGGGAGGCGGAGGTTGCAGTGAGCCAAGTTCATACACCTGCATTCCAGCCTGGACAACACAGCAAGACCCCATCTCACCAAAAAAAAAAAAAAAAAAAAAGAGTTTACTTTACTTTTCTTTTTTTTTTTTTTTAGCAGCTCCTTGTGGAGCATGGCTAACTCATAAGTACTATGCCCAGAGTTGGCCTTAACATTTTCATTCAACAAACCCATCAGGGAGAGGAATGTCTCATTCTTGTACTGGAAACACTCCTTGAAGAGGAAGGAGCAGGTAAATTGCAGGGAGCAGAGGCAAGGATGAACGTGGAGTCAAAAGGCTGAGCCGATGTGAGAAAATAGCAGCCCCCACATTTAGAATTTAATCATCTTGCATCAGGATTTGAAGACCTGGGCTTCCCTCCTGTCAGATTTATATAGAGTTCATTTTCGTCTAAACTTCTCCAACCTAGGATGTAATAATAAATATAGTAGCAGTACTATATTATAGCATAGGATACCAATTGCTGTGTAGTATTATACTATACTGCTAATAACATATATGGATGCGATAATAGTAATCATAGCAACAAGTAATATTACGGAGCATTGATGATATGTTGGATACTGTGTAAATGTTTTAAATACTGTATTATTTCATCTTCATTCTGAGGTTTGGTTTTTAGCCCCTCATTTTTAGATGACAAGAATGCATCTTAGAAAAGTTAATTTGGGCCAGGCGCGGTGGCTTACGCCTGTAATCCCAGTACTTTGGAAGGCCGAGGCGGGCAGATTGCCTGAGGTCAGGAGTTCAAGACCAGACTGGCTAACATGGTGAAACCCCATCTCTACTAAAAATACAAAAATTAGCTGGGTGTGTTGGCACATGCCTGTAATCCCAGCTACTTGAGAGGCAGGAGAATCGCTTGAACCTGGGAGGTGGAGGTTGTGGTGAGCTGAGATGGCAACACTGCACACCAGCCTGGTGACAGAGCAAGATTCTGCCTCAAAAAAAAAAAAAAAAAAAGGAGAATTTGTCAGGCTGGTTGGCAGTGGCTCACGCCTGTAATCCCAGCACTTTGGGAGGCCGAGGTGAGTGGATCATCTGAGGTCAGGAGTTCGAGACCAGCCTGACCAACATGGAGAAACCCCATCTCTACTAAAAATACAAAATTAGCCAGGCATGGTGGTGCATGCCAGTAATCCCAGCTAATCGGGAGGCTGAGGCAGGAGAATTGCTTGAACCCGGGAGGCGGAGGTTGCGGTGAGCTGAGATTGCGCCATTGCACTCCAGCCTGGGCAACAAGAGTGAAATTCCGTCAAAGAAAGGAAGGGAAGGGGAGGGGAGGTGGGGAGGAAAGAGGGGAGGGAGGGAGGGAGGGAGGGAGGAAGGAAGGAAGGAAGGAAGGAAGGAAGGAAGGAAGGAAGGAAGGAAGGAAGGAAAATTTGTCCAAAAAAGCAAAAAATAAAAATTTAAAAACTTTTAAAAGGACAAAACAGAAAAGTTAGTTTGTCCAAATTTACACATCTGGTAAGTGCCGAAGTTGGGAAATGAATCCAGACAAAAGGATTCCAGGGTTAGGGTTACAAATAGCTTTGGAGATCATCTTCCTCCCATCCCTTTACTCCTTGCTCCCTCCGTGATGGAGAGAGCAGATCTTGGGTAATCATAGAGTCACTTCCCAGGGAGGAGTGTGGACGGGGCAGTGTGTGTAAGAAGTCCCCGTGCCCCCAAGGGCACGGTCAAGGGAATTCTCCCTCTGCTTTTCTGAGCTCCTCCACCAGGCCCTGGGCTCCCTCCTGCACCCTCTCCTCAATGTTTTTCTTCCCATCCCAAAGTTGCTCAGGATCATAAGGGAGAAGCGTTATGTTTGTTTCCACTTCTCTCCATTACTGAAAAACAGCCCTAGGAGAGAAGCAATGAGCAAAAAAGTACTTTGTATCATAGAGCTCAGCTTTCCCTCAAGTTTCCAGTGCCCCTTACCAGGGATTAAGAGCTGGGAATTTAACAGCGGATCTGTGGTTTGGGTTGAAATGTTTGTTATAAAGAAAATAAAATCCAAGTTCTGGTCAAAGGAGGCAGAAAAGGTGGAACTGGACAAGGGGGATGGTTGGCAGGTAGAGAAAATTCCCAAGAAAGGAAGGGTCCTCTGTCTGGTTTTGTTAAAACAAAACAAAACAAAACAAAACAAAAAAAAGTCAAAAATGGTATATGATCTCACAAACCCACTTCCTGGGTTGGCTGGCTGGCTGGTTGGTTGGTTGGTTGGTTTGTCTCTTTCTTTCTTTCTTTTTCTTTCTCTTTTTTTTTTTTAACCTTTAATCTCTTTCTAACTTCTGCTTTAGTTCAGTTCTATATGTGATTTTTCTCTATTAGAGGATAAACAACTTCAAAGCAAATCAATATGGGGTTTATGTTTCTATTGTCCTCAGAATTTACTATAGCTAATGTTAGCCTCATCTGAATAAGAAGAAACAGTGGAGCAACGGAACCCAGGATGTTTCATACCAATGCTTACTTCTTCCTTTGAACAATATATCCTAAATTTCCTATTTCTCTTTTTTCTTTCTTTTAAAATTGTAAATAAATTTTTTAAATGTTGTACTTTTTTTGGGAGATAGGGTCTCACTCTTGTCACTCAGGCTGGAGTTCAGTGGTGCCACCATGGCTCACTGCAGCCTTGACCTCCTGGGCTCAAGTGATCCTCCTACCTCAGCCTCCCAAGTAACTGGGACTACAGGCACACGCCACCAGACTTTTTTTTTTTTTTTTTTGCAGAGATGAGGTCTCACTATGTTGCCCATGCTGGTCTCAAAATCCTGGGCTCAAACAGTTCTCCTGCCTCAGCCTCCCAAAGTGCTGGGATTATAGGTGTGAGCCACTGCGCTGGGGCCTCCTATTTCTCTTAATGCACCATCAATGTCTAGAGCTCCCAAATCCAAATCTTAGGGGCATCTTCTCATCCTTCTTGCCCTTCACTTTACGTATCTGCTTTTGCTAAGCCTTATTGATTGACTCCATCTCCAAAATGTCATTCTCATCTTTCCCTTCCTGCCAATCCATACTGCACCACTATACTTCAGGTTCTAACATTTTCAGAAATCTAAAAAGTTACACTTGTCTCAGACTAGTTTCCTCTATCGGCCCTCTAACTCCACAGAGTTGCCAGATTACTGAAAACCAAATTACAAGGACAACACTGATGTCTTTAAAATCTCAGCCTTTCCGCCATTACTGCATGTCCCTCAACTCCCACTCTGTGCGTGATGGGCCAAGCATAGCTGTTCACTAAAATCCACGCTGTTTTGCGTCCTCATTTTGCTCATTCTTTCCCTTGTGCTTACAGTTGTGCTCCTGCTCTTTTTGCTTCTTTGAGTTTCTAACTATCACTTTAAGAGCCGTCTCAAAAACCTTCTCTTTGAAGTCTTTCCTGTACTTCTGTACTGGAGGTAATCTCTCCTTTAACTTTACTTTGTAATGCTTTAATGCAATTTATATTTTCTCTCTTGTTTTCATCATTTGTTTACTTGCGCAATTCCTTATTCTAGATTTTGGTGTCCTATAACTTAGAATGAGGTTACAGGATTGGATACAGGTTAAAGGATATCATGTGTCACAGGATATTTCCTGTGACACATGATAGTCTCTTACCTTCCACATGGAAGATGTTCAATACATAATTTTTAAAATATTCATCACTAACCCCGTCTCTACTAAAAATAAGAAAAAAATTAGCCAGGCGTGATGGTGCGCACCTGTAGTCCCAGCTACTCGGGAGGCTGAGGCAGGAGAATCACTTGAACCTGGGAGGCGGAGGTTGCAGTGAGCTGAAACTGCACCACTGCACTTCAGCCTGGGCAACAGAGTGAGACTCCATCTAAAAAAAAAAAAAAGAAATTCATCCCACATCTACAAAATTGGCAAGCACTTAAAATTATAGTACCCAGAGAAATCAAGCTTGTGGCAAATTTGATGCATTCATTTGGTCACTTTGCATATCGCTATATATTTTGGAAATGATTTTGGAAATTAAAGCAACATTTACAGCAAAAACCATTAAAATTATCTTTGATCCATTAATTGCTGTCTTAAGAATTTATACAAATAAATAATTCAGGCCAGGCATGGTGGCTCACGCCTGTAATCCCAGCACTTTGGGAGGCCGAGGCGGGCAGATCATGAGGTCAGGAGATCGAGACCATCCTGGCTAACATGGTGAAACCCCATCTCTACTAAAAATACAAACAAATTAGCCAGGTGTGGTAGCGGGCACCTGTGGTCCCAGCTATTCGGGAGGCTGAGGCAGGAGAATGGCGTGAACCTGGGAGGCGGAGCTTGCAGTGAGCCGAGATTGCGCCACTGCACTCCAGCCTAGGTGACAGAGCGAGACTCCATCTCAAAAAAAACCAAAAAGAAATAATTCAACAAAAGATACAAGATGTACACTACAATGCTATTATCAATCAAGGAAAATGACTGAGGCAAGTCTCAAATCATTTTAGCAGGTTTATTTGCCCAAGGACGTGTGCGCAGGAGACAGGTCTATGCCTTTCTCCAAAGATGATTTTGAGGGCTTCAGTATTTAAAAGGGAAAGAGCACTGTATTAGTCTGTTTCACACTGCTATAAACAACTACCTGAGACTGGGTAATTTATAAAGAAAAGAGGTTTAATTGACTCACAGTTCCAGACAGCAGGGGAGGCCTCAGGAAACTTACAATCATGGTAGAAGGCGAAGGGGAATCAAGGCACATCTTACATAGTGGTAGGAGAGAGAGAGAGAGAGAGCAAAAGGGGAAGTGCCATACTTTTAAACCATCAGGTCTTGTGAGAACTCACTCACTATCACAAGAACAGCAAGGGGGAAATTCGCCCCCATGATCCAATCACCTCCCACCAGGCCCCTCCCCTAACATGTGTTACAATTTGACATAAGATTTGGGTGGGGACACAGAGCCAAACCACATCAGGTGGGATATTCAGAAATACACAATTTTCATGTAAGGGAGGACAGCGGAAAATAGTCATTCATGCATTCGTCTGGCTCAGTGGAACTGTATTTTTACATAAGATAATGTAGACAGCAGGTCAGAGGAGACAATCAGATATGCATTTGTCTCAGGTGGGCACAGGGATGATTTGAGTTCTGTCCTGTGTCTCCCATCTGTGAAGATAAGCTATCAATTTGCATTGCCATGGTGAACTTTAACAGAAACGCTTTAGGGTAAAGACCTTGGGACCCATAAGGAATTTCCTTGTGGGCAGAGTGTGAAGGAGGTATGTAGCTGTTCATCTTTGTAGCCATCTTATTTAGGAACCAAAATGGGAGGCAGTTCCCAGCTTGACTTTTCCCTTTGGCTTAGTGAGTTTGGGGTCCCAAGATTTATTTTCCTTTCACACCATCAATACTAATTTAAGAAATCTGTGTACAATCTAAGTTCTAATAATTGGGTAATAGTTTGCATAATTATAATAAACCAATATTAGGAAAACAACCAACTATGAAAATGATAATTACAAAACCTATGTAGAAATATCAGAAATATTAATAACATTTTAGAAGAAATCAGTATGCAAAAATTTCTGGGCTGGGCATGGTGGCTTACACCTGTAATTTCCGCAATTTGTGAGGCTGAGGTGGGCAAATTCCTTGAGCCCAGGAGTTTAAGACCAGTCTGAGCAACATAGTGAGACCCTGTCTCTAATTTAAAAAAAAAGAAAGAAAAGAAAAAATGTCTATATACTATAAATACAACTGTGTAAAATATGCATGTATATGGACAATATCTGGGAGACAGTACATAAAAATAAAAATAAATGTGTTAGTATATTGAGGCAATATGCTTAGTGGTATGGGCTCTCAAACTAATCAGACTACATTCAAATCTTATCTCCAGCACTTTCTTCTTGGGGCAAGTTAATTAATTTTTGTTTGTTTGTTTGTTTGTTTTTGAGACAGGGTCTCACTCTGTCACCCAGGGTGGAGTGCTACAGTGTGATCTCAGCGCACTGCAGCCTCAACCTCCCGGGCTCAGGTGATTCTCCCATCTCAGCCTCTCGAGTAGCTGAGACTACAGGCACATACCACCACGCCCAGCTAGTTATTTATTTATTTATTTATTTATTTATTTATTTATTTATTGTAGTTCTTAGTAGAGACAGGGTCTTACCATGTTGACCAGCCTGCTCTCGAACTCCTGGGCTCAAGCCATCCACCCAATCAGGCTCCCAAAGTGCTGGGATTACAGGTGTGAGCCACTGAGCCTGGCCTATTTAACTTCGATTGCCTCAATAACTTCATATGAAGAATGAAAACAAAAAATAGTATCTTCCTCATGGGACCGCCGTGCTGACTAAATATGATAAAGCATGCAAAATCCTTAGTAGAGTATCCGGCACATAAAAGGTACTCATAAATGTTAGCTGTCATAATAATAATAATAATAATAATAATAATAATAATAATAATAATAATGAGAATTGTTATTTTCTCAAACTCCTGAGATCAAATGATCCCAAATTCCAAAGTGCTGAGATTATAGGCGTGAGCCGCCACTCCTGGCCTGAAAATTGTTAGACGCGATTGCAGGAGTACTTTTTCTCTCTCTCTCTCTCTCTCTCTCTTTTTTTTTTTTTAGAGATGGGGGCTCACTATCTCGGGCAAGCTGGTCTCGAACTCCTGGCCTCATGTGATCCTCCCATCTCAGCCTGCCAAAGTGCTGGTATTCTAGATGTGAGCCACTGTGCCTAGCCCTACCTCCTTTTTTAAAGAGATATAATCTCACTCTGTCGCTCAGGCTGGAGTGCAGTGGCATAACCCTAGCTTACTGCAGGCTTGAGCTCCTGGGCTCAAGCAATCCTCCCACCTTAGCCTCCCGAGTAGCTGGGATACAGGTGTGCGGCACCACACCCAGCTAATTTTTAAAACGTTTTGTAGAGAAAAGGTCTTGCTATGTCACCCAGGCTGGTCTTGAACTCCTGGAGTCAAGCAATCCTCCCATCTCAGCGTCTCAAAGTTCTGAAATTATAGGAGCGAGTCACTGTGCTTGGCCTAAATATTTAAAACAGAGGAAACTCAATCCAGGGAATTGGCATAAAGGAGATGGAAACACTGAGAGGCCACACCAGGGCAGCAAGCCAACCTGGTGATTATTAGCAGCAGAAAGTGGCTACCACCTCCCAGTGGAGGCACAAAAGGAGGAGTTGGCATCCTTGGAGCTCTTGGTTACCTGACAAGAGCCAGAACCAAAGCAGGTCTGTCCTGAAGGAGCTGGAGCTGCAGGGGACATACAGCCTAGGGGGAGATGCTAGCCCTGGCCTCCTCTCTCCTCCACTCCCCACTCTCTTGCCATTGCCTCCCTTTGGCTGATTCTACCAAAAGGCAGCTGTTAAAGAACTGTGGGAAGTCCAGCCTGCAGCACCCTAAAACTGTTGAATAAATAGGGCCCATGACAGACAGGAGAGAAATGGTTCTCAAGTCAGCACAGAGAAAAATGGATCATTCCTGAGGGAGAAGGCATTACCCAAGAGGTCAGATTCTCAGGCAGGTGAGATGCTGCAGGACCTAGGGCACAGGTGGAGATTCTCCCAATCAGGAGAAGGTACACTTTTTCAGTTGCAACCAGAGGAAAAAAGGAGAATATGGGTGTAGAGGCAGCGAGACCTATAGATAAAATGTTGAAGAGGAGAGAGAGTTCCTTGGTGATGCCTCTATTTTTTTTTTTTTTTTGAGACAGAGTCTTGCTCTGTTGCCCAGGTTGGAGTGCAGTGGCACGATCTCGGCTCACTGCAATCTTTGCCTCCCAGGTTCAAGCGATTTTCCTGCCTCAGCCTCCCGAGTAGCTGGGATTACAGGCGTGCACCACCACACCCAGCTAATTTTTGTATTTTTAGTAGAGACGGGGTTTCACCATGTCGGCCAGGCTGGTCTCGAAATCCTGATATCAGGTGATCCATCCTCCTCTTCCTGCCAAAGTGCTGGGATTACAGGTGTGCGCCACCGCACCCGGCCTATTTTTCTTTTAAATCCGTTATGATTCAATGGCTCTGAGAGTGTAAGTGCATAATTGGGGGTTAGTAGGAGAAATAAGGAGTCTCCGAGAGTAGAAAAGTGAGCAAAATCAAGGAACTAACCGAGCCGATCAAGACACTAGTCGAGGTCTGCAGGTATAAATGTAAAGGGAAGCTGGTCTAATTCTTGTGAGAATTTCCCTGGAAGTGCTCATTTTCTGAGCACAAACACAGAGAAGACAGGTGGTTGAATTCTTCCGGGGTTGGAGTATATGCCAGGCAAATATGATGGAGGGAGAGGGGGACAGTGTGTTTTCCAGGGACTGACTATAATCATGAGCTATGTGAAGGGTGCTTTGCTTTTTGTTTCTTTTTGTTTGTTGTGAGGCATTGTCTTGCTCTGTCTCCCAGGCTGGAGTGCAGTGGCGCCATCAAGACTCGCTGCAGCCTCAGCAGATCCTTTCTCCTGGGCTCAAAGGATCGAAGCAGCTGGGACTACAGGCGCTCGCCACCACGTCCAGCTAATTTTTTTTTTTTTTTGTAGAGACAAGGGCTCATTATGTTGCCCAGGCAGGTCTCAAACTCGTGGACTCAAGCTATTCTCCCACCTCGGCCTCCCAAACTGCTGGGATTATAGGCATGAGCCACCACGCCCAGCCCAGACTGCAGCTTTGATGCCCTTTGTCCAGCTTATTAAGCCTTTTTGCCCCATAGGGCAAGTAGGAGAGACGACTCCGCCTGGAATCAGGGGAGTTCCAGCAGTGGCCACTCTTCTTCCCCAGCAAGCACCATGGCAAGCCTCTCAAGGTTGTCCCTGATCGTCCCTGTGGGAGTCTGGTAGTGGGCCCAGAGGAAAGGGCTGCGAGAGGAGATAAGCCTCTTCTGTTTCCTTAGGTTTGCTCGCCTGCCTAGGACTTCACATATTCTTGCCAGCCCTCACTTGGCCATTAGCAATTCATGAAACATTTCTAGTTGAATCACCTTATACTGTGCGAGAGTGCTATTTGTCCCAGGCCAGCACGTGTTCCAGCCCTGTGTCGCCTGTCTTTCCTAGCTTTCGGGTAACACCTTTCCCTGAACCCTCAGTTCTCTGATGAATTCAAGAAAAGTTAATTTACTGTTGAGGTGTTTTTTTTTTTTTTTTTCTTATACGGGTAGAGCAATGCTTTTCTAGCTTTTTACTTCTCCAAGCTAAAACTGGAAGTCCTCAAATTATATTTATTGTAACACTCATAAATATTAAAGGTTTTGTGCCTGAGCTGGGTGCAGTGGCTCATGCCTGTAATCCCAACACTCTGTGAGGTTGAGGTGGGAGGATAGCCTGATGCCAGGAGTTTGAGACCAGCCTCAGCAATATAGTGAGACACTATCTCTAGAAATAAAAATAAAAAATTAGCCAGGTGTGGTGGCACATGCTTATAGTCCCAGCTACCCAGGAGGCTGAGTTGGGAGCGTGGCTTGAGGCCAGGAGGTCAGGGCCTCAGTGAACCATGAATGCACCACTGCAGCAGGGGGCAGCAGAGCAAGACCCCATCCCAAAGGACAAAACAAAACAAAGTTTTCTGCCCATGGAAAGAATATTTTATCCAAATGTAATAGTAGTTTCAATGAAAAGGTCATTCCGCCATACCTTGTGCATGGGAGCAGAAGTCTTCCCATTCATTCTTCATCCCACTGCAGCCCAGCTCTGCCCTCTTTCTACTGACATGGCTCCTGCTAAGGATGTGAACACCACCTCCTTGGCCAAATCCACATCTATGGTCCATGAACCCAACTGACAACTCTTCTTCCTTGGCTTCTGAGTCTCCCCGTCTCCCGCTGTCCTTCCCACCGCTGGGGCTGGTCTTTCCCAGGCTGCTCAGAGGGCCCCTTCATCTGCCTGGCAGCGATATCCCGTCCCTCCTGCTCTCCTGCGGTGTAGACACCACCTACCCATCAAGAGGAGAGGCCTTACTCCTCTCACTGTGAATTTGGGTTGGCTGTTGGGAGTTGCTTGCAATGAATAGACTGTGGCCATACATTCTGAGGTTTGGTAGGCAGAAGCTTCGCAGCCTCTGCCTCGCTCTCTAGATGTCCCCCAGGAGGCTCCCTCCCGGGTTCCAGGCACCAAGCCATGAGGTGGGCAGGCCATAAAGATGCTCCGGTTGATGCTCCCAGCTGACCTCAGCTTTGGGGTCATCCCCGCTCAGAAGCCAGACTTGTAAGTGAAGAAGCCTCAGCGGGATTCCAGCCCTCAGCCATTTGAATCCACGCAGCTGTCCAGGGTGGAAAAAATTGGATGTCTGCCGAGGCCCCAGGCTTAGTGGATCAGGGAAAAGCCATTTTCACTGTACCCCGTTCAGATTCCTGACCCACAGAACTTATAAGGATGAAAAATGCTGGTTGCTTTACATCACAGAGTTTGGGGAGGTTTGTCACATAACAAGAGATACTTGGAAGGCTCTCCCATGTCTCCTCACTCTTTATGGAGAAACTTGTGAATTTATATGTACACATTTAAAATACATTTATTTAGCTTGGCGCAGTGGCTCACGCCTGTAATCCCAGCACTTTGGGAGGCCAAGGCAGGCAGACCATTTGAGTCCTGGGGTTCGAGACCAGCCTGGGCAATATGGTGAAACCCCGTCTCTACTAAAAATACAAAAATTTGCTGGGCGTGGTGCCTGTAGTCCCAGCTACTCGAGAGTCTGAGGTGGGAGGATCACCTGAGGCATGATGGTGCCACTACACTCCAGCCATGGTGACCCTGTCTCAAAAATCAAATAAAATTTATGTAACATATATTTGTATATCATATATTTATATTATTATAGTTATTAATATATAATACATATAATATATAATTATAATATTTATATATTATAAATTGTAAATATATGCTGTAACATATTATGTATTTATGTAAATATATCTATTTTTAAGTATATTTACTTCTCTCTCTCACACCTGCGTCCCTGTAATTCTGGTGCTTTTCAAGGAAGCAATGCCCTCCACACCCTAGTGTGTCAGTGTGAAGTGCGTGGATGGGTTGCATAATTGCATAGTGGGTTGTTCCTATTTATGTAAGCCAGATTCTCCCATAGATCTCTACAATTTATACGTCAATAGATACTATTAGATTCCTTTCCAAAAATGTTATAGTATCTGTGCTCCCTCAGGTAAGGCATGAGGGGCTGTTTGTCCATGCCTCTAAGAACACTAAGTTATTTTAAACTTTGCATTTCAGTGAATGAACAATAGCTTCTAATATTGGTATGTGGCTCAGATGAATAAAATAAAGTAAGAGTTTGATCTGTTGCCATCTGTCAATGAGATAAAAATGTAAAGATTAAGAAATGAGAGGTCGGGCATAGTGGCTCACACCTGTAATCCCAGCTCTTTGGGAGGCCAAGGTAGGAAGCTTGTTTGAGCCCAGGACTTCAAGACCAGCCTAGGCAACATAGTGAGACCCAATCTCAACTTAAAAAAAAAAAAGAAATGAGGCAAAATATTGAGTCAATAGTTACCAGGAAAGGTTTCAACAACTTGATTAGTTAGACATATATTCCAGGAATATGCAGCACTATGTTATAGCTATTTAAAGATGTCAGAAAGCAGGGCAGGCATGGTGGCTCATGCCTGTAATTCCTGCACTTTGGGAGGCCAAGGCAGCAGGATTGCTTGAGCTCTGGAGTTCAAGAGCAGCCTGGGCAACATAGTAAGACCCCATTTCTACAAAAATTACAAAAATTAGCCAGGTGTGGTGGCACTTGCCTTTAGTCCCAGCTACTCGGGAGGCTGAGGCAGGAGGATTGCTTGAGCCCAGGACTGTGAAACCAGCCTGGTCAATATAGCAAGACCCTGTCTCTTAAATAAATAAATAAATAAATAAATAAATAAATAAATAAATAACAAAAAAAAATTAAAGATCTCAGAAAGCTATTTAGTATTTTAGCAGTTATTCCATTTACTAAGGTATTACTTATTGAATTGTTTCCCCCCCAAAAAAATGTTGGCGCCCTAACCCCCAATATCTGTGAATGTGAACTTATTTGGAAACAGGATCTTTACAGAGGTCAGGTTGAAATGAGGTCACAGGTGGGCCCTAAGCCAATATGACCGTCCTTATAAAAAGGGGACATTTGGGCACAGAGACAGACATGCACACGGGGAGAATGTCACATTAACATGAAGGCAGAGCTCAGGGTGATGCACCTACAAGCCAAGGAACTCCAAAAATTGCCAGAAAGCCACCAGCAGCTAAGGCAGAGGTACGGAACAGATTCTCCCTCACAGGTCTCAGAAGGAACCAACCCTGCCGACACCTTGATCTCAGACTTCCAGCCTCCCAAGCTGTGAGACAATTAAGTTCTGTTGTTCTCAGCCACCAAATTTTTGGTACTTTGTTATGGCAGCCCTAGGGAACTAATAGAGAAGGAAAACTAAAATATCAATGAATGGCTCTTTTCTCTGTTATTTTCTAAAATAGAAAGGTTAGTGGAAGGAAGAGCTGAATTATCTGTTCCCATTACAGGCTAGTAAGGAGTGGTAACAAGAATTTTAAGGAAAGTTTGGAAACCAATTTTTTCAGAGTTACCCAAACTGCGAGTTTTAGACCAACAATTTTCCCCCTTTTCAGAGCAATCTAGCCCAGTGGCCTCCATCTCCAGTTTTAAAATTAATGTAAAAGGTCATGCATACCCAATATAATCAACTTGTTTTTCAAAAAGGGAGGTTGTAGAAGGAGAGCTTGGTTACTTCTTTTTTTATTTTTCTTTTTTCATAAACTCAGTGGTAAGAATTGGGTGCTTCTTTAGTAAACAAATGTACCTTGATCTTAGGTGAGAGAGACCAAAACTCACTTCTCTTGTAGCACTAAATACACTGCATTGTATTTAACTAATGATTCATAAATATGCTTTGAAAGGATTTAGTTTCTACTTTTCCAGGACTTGCAATTTTATAATTTTAAGTGGTTTAGAGGAGACTTTCAGACTGTCCTAAATTTTTTGTATTGCGTGTTACTTGATACATATAAAGGAATATATGTAACACATCTAAATTTTGAAGCATAATAACAAAAGGAATTATTTGTGAGCCTATTATCCAACTGAAGAACTAAAACATGGCTGGTACCATTGTAGCTCCCTGTGCGTGACACCCCTGATTTGACCCTTCCTCCTCTCCATCCCCCTGGTGCCCAGGCTGTCATTGAAAGCACAGTGATTTTTATGTCTAGTCATTGTCTGCTGTTGTGGCCACAGCAGTGGCCACAGTGCCACTGCATCCTGTGTGTCATGGGAAACTACACCCCAAGCATGACTGCTCCAGCTCCCTCAACCCTGAGACCTCTGGGTAACAACTCTTTATTTCAAAGGTTCTCAGATTGTTTTTATCTCAATTAGATTCACAGCATGAACCTGCAGGACACTTGGGGTCTGTTTCTGATGTTCATCTCAGTGGAGCTACCAGAGCATCTGTTGTCATATAATTAAACAAACAAACAAACAAACAAACAATTATATATGTTTTGTTCATAGTTTGTGGGAGCTTCTAAACCATTGGAATTTCCTGAGTGTTAGAAGTGCCATTGGTAGCCCGGGCGCAGTGGCTCACACCTGTAATCCAAGCACTGTGAGAGGCCAAGGCAGGTGGATCACTTCAGGCCCGGAGTTTGAGACCAGCCTGGCCAACATGGTGAAACCCTGTCTCTACTAAAAATACAAAATTTGCTGGGCATGGTGGCAGATGCCTGTAATCCCAGCTACTTGGGAGGCTGAGGCAGGAGAATCACTTGAACCTGGGAGGTGGAGGTTGCAGTGAGCGAGACTCCATCTCAAAAAAAAAAAAGTGTCTTTGGAACATAGCGGATCCCTGGGATCACACCTGAGTATGTGCCAATGAGATGATTCAGGTGGGCTCTAGGATAGTTTTAAGATGGGGGCCAGCCATGCCAGAAAGACCAGCCATATGTTTAGAGGGTTGGGGCTTTGAGCCAAGTGATATCAGCCTGAACTCTCAACCTCCATGGAGGAGAGGAGGCTGGAGACTGAGTTCATGAGTTCAATGACACGGCCAATGATTCGATCAATCATGCCCATGTAATGAGACCCTACTAAAAACTCTGGACACTGAGGCTCAGGTGAGCTTCCTGGCTACTGAACACATTGGTGTGCCAGGGGGGTAACACATTATGTTTGAGAGCCTCCCAGACCTCACCTTATGGGATTCTCTATTTGTATCCTTTATAGAATAAAACTGTAAGTATAGCAACTTCCTGAGTTCTGTGAGTTGTTCTAGCAAATTATCATATCTGAAAGGGTCATGGGAAACTCTGAATTTTTTTTTAGTCAGTTGATAAGAAATATGGGTGACCTGGGGACCCTTGAATTTGCAGCTGGCATCTGAGGTGAGGGTAGTCTTGTTGGGGACTGTGTCCTTGATCTATGGAGTCTATGCTAACTCTGGGTAGTTAGTATCAAAATTGCATTGCAGTGTGGTAGCATCTAGTCAGTTGCTTAGTGCAGAACAGACACCGTTGAATTAGTTAATCAACATTTTTTGCTAAATATTCAGGTGCCAAAGAAAATTAACCTGTATTTTGATTTGAAACATACCATATCTTTTCTGGGCATCATCAATAATTGGAATATGTCCTCTGCCAAGGGATTTATCACCCTGATCAATCAGAGCTTCCTTCACTGCTTTATATCCATGGAAGACCATGGTGGGCCAGGATCCAAAGTACAGGGTGTAAACAGAGCTGTACTCTTTGGCCAACTGGAAAGAGATGCAAGCACCTGTGTAAGTGCTAGTGTGAAATCTGTTGAAGGTTTGGGGAGAAATTAAGTAATAATTTTACATGTGGCTTAGCCTTTGCTCCATCAGTTCCACTTTAGGAATTCAACCTGAGGCATTGACTTGCATTCATTCTTTCCTTCATTTATATATGCAATCACTCAGCAAATATTTACTAAGCATCTATGCTATGTCAGACAGTGTGCACAGCCCAGGATTCCTCATGGAAAGTCTGGTGAAAATGACAGGAAATAAACAGCCAAACAAATTACATTTGCAATACAAATTGAGCATAATTCTATAAAGTGATAAAGAGTATACTGTGTTGGATGACCAAGGGAGAACTTAATAAAATAAGTAAGAGAAGGCATTTATGGGGAGGTAGTATTTAAGTTAAAACTAAAGGTGAGGAGGAAGCAGCCAGGATAAGGGGTTCAGGGAGAGCTCACTATGCAGGTACAAACTATTTCAAGGATGATATCCATATATTGGCCAGGCACAGTGGCTCACGCCTGTAAACCCAGCACTTTGAGAGGCCAAGGTGGGAGGATAGCTTGAGCCCAGGAGTTCAAGACCAGCCTGGGTAACATGGTGAGATCTCATCTCTAAAAAAAAAAAAGAAAAAAACCAACATATATTTATGGTGGTGGTGTTCAAGGAGGAAAATGTGGTACTAAAGTATCCAACAACTAGGGGTTGGTTTTGAAACTTATTTTACATTCATGCAATTAAATTCAAAGCAACCACTTGAAATTAGTTACAGGAGGTTATATAATGTTATGGAAACATGCCCTCCAGCCCAGGTGACAGAGCGAGTCTCTGTTTCAAAAATAAAACATAAAAATGGGCAAAAGATCTGAAGAGACATGTCACCAACAAAAGATCTATAGATGGTACTATAGCTTGAATGTCCCCTCCAAAAATCAGGCTGAAATTTCATTGCCATGGTAACAGTGCTGAGACAGGACCTTTAAGACTTGTGATTAGGTCATGAAGGCATTGCCCTCCTGAAAGAATTAGTGTTATTGTGGGCTTGGGTTAGTTATCACAGGACTGTGCTCCTGATAAAAGGGTGAAGTTCGGTCTTCTTTTGCTGTGTCTCTCGTGCGTGCTTTCTGGCTGTGTGTTATGATACAGCAAGAGGCCCTCATCAGATGTGGCCCCTCAATCTTGGATTTCCCAGCCTCCAGAGCCATGAGCCAAAAAAACGCTTCATTTCTTTCTAAATTACCCAGTCTGTGGTATTCTATTACTGCAGCAGAAAACAGAATAAGACAGATGGCAAATGAGCATATGAAAATATGCTCTACATCATATGTCATTAGGAAATTGCAAATTAAAACAGCAATGAGATACCACTACACATCTATCAGAATGGCCAAAATCCAAAACATGGACAACTCCAAATGGTGATGAGGATGTGGGGCAACAGGAACTTTCCTTCATTGCTAGGAAGGAATACAAAAAATGAAACTGCCATTTTGGAAGACAGTTTGGCAGTTTTTTTGTTTGTTTGTTTTTAAGACAAGGTCTTGCTCTGTTGCCTGTGTTGAAGTGCAGTGACTTGATCATAGCTCACTGCAGCTTCTAACTCCTGGGCGCAAGTGATCCTCCTGCCTCAGCCTCCCAAGTAGCTAGGACCACACCTGGCTAATTTTTAGATTTTTTTGTAGTGATGGGGTTTTACTATATTGCCCAGGCTTTTCTTGAACCTATGGCCTCAAGCCATCCTCCCACCTTGGCCTCCCAAAGTGTTGGGATTACAGGTATAATTGACCACACCTTGCCCAGTTTGGTGTTTCTTACAAAGTAAGCATACTCTCACCATGTGATCTGCAATCACACTCCTTGGTATTTACCCAAAAGAGCTGTAAACTTACGTCTGCACAAGAACCTGCACGTGGATGTTTGTAGCAGCATTTTTACAACTGAAGCAACTAAGACGTTCTTCGGTAAGTACGTGAATAACTAAACTATGGTACATCTAGATAATGGAATATTATTCAGTGCTAAAAAGAAATGTGCTATCAAATCAAGAAAAGACGTGGAGGAAACTTAAATGCATATTATTAGGTGAAAGAAGCCAATCTGAAAGGGTCATAGATGGTATGCTTCCAACTATATGACAGTTTGGAAAAGGCCAGAGTATGGAGACAGCAAAAAAGATCGGTGTTTGCCAGGGCTTGGCGGGAGGGAGGGATAAACAGGCACAGCATAGGCGATTTTCAAGGCAGGAAACTATTCTGTTTGACACTATAATGGTGGGTACCTGGTCATACACATTTGTCCAAACCCACAGAATGTACAACATTATAAGAGAACCTAAGTAAACTATTGTCTCTGAATGACGATGACACGTCAATGCAAGTTCATCAATTGTAACAAATGGACCCTCTGGTGTGAGAGGTCAGTCGTGGGGGACATTGTACATGTGTTGGGGCAGGAGGTATATGAGGACTCTCTGTATTTTCCACTCAGTTTGGCTGTGAACCTAAAACTGTTCTAAAAAGTAAAATCTATTTTTAAAGAAATTACCTCCGTTCCCCTTCTCTGCATTATTTTTTCTACAGCATTTATAATACTATGATGATATATATATATAACATATATATGTATATTACAGTATTACAGGTTGAGTATCCCTAGTCCAAAAATCTGAAATCTGAAAAGCTCCGAAATTCAAAACTTTTTGCATGCCTACATGACACCACAAGTGGAAATTTCCACACTTTACCTCATGTAATGGGTTGCAGTCAAAACGCAATCAAAACTTTGTTTTATGCACAAAATTATTAAAAACAGTATATAAAGTTTACCTTCAGGCCCATTAAGATGCATATGAAACATAGATTAATTTCATGTTTAGACCTGGGGCCCATCTCCAAGATATCTCATTATGTATATGCAAATATTCCAAAATCATGGCCGGGTGCGGTGGCTCACACCTGTAAACCCAGCACTTTGGGAGGCTGAGGCAGGTGGATCACCTGAGGTCAGGAGTTCAACACCAGCCTGGGCAACATGGCGAAACCCCGTCTCTACTAAAAATACAAAAATTAGCCGGATGTGGTGGTGCACCTCTGTAATCCCAGCTACTCGGGAGGCTGAGGCAGGAGAATCTCTTCAACCCAGGAGGCGGAGGTTGCAGTGAGCCAAGATTACATCACTGCACTCCAGCCTGGGTGACAGTGAGACTCCGACACACACACACACACACACACTATATATACATATATATATACATACACACACACACACACACTATATATACATATATATACACACACACACTATATATACATATATATATACACACACACACACACACATACATACACACACACTATATATATATTTTGGAATATATATATATATATATATTCCAAAATCTGAAAAAATCTGAAATCTGAAACACTTCCGGTCCCAAACATTTTGATAAGGAATACTTAACATGTGTTGACTTGTTTTGGTTTTGTCTCACTCTCCTTATTAGAATTGTTTAAGTTATACAAGGGCAGGGTTTTTTCCTCCTCTTTTGTTCATGGCAATGCTCCCAGACTCTAAAGGGCACCCTGTCAAAAAATATGGCTCATGGAATGTTTATCTAAGAAATTAGCGCTAAGGCTTACCATCAGATAAATGTCCTGTACTGCTTCTTCTGTCCTAGAGAATATGTTTTTGCAATGAATTTATGGAGACGACGTCTTTCACCCAAACCAGCATTTCCAAAGGTACGAATATCAGCCAGGGTAGCCAAGCTGGGCTGCATTAGAGCTGGGTGTTGCGGAGAGGAGTGGAGATCACTCTCTAGAAGGAGGATCACAAAGCCTCCCATGGATCACTTAGTGTAAAATAATAGTAATAATATCCAAGGGCATTTATTACTTTTTTTTTTTTTTAAGCAGAGTCTTGCTCTGTCACCCAGGCTGGAGTACAGTGGTGCAATCTCGACTCACTACAACCTCCACCTCCCAGGTTCAAGCAATTCTCCTGCCTCAGCCTCCTGAGTAGCTGGGACTATAGGCACGTGCCACCACACCAGGCTAATTTTTGTATTTTTAGTAGAGCCTGGGTCTTGCCGTGCTGGCCAGGCTGGTCTCGAACTCCTGACCTCAGGTGATCCAATTTATTACATTTTTACATTTCTACGGCTTGCTTTTTGGTGTTATATGATGGGGGCATTGGAAGCTTTCCAATTAAAATATGTTCTGTCCCCAGGATTTTCTCATTCACTAGAATTCAGCCAATAACTCAAGTTAGGTCAACACCCTCACTACCTGCTCTGCAGTGCTCCAGTCCTAAAGCCAGAGGATATCTGTCTTGTATGACAGTAATAAACAACCAAAAGTAGCTCCGTGATGTGAAGAACTAAGAAAGGCTGAGGTAAGACTGCTGGCCTGCAGTGGTCTGAGACGCAGAACCTGGCCTAGAGATGACCAGCCTTGGAATCAAAGCCCCTTATCTTGGAGAGAGATGCAAGGGCATCCTTGGGGTTTCGTTGCAGCCTATTCCCAATCGTGGGAAGGGGAGTTGGGCTGGGACTTTTCTTCCACACCAAAAAGAAAATCAGGCAAGTGACGCACATCGCAAGAGCCGAGCAGTGGGTGCCAGCAACCCCATTTCACCCCTGGTGTTAGCAACCATCTGGGTCACCAGTCAGAAAGCAAAAGCTTGCAGAGGAGCAGCCCAGCTGGCTACCCTGGCTGATATTCGTACCTTTGGAAATGCTGCTTGGGGGAAAGATATTATCTCCCTAAATTCATTGCAAAAACATATTCTCTAGGACAGAAGCAGCAGCACAGGACATTCATCTGGAACCAGTCTGTCCCTGCTGGACAAAGGCTGCTCTGGGTTCTTGGACTTGGAAAAAAAATGGAAAGAGGTTTTGAGTTTGTTGACTTTGCTGAAGCTTGAGATTAAGAAGGGTTCATCCTTCCCTACCTCTTATTCAGAAAATCTGCAACTTTTCTCTGAATTTCTAAGCATCCCCATTATATGTACTTTTTCTTTTTCAGCATTGATGATTCATTACATATAAAACTTCATTTTATTTTTCATAGCTTTCTGAAACTGTTCAAATAATTAACTTCACAAATTATAAAAAACAGGTCATATATTCTGAGATCTGATTTGGAAAAACACAGCTGTCAAAGTCATCCTCCTCAAACATCATTTTTCTCATTTCTCTCATCAGTTAGAAGTCTCCTGTGTTCTTGACAGTGAATTGAGGTATTCGAAAAAAAAGTCCACGTGTCCATCCACAGATGAATGGATAAATACAATGTAGTTACATGTACGATGGAATATTATTCACCCTTAAGGAGGGATGATATTCTAATACATGCTATCCATGGATGAACCTTGAAAACACTATTCTAAGTGAAATATGCCAGACAAAAAAGGACAAATATTGTATGATTCTGCTTATATGAGGTATCTTCAATAGGCAAATTCACAGAGACAGAAAGTAGAATAGAGGTAGGTTACTAGGGGCTGGGAGGAGGAGGAAGGCAGGGAGCTATTGTTTAATAGTCGCAAGAGTTTCTGTTTGGGATGTTGAAAAAATTCTGAAAATTGATAAAAGTGATGGTATTTATTGCCACTAACTTGTACAATTTAAACATGGTTGAAATGGTAAATTTTTTGTTGTTTACATTTTGCCACAATAAAGACAAAGAAAACCTCTACTAACTTGGTAGTTGAAAAATGTTAACTCATTTTTATTTGCATTTAAAATAATGCTGTTATTGATTTATTCTTTGATTTTTAATAATAGCAAATTCTCCAAGATCCTGAGATTTATTCTTTGAAATAAATCTTCCTATTAATGTCTCATGGTCTATACCTTATTTCATAGGGAATTAAATTGTTACTGTAATACATCTTTTAAAAAATCTAAAAAGAAAATCCACTATGGTTTTCCTACTACTTATTGTAGCAAACATGGAAAATCTCTGCAGCACTAAAATTCTTAAATGGTTTCAACTCTGATATTTTTCTCTTATTTCAGAGCCATCCCTCTGTATTTCCCACAGCAGACTATTTACTTCCATTAAGCAAACTTGCTGATTAGCCTGCATTCACGTATCCACTAGTACAAGGACCAGGAGGATTTTTATGTAAAGGGTTTTAGGGCCCATGAGGATGGGGCCAGGGCTGAGGTTGGGCTTGTGCATGGAGAAAAACCAAAGTAGAGAGAATCAGCTGGGGGACCTCACATATATTTGTCTTCCTTTTGGTACCGTCTGTGAAACCAGCATCCACTGGTGTTTTTGCTGTTTCTGCGAGTATACACTTGCAGACATTTCAGGGAAGTAAATTATTGACTTTGAAATACTGTGAAAAGTTAGAACTTCAATGTTGATTTGGATGTGGAAAGCAGGTGAATAAATAGAGGGAACTGGTAAACACGTTGGGTAAAGGGTACTTTGACAATGACAGAATCATGTCCGTCTTCTGCTTAAAACTCTTGAAAGGTTTTTTTTTCTCCCCCACATCTTCTTTCCTTTTATTGAAAAACATTTTAGAAAATGTCAGTTAATAAAAAGTAGCAATGAATCAACAGGGATATACTAGTGGAAAACACAATATAAAACTAAAAATGCCATTGGCTTCTTCAATTGATTAAGAGCACAAAATGTAACAGACAGAAGGTCTGTTTTAAACCAATTTTCTAAAGCGATGTATTTTTAAAATTCTCCCCATCAGCTATGTACACACTCACAAAAACAATGTGTGAAGGAAACCTGTCATACACAAGAAGTTGTATCCTGAATTCTTCAGGGAAACACATGTTGAAATAGGAATTAAAAAGAGTCAGCAACAGGTTAATTATATATATGTGCGTATATATATATACACACACATACACACACACACACATATATATACATATATATATTTTTTCTTTTTTTATTTTTTTGAGATGGAGTCTCGCTCTGTCACCCAGGCTGGAGTGCAGTGGTGTGATCTCGGCTGTGAAACCTCTGCCTCCCGGGTTCAAGCGATTCTCCTGCCTCAGCCTCCCAAGTAGCTTGGATTACAGGCACCTGCCACCACACCCGGCTAATTTTTGTATTTTTAGTAGAGACGGGGTTTCACCATGTTGGCCAGGCTGGTCTCGAACTCCTGACCTCATGATCTGCCCACCTCGGCCTCCCAAAGTGCTGGGATTACAGGCATGAGCCACCACGCCTGGCCTAATAATATTTTTAAATTGAGTCTTCAAGCACTGCGTGGCACAAAGCTATACTATATAAAGTACTGCTAGGTTCAAAAGAAAAAATCTGTACCGCTTTTAGCAAAAGTGCTTTTCCAGAAAAGCAAATCAAAACAATGTAATCAGCAGACCAAGGAGGTTACAGCCAGACATCAGGGCTACACCTTCTCATATCTTGCTAGAAGATCCTATTTATCCAGAATAAAATTTCAGGACAAAACAGGGACATTTTAAACATTTCTTACTTTACGCATTTAAAATTTTCTATATTTTCAGCATGATCCAGCAGAAAGAGGGCTGCTGTGAGAACTGGCTATTTTATTTTCTTTCTGTGGTGAGACTGTCATGGAGCCTGGATATTTTAGGCTCTTATGCATCCCTGACCAGTGTCCCACCGTGGTCAAAAAACTTAGCAATGAACTTGGTGAACTTGGCTTCCCGCAGCTGCCTTCTTCTCCCATTGATGAAGGCCAGCTGCCAAATATCAGGATCCACTCCTGCAGGATCCTTCCTGTGGGCCACAAGAAAGACGCTCTTCTTATGTGAGCTATATAAATGGTCATGACTGGGCACCTGGCTCACGCCTGTAATCCCAGCACTTTGGGAGGCCAAGGCGGGCAGATCACTTGAGGCCAGGAGTTCGAGACCAGCCTGGCCAACATGGCAAAACCCCGTCTCTACTAAAAACACAAAAATCAGCCAGGCTTGGTGACATGTGCCTATAATCCCAGCTACTTGGGAGACTGAGGCACAAGAATCACTTGAACCCAGGAGACACAGGTTGCAGTGAGCCAAGATTGTGGCACTGTACTCCAGCCTGGGTGGTACAGCGAGACTCTGACTCAAAACATAAAAAAATAAATAAATGGTCAGAATCCCCATCATCACAAAATAGGATAGGATGTACATGGCCAAAACGGGCTTGGACTCGGCAAAGGGGTGCACAGAATCCCAAATCAAAGCTACTATGGTAAGGAAACAGGAGTGCAATCAGATAGTGAGGCAAATGTCAATGAGACCAAAATTCTCCCCCTACGGGTATTTTTCCAGAAGTACCTTTCTGGCAGAATCATCCAGAGTTTTTCATAGCGGATCCATCCCACTTGTCAGTTTTTCCATGCTTCTCATCCGTCTTCCACTTAGCCAACAAGCCACTGAGGCTACTGCCTGTCGCGCAGCTGAGACCACCGCTGGCCCCACTACTGCCTCCGCCACCACCACTTCTCCTGCCCTGGGCAGCTGCCGCCATCTTGTCGCAAAAAGCTTTCTTTGAAAGGTTTGTTTCCAACCTTTGGGAAAAGCCACCAATGGGTAATAAGACTTAGAAGGCCCACCATGCTCTACCTTGCCCTTCCCCTCTTCTCACACCCACCTCTTCAGCCTCCTGTTTTGGTGCTCTCATTCTCACTAATAATGTTGCACCTATATTGAATATTTTTTTACCATTTCTGGAAGGTTCTTGAACTGAGGTCTTCACACTATTACTCAATCCTTTAAAAAAAAACAGCTTGAGATATAATTCATATGCCATGTAATTTATAATTTAAAGTATACAGTTCAGTAGTTTTTATTTTTTATTTTTTAAATTTTTATTTTTTGAGATGGAGTCTTGCTCTCTCACCCAGGCTGGAGTGCAGTGGCACGATCTTGGCTCACTGCAACCTCCGTCTCCTGGGTTCAAGTGATTCTCCTGCCTCAGCCTCCTCCAGTAGCTGGGATTACAGGCGGAGGCCACCAGGCCCAGCTACTTTTTTTTGTATTTTTAGTAGAGACAGGATTTCACCATGTTGGCTGGGCTAGTCTCAAACTCCTGACCTCAAATGATCTGCCCACCTCGGCCTCCCAAAGTGCTGGGATAACAGGCGTGAGCCACCGTGCCCAGCCTCAATAGTTTTTAGTATATGCAGAATTATGCAACTACCACCAAAATCAAATTTTAAAATCTCTTCATTACCCCAAGAAGAAACGCCGTGCCCATTAGCAGCTACTCAATTCCCTCTCCTCCCAGCCTCAGGCAACCACCAGTCTTTTCGTCCATAGGGATGTGTCTATGATGAACATTTAATGTAACTAGAACCTGGCTTCTTCCTCTTAGCCTAATGTTTTCAAGGCTTATTCGTGTTGTAGCATGCATCAGTACTTCATTCCTTTTTTATAGAATATTCCATTGCATGGATAGACCACATCTGATTTATCCATTCATCAGGTGATGGACACTCTGGGGTTGTGTCCACCTTCTGGCTACTATGCATAATGCTGCTATAGAGCGCAAGTCTTCGTGTGGACATGTTCCCATTCTTTTGGGTAGATACCCAGAAGTGAGATTGCTGGATCGTATGTTAACTCTGTTTAACATTTTGAGAAACTGTAAAATGTTTTCTAAGGCAGTGCCCTCATTTTACATTCCTACCAGCAAATTATGCAGATTCCAATTGCTTCACTTCCTTGCCCACACTAGTTACTGCCTTTCTTATTATAGCCATCCTAGTGGGTGTGAAGTGGCTATCTTGTTGCATTCCTCTAATGACTAAAGATGTCGACCATCTTTCTCATTTTTTTTTTTTTTTTTGAGACGGAGTCTTGCTCTGTCGCCCAGGCTGGAGTGCGGTGGCGCGATCTCGGCTCACTGCAAGCTCCGCCTCCTGGGTTCACGCCATTCTCCTGCCTCAGCCTCCCAAGTAGCTGGGACTACAGGTGCCCGCCACCACGCCGGGCTAATTTTTTGTATTTTTAGTAGAGACGGGGTTTCACCGTGTTAGCCAGGATGGCCTCGATCTTCTGACCTCGTGATCCGCCAGCCTCGGCCTCCCAAAGTGCTGGGATTACAGGCTTGAGCCACTGCGCCCGGCCCTTTTTCATGTTTTTATTGGCCATTTGTATACCTTGTCTGAAGAAATGTCTGTTGAGATCCTTTGCCCATTTTAAAATTGGGTTGTCTTTTTATTGAGTTGTTATTCCCCGATCTTTAACTGGCGGATGCTCTTTTTCATTCTTTATCTTCTCCCTCTTTTTTGAGACCCTCCTAGCACTGCATTCCTCCCACTTTGATAAGTCTCTCAAGTGCTTTGGTTACGGTCTACTTTCCCACCAGACTGTTCTTTTTTTTTTTGAGATGGAGTCTCACTCTGTCCCCCAGGCTGGAGTGCAGTGGCGTGATCTCAGCTCACTGCAACCTCTGCCTCCTGGCTTCAAGTGATTCTCCTGCCTCAGCCTACCAAGTAGCTGGGACTACAGGCACATGCCACCACACCCGGCTAATTTTTGTATTTTTAGTAGAGATGGGGTTTCACCATATTGGCCAGGCTGGTCTCGAACTCCTGACCTTGTGATCCGCCTGCCTCTGCCTCCGAAAGTGCTGGGATTACAGGCGTGAGCCACCACGCCCAGCCCAAGACTGTTGATTCTAAGAGAGCAGAGACTATGTCTGTCTGACTCACTGTTGTTCATTACTGGCCCATTACTTTATACATTTTAGGTTTCCTGGCACATATCAGGTACTCAACAAACATCTGTCGAATTGTATTTAATGTGATTTTCACAGTTTCTCTTGTGTCAGGAGGGTTGCTGTCTCCATTGAAAAGGTTTTTTTGGGTCACCTCCTCTCTAACCATTTGTGGTCCTGTCTCCTACCAGTTGGGGGTTGTCCCAGAGGCTATTAATTCTTGTGCTCGAGTTGAGCATATGTTTGGACTGACTGCAGCCTCCATAGCGTTGGAGGATCCCTAGGGTGAAAAGCAGTAAGTGCAGCTCATGTGTGAGGTGAGATGCAGTCAGAGGAAAGTGAATTGATGCCTCATGGAACTGTCTACCATGGCCACAGCTGGAGTTAGAGGTGGGGTGGAGTGGAATTGCGATAGGGCGCCAGAGGCATCAGACACACCCAGTTTGTCAGAACCTGCCTTAGGTGTCTGAAATCCAGTTACAGTTATTGTGCCTATTAGGATGCACACCCTGACAGACTTGCATATGGAGAAAACCAATGCAATTTTGTTTTGAACAAATTGCCTTTCTACCCCTGCATCAACCACTTATGGAATGTGCTGTCCCCAGGAAGGGGATGTGATCTTGGCCCGGGGCAGGGGTCTTTAGCCGAGGAAAATTTCTGCAGAGCGACTCTGCTAAAAGCTGTCACCATGAACACTCCCAGCAACCAGGAGAATGAGTGATTAACATCTGCAAACAGGATCTGGGTGTTGTGCCATCAGCCCTGCACTGTTCACCTCCACTTGCTTTGTAACCCAAATAAGGGGAGCTGCTCCCCCAGGCTCCAAAGGGCTGATCTTTCTGGAATCAGCTGTCATACCGCTCAGCTTACTAAGAGCACCTCTGCCAAGTCCTGCAGAGGGCAGAGAAGTCACCCATAAGTCACCACTTCACACATGAACCATCTCATTATCCCTTTTCCTGACCTCGACTGCAGGGCTTACAAATCTCTATAAACATCCTCTAAAATCTCCCCTCAATTTAGAGCTTTCATCACCCTAAACCTAATGGCTTCAAAGGCAAATATAAAGGGCTGTGGTAAACTTGGATCTGGAATATGACAGGTTCAAATCCTTACTTTGCCACTCATATTCATGGGATCTTGAGTAATGTAATCTCTCTAGATCTCAGCTATGAAATGAAGTAATAGTAGAGCCTCATAAGGTTTGCAGTGGACAGCCTCTCATGCCTCCTGGCACTGCATTTTGAAATGCAATAGCAAGTGCTTCTCCCACTGCCTGGAACACACTCCACCATCACCACTGCTCTCTTCAGCTGGCTGTCTGCCTCCTGTCCATCCTTAAAAATTTGGCTCAGATCAGACATTGCTTCCTAGAAACCAAAAGGCTGGGCTGATCTTTACTGGTGCCCCACAGCACCCAGTGAACACCCTGCTTACTTACCACACTATCACACTTGCCTACTTACTTGCTGTATTGCCCCATCCTACACACACACACAAGGCTATATGGCTTTTTGTTGCCTCAGCAACTAGCCTACAGTAGATACTCAATAAATATTTATAGGAAGAAAGAAAGGAGACTATTTTTTGTGTGTATTTTTAGTAGAAACAGAGTTTCACCATGTTAGCCAGGCTGGTCTCAAACTCCTGACCTCAGTTGATCTGCCCGCCTTAGCCTTCCAAAATGCTGGGATTACAGGTGTGAGCCACCGAGCCCCACTGGAAGAAGACATTTTTTAAAATTAAAAAAAAAAAAAGTAGAAAAATTGATTGAAAGAAATAAGAAAAATTGGAAAGACAGGTACTAATTCAGAAGAAATATGGTAAGGGAAACAAGTAAAACGTCATTCTGCATTACAGTCTATGTCAAAATAGACACTAGGAGTGAGCAATGAATTAACAGTAAATTTTTTGTTTTTTTTTGTTTGTTTGTTTTGAGACAGAGTCTTGCTCTGTCGCCCAGCCTGGAGTGCAGTGGCTCGATCTCAGCTCACTACAACCTCCACCTCCCAGGTTCAAGTGATTCTCCTGCCTCAGCCTCCTGAGTAGCTGGGGATTATAGGCACGTGCCACCACACCCAGCTAATTTTTGTATTTTTAGTAGAGATGAGGTTTCACCATGTTGATCAGGCTGGTCTTGAGCTCCTGACCTCATGATCTGACCGCCTCAGCCTCCCAAAGTGCTGGGATTACAGGCATGAACCACTGCACCCGGCCCAGTAAATTCATTTTAAGTGCTCATACCAGGGCAGAGACCAGGAGAAAGATGAGAAGCTGGCCCAGCTTGTTGGGATGCTCCTGGAGGGCTGTGGTTGGGGTTTAACATCCAGCTAGCTTAGCTCATAGCTGGTGAAGACATTAATCTACGTGTTCTATTATGCAATTGCAGGTAGCAGGCACTGTGCTCACTCTCTCCACTATGGGAACTTATAGCTACTCAGAGACAGACACATATATTGACTCCTGTAGACAACTGACTCCTGTAGACAAGGTGAACTAATGCATCCCAGCAATTACCACGTGCGAATCTCTACACTAGATGCAACAACATATCCTCCTGAATCCACTGAAGAGTCACCCTGCAAGGATGAGTAATCAGGTTCAGAGATGTTAGGTAACTTCCCATGGTTACACATAAAGTCCTGACATGGACACTGTAGGCTCACTTCTAAGTTTTTTCCATGACTCACTTGCCTGATTTACCTGCATGTCATATTCAACTTTTTGTTCTTTCATGCAACAAAGCCATCTCATATGGGCCAGATGCCATCTTAGGCATTAGCAACAGAAACAATCCCCAGGGAACAGCACAGCCACAGCCCCCGCCCCCGCCCTCAGAGAGATTAGCATTTGTGAAAACAGACATTGAGCACATAATGAGACATGAAGTGTGCATGATGTGTGACGGGGGGGAAATACAGGATGCTAACCCAGGCCAAGCAGTTCAAAGTGAACTGAAGCTTTTACATCTGAAGAAGTGATGAAGACTCAGGAGTTGGCTGAGGAAAGTCAGCACTACGAGGGAAGGAAAGTGAACCAGGCAGATGGAACAACGTATGAGAAGGGACAGACAGAAGGTGCATTCAGGGACCTTAGAGAAGGGTGGCTGGAGAGGACAGCAGGGGCCAGATCACGAACTTCGTGTGTACACATTTGAGACTTAATCCTAAAGCGATTAGAAGCCACGGCTTCTAATTCACAAATTCTTTTGCCACAGAAGAGGCAGAAATCACTTCATTTTAATACCTACCAATAACCTATAGGATGGTCAGTTCAAATTATTCTCAGGTCCACAGCAACTGACCTAGGATACTATGGGGTTGATCCCATAAGAACAGGAGGAAAGAGCTGCTTTCCCCACAACTCCCATTACCACTCCCTGCTGGCCCAAGATCACCAGGAAATTGATCCCAGGAGGAAATACAGAACGTTTGGGAAGAGCAGGTCCAACTCTGGCTCTTGGGCCGCTAACATCTTAATAGTCAAGTTGGTTATATTGTGCCATTACATTACCAGTTATAATTTACACAAATTGTCCTTCTCTGGCTTGGTCTGTCTCCTCCCCTCCTCAGTGCAGAAGTACTTTTGCTCTCAGGGACGGATCCCAGTGGCCTGATGCTCCATCCTCCCTCCTTGCCCCTCTGCCACAGGCCCTGTCCCACAAAGGATTAGAAGAACACCCCTTGTTAAATTCCAGGAGTCAGCAAAGAGTGGACACCTTGTTTTAAACATTCTTATACCAGGTAGGCAGTATTCTGGCAAGAGTATAACAAAAGCCTCTACAGTTAAGTTAAACCCGCAAATAAACTGGCTCCCTAGTTGAAATGTGCAAGACAGCCTTAGGAGCATGTTAAGATGACAGAAAAATGAAGACGTGGGAAAAAAAAACACAAATCACTGATAGTAAAATAATTTTATTTAGTTTCTTATTTTAAAAAAGGTAGCATTTCAACATATAAATTTAGACTCAAGATTACAGTGTATATTTGCCAAAAGGAACACCCCGAAAGACGGCCAGCCTCAGAGCTGAGAGGGCACAGGGAGGCACACTCCTCACACATGGGAGTTTAAGCAGAAGTGCTTTAAGACTTCACAGCGGCATTTCCCTGTTCCTCAGCCCCGCCTCCAGGGCCATCACTTTGGGGCAACAGCTTTTGCTCATGTAACTATAAAACATCTCTAGGAATGAAAGCACAGAGGTCAATGATCCAGATTTTCCACAACAATCATCTGCAGCAACAATTCGACAGGTAAAGATTTTATTTTTATAATTCAAAAGTTCTTTTAAGGAGAACTAAAGAACACAAAATTCATTTATAAAGAGAATTTATAGAATTAAATGAGCAAAAATGAAAAATTATTTTCTCCATATTACAAATGCCTCTATAGGATAAGGCCCAGGGGAAAGACCCATTCAAATCTGGGCTTTCCTTTCCCAAATAAAGTGTTTGGCACAACCAACAAACTGTCATGAGACTGACAGGCCTGACAGCTGAAAGATTTCTAGAAGTGGTCCCATGACTTTTTTGTTGAGCTTCAACATAGCGTACACAAGAGTTGTCTTAACAAGCTGCACAAACTCAGGCCGAACTACGCAGCACACTGCTCCAGAAAAGTTAAACTGAAGGAAAAAAAGGGTCCACATGAAGTAGGTCTCCTAATGCCACAGGTTAACTCTGTTGTTTCTCATGGAAAATTAAATTCACTGGCTGCCCAGGACGTCAGTGGAATCCTGATCTCCTGGGGGAGGTGACAGCTGGAGAAACAACTTGGATTTAAGCATCTCTGGGCCAGGTGGGAAGGAGACAATGATGACCAAGGATGCTTTCTAGGTGACTTTTTGTTCCACACTATGTGGGCTCCAGATAAACAATCTTAAGGAGCATCAGTGTGCTTGTGACCATGGCAGCCCTAGGACTTGGGCCTTTAGACAGAGGTGATGGGGCAAATGAATATACCCCAGATCCAGTTTTAAAAATAAAAACTTCCTGTAATTATGATACAATACTGTGCAGCAAGTCACTAGGAATTGCATGCTGCTCCTATTTGTGGTTAAAACCCTGTCCCACTCTTGGCCAGAGCTGAAAGGTAACATACAAGGAGGTGGCTGTGGCTAAAACCAGGTACCTTAGTCAAGCATGGCCTGCGGCAGTGATGCTGACAGTCATCAACCCAATGCAGGGAATGCAAGGCCCCAGAGCTTTGGCTCAGAGCAAAGGTTTCATCTCACCCCAACTTCAAACCAAGCCCTCTGTATCTCTGAGTTTATGAATACAAGAAACTAGTGATTAGGAATCTCTATGAGGAATCTGGTTGGGTAGCAAAGCTCAGGTCCCTGCAGGCCACCACCCTGACTGCAGGAAAACAGAAAGGTGCAAATCGTATCAAGTAAAAGGTTGCTCAAGTGGAAGATCATTTCCTGGGGAACTTCAGCGGCCTGGATCTTAATCACATGGATGAAGGCTGGGACTGGATCCCAAAGAAAGGGCCTGGGTCCCAGGTGCAATCAGTCTTCTTGAACTTACCATCTCCTTCTCAGTCATCTCTTGAATGGTGGCTGAGCATACATTTCCCCGGGGGACGAATGTAAACATTATTCAACAGATCTCAGCTTAGGAAAACACAGCTTGTTATATATTTAGTGTTTAACATTCCAGTGCAGGCAGTATCTTAGCATCAGACTTTCCTCATTCATGAGTAGCAGTTTAGAAAGGAATACATATAGGATACTTGATAAGACTGTGGCTGAAAAGACCATTTGTGTGTCAGACAGCTGGCTCTATCCTCCAATCAGTGGAGCACCCAGGACTATCGCAGGAGAGGTGGAACAGATGAAGTGTAAGTTCTCTGTAAATCTGAAGAGTCCGTATAATGATTGTTCCCACTTAACCCCTTGGGCCACATCTTGATATGGAGAACATTTCCACCTCTTGCATCAACCTGTGCTCTCTTTGTTTTGGATGACGTTCTCTCCAGAGGGTTCAAGAGCCTCCTTAGAGGGGAGTGAGCTTTCTCTTCCAGTCCTAATATCTGAATATTTCAAAGCACATGAGGAGTCCACGAACATGTTAGGGATGTTGCTGCCAAAATAGATCTTACTGTTAGAAGCAATGGCCTGGTACTTTTTGAGCTCCAGATATTCCGGGGTCAACTTGTGCTGTGTGGGAGCAAACAAGAGCAAAGGCATCAGAATACTCTGGTGCAACAGTCTTCTCTCTCCCTATATACATTTCACCTATTGCTCTCCTGAGTATCATGAGTCAAGTCTGAATAACTGCCAATGACCCTCTCTCACTTTGGAGAGTGGCTATCACATTAACAGCTGCGTTCCTGACTTAAAATTCCTTCATTAAGCTCCTGACTTAATGCAAGAGAAGCTGTTCACTTTTTAATAAAAGGATGGGGGAGTTGGAAAACAATTTGTGATAACTAATGATAATAACTAATATTTCTAAAGTGACTTTCATTTCATCTAGTTGAATTCAACCTGGAATTGGTCTGGAGTTTCTGTTGATTCTCTTTTCTAAAAAAATTATTTTTATTTTTGTAGAGATGGGGTCTATGTTGCCAGGCTGGTCTCAAACTCCTGGCCTCAAGCAATCCTCCTACCTTGGCCTCCCAAAGTGTCGGAATCAAAGATGTGAGCCACTGCACCCAGCCTTTTTTTTTTCTGGAGATGAGATCTCACTCTGTTGCCCAGGCTGGAATACAGTGGTTCAATTATAGCTCGCTGCTGCAGCCTCAAACTTCTGGGCTCAAGAGATACTCTCATCTTAGCCTCCAGGGAGGCTACAGGAATGAGCCATCATGCCTGGTTCTCTGTTGATTCTCTTGAGAGAGATACACAGGTCAGTGGATGAGAGCAGAACTTCAAAGGAAGGGCTGGTGCTCATTATCTTATCATTAGCTGTGATTCTGCTTTTCTTGAACAAATTCTAGAACTAGAATAAAATCTCAAGTTGTCACCTGATCTGGCCTTCTGCCTTTCCCCAGAAGCTGGATGTTTAAGCTGCTTGTGACAGACAGATGTTTGTCGACCACCAGATCTATGTGACAGTGTTTTGTTTAAATCAGGATGCCAAGATGTATCTAACCAGAACCTATCTGGGTTTGATTAAAACTCGTCGACCACCAGATCTCCCTCTGTCACACTGTTTTGTTTTGTCTAAATCAGGATGCCAAGATGTATCTAACCAGAATCTATCTGGATTTGATTAAAACCCATTTCCACTGTTCCCTGTAACATATGCCTTTCAAAGCCCCTCAGACCCTGCTCTGTGATCCTCTCCTTATCTTGAGTCCTGGCCTGTCCCCCAGGCAAAAGTCCATCTTGTCCTTCACAGTCCTACAGCATTTATTTTCTACACTTTGACATCTTTCACTCTTTGGATCTCTATCTTCTCCAGGTGATTCATATCCTCTGTCGAAACACTCCAATCAAATCTGGTCATAGTGCACAACCACATTTCTTCCTCAAGCCTTTTTAATATAGGTTAGTATCTGAGTCACATTTTTCAAAATGGCATAAAACTACTGCCCCTTTCTGAATAAGGTAGACCTCAATGGCAAGGTCTTGAAACTTGTGCCTGACGAGCTTCTCCCATTAGATTTGGACTCCTAGTTTCCTCAACTGGAGTTTCCTGTCATGCCTTTCTTTTGGCCAAATTCCATTCTGTGTCTATAGAACTGTGTCTTTCAATGTTATGTTCATTTTAAAATTTATATTGGTTTTCAAAGTACTGACAACTCTCATTCTATCATCTTATCATTTCTTCTAAATACGGATTATGTTGTTCCTTTCTAAATTAAAAGCCCTGTCTATATCTTAAAACTTGACTCTAATCCTTCAAACTGCATCATCCACTTTAGTAATCTCTTTCTCAACCCTTTATCTGTTCCAATCTGCTCCACGATAACCTTATAAATCTTGGACATACCCTTCCCTTCTCAGAATACTATCGGAGTTCTAGCTGCCTCTTAAATAGCCCCTGCTCACTAGCCCTGTACCGTCTAGCCAGCTTACCCCAGTCCTTACACCAAATTATCACCTATATATCACCCAACCTGCCTTCTCAAGTTATCCCACATGAAATTCCTCATGACTGGAATAGTTTTTTAAATCCAATAAACAAGGAGTACTCAACAAGGGGCATATGGAAATACATGCATGTGTGTGTGGCAGTTAAAACAACTGGTGACCACTACTGACATTCAGTAGACAAGGGCCAGGGATACAAAATATCCTACAATGCATGAGATGGTCTTCAACAATGAAAAAGTATCTCAACCCCAAATGCCAGGAATGCCTTTGATGAGAAATACTGCTCTAATCAAGCTAAGTATCTACCAAAAAAACTACCTTATTTGGAAAGCAATTCTAAATAGACTTTACTCTTCTGTCACTCTTATTTCAGAAGACCTTCAACTTAATTAATTATTCAGCCTTATATAGCAGTACAAATGAATGGAATTACGGCATTTGGCCTGTGTCCCTACCCAATCAATGTGAAATATTTCTTGCTAACTGACTAATTCTGGAGGATGTCTTGGTCACTACACTTTCTTGACAATGGATAAAATCACTTCTATCATATCAGAGCTCCTGAAAAGAGAAAGCAAAACCCCGAAATGCATCATTAGGAAAGTGGCCAGGGAGCCAGTCACCTTGTTTGAGGTGGCATATTTGTGTGCAGCATAATATTCAGCATCTGCTTTCGCTTTCTCTCGGGCCAGGAATGCAGCATCTAGCAAATAAACAAAGGAAAGGTGTCAATCCATTCCCTCAGCTAGTTAAGAGTCCCTTTCCCCACTGCTTAATATTGTGACTGCTTATTTCACATTGAAAGTTTTAAAAACCTATTAGCAGTTTTCAAGTCCCAGTCCCCAAACAGCAACTTCTCTACGAGGAATACTCTTTTCACTGTCAAATAACTCTCAGCTCATCTGAGCCTACTTGTTTTCTACTCTAAGTTGTTCCTTCTCTCCTCCACCCACTCTCCCACCTCCTATCACCCAGAGCCTTACATTCCACCCAGGTACTAAGCTTCAAGTAAAATAAGTCCAGACATAAAAGCTCTATTTACTGCATTGTCTCCAGCCCCCCCCCAAATTTCATCCAGAATCAGTCAACAGAGACAGACAGGAAGCAGCAATATATAACAAGTGACTTCAAGACCGAGCTAAGAACATCAACATCTCACTATGTGAAATCAAGTAGTGTGAGGCCCTCCATGAAAACTGTTTTTCCCCCCAATTAATTTTGTTTTTTTTTTGGACAGGTGGAAAAGAAACTGGTCGTGATGGGGTTTATTTATTTTTAATTTTTTTTTTATTTTTTGAGACGGAGTCTCGCTCTGTCGCCCAGGCTGGAGTGCAGTGGCGGGATCTCGGCTCACTGCAAGCTCCGCCTCCCAGGTTCACGCCATTCTCCTGCCTCAGCCTCCCAAGTAGCTGGGACTACAGGCGCCCGCCACCACGCCCGGCTAATTTTTTGTATTTTTAGTAGAGACGGGGTTTCACCGTTTTAGCCGGGATGGTCTCGATCTCCTGACCTTGTGATCCGCCCGCCTCGGCCTCCCAAAGTGCTGGGATTACAGGCGTGAGCCACGGCGCCCGGCCAGAGATGGGGTTTATTATCTTGTATATTCTTTACTATTGATTATGGGTAATTTTCATACCTTGTCTGCCTGAAAATAAAGTGGTAGCTAATAAGCCCCAATTTAAGGAAGAAAAGGAAAGCTGAGCTACCCACAGTCACAAACAAACCCAAAAGCTGGAAATGTGATAGCAATTTAAAAAAATTTATTTAGACTATCAGGCCAGCTATTTCCTCCAGACCAGATTATTCTGTCTATGGCCTTCTCACCCACCACAATCAAAGGCCTGAACCCTGGAGCAGAGAGGAGGCAGTTCGGGACAGGCAGAGCTTCATCCTCTCCCCACAATGTACCTTCGATTTCAGAAATGCGCTTTTCAGTTTCTTTTTCCATCACTTTCTGCTGAAACCGAATTTTTGCCACTTGTGCAATCTTCTCTGCTTCTATAATCATACAACATAAGAAGACACATTCAAAACCATTTCTACAGTACCTGAGGCACTTCGAACCAGCAGCACACAGTCTAACATTTAATTACAGAAAGTTTTATGTGCTAATTGTTTCACTAAGTTTTATCTAGTCAGACTGTAAACTACTCAAAGGAAAAAAGGGAATTTATTTCCTAATTTACTGTTCTATTTTGACAGTGCTAGTTTTGTGGGAAGAAGGAGTAAAAAAAGGTTAAAGTGCCAGTCCTTCATGCAACTCTGTAGCAACGGTCCACAAGCTAATGGGAAAAAAAGATACTTTATGAAAGTACCACAGAACAAAAACAGAGCAACATAAATGCATGGCAACACAGGACAATTAATGTGGCAGGAGAAAGAAAGAATGAGTGACATAAGTTAAACCAAGGAAGACCTTCTGGAAGTAATCTTAAAGGAAATAATGGATATGACCTAAGAAGACATGCCAGGAAGCACAGAGAAAGACAAGAAGGGCCAGTCATGGTGATTCACGCCTGTAACCCCAGCACTTTGGGAGGCTGAGGCAGGAGGATCTCTTAAGCCCAAGAGTTCAAGACCAGCTTAAGCAACACAGTGAGACCTCCATCTCTAGAAAAAATTTATAAAATTAGCCAAGCATGATGGTGCGTGCCTATAGTCCCAGCTACACAGGAGGCTGAGGCAAGAGGATCTCTTGAGCCTGGGAGGTCAAGGCTACAGTGAGCCATGATCATGCCACTGCACTCCAGCCAGCGTGACAGAGTGAGGCCCTGCCTCAAAAACAAAAACAAAAACAAAAAAAAGAAAGACAAGAAGGCACAAATGAACAAGTCACAATGGAGAGGTGATATGGAACCAGCCAACAAGCGAAGACAACATAAAATAAGAAGAGAAAGAGGGCTAGGAGACCTCTGTCTTGAGTGACAGGCTAAGGAGCTTAGTTTTACTATACTCAGGATCTACTGTTAAGTTACCATTAGGGAAATGACAGGATGAAAATGGTATCAGAAGAGGAGTATTCCAACTGCTGTAGGGAAATAAAGCAGAAAGCAGGGTGATTCATTTGAGAAGGTGAAAACAAGCATTGGGAGTGAACATGTTGGTGTGGCAAGCAAGTACATGCAGAGGAAACTCAACACCCTTAATAAACCTCTGGCCTACCCAAATGACCCAGGACAAGGAAGAAAGACTTGAATTACACTTTACATTCAATCACTGCTATTCTTAAAGAACATTCTCAATTCTCCTTTTCAGTCAAAGAAGATGGGTATTTTAGGACATCTTATCTCTGACCCCTAGAAAAAGTACATAATGGAAAGAAAACTTCCAAGTGATTTTTTTCTTTCCATAAAACAGTATGCTTTACGAACTGCTCCAGGAGATAATTCCCTCTTTCTCCACCAATGTAAAATCAATCTATATTACACCATCCAAAAACTAAACTACTATGTTCAATGGGGCTAGAAATTGAACTGTAAGCAGAAACTCAAGATAAAACATGAATAAAAGGTGAGGGATCTGAAGCCTGCAGCTAGAACCCAAAGGATGTTACCTCAACATAGGGGGACTGTTGTGGTAATCTCATTCAACAAAGCTCTGTCATGTGGGAATAAATCAATAAAAAGCACGACCAGACTTCTAGAAAAATGGTGCAAAAGGCCAAAAGGCCAGAGAGAAAACCCTTTAGCTAACAACCTCTTAAAATGCTAGATGAAATATAGCAAATTTGTTTTTTAATGCATGGCTGAGTTGTAAGAAAGAATGAGAGATCCTCAAGTAACTTAAGCCAAGGGGGAGCCGAGAGCCTGTATGGTGGTGTCCCTGGGGTGGTTATTAGACAAGAAGGGAGTGGGACCTGGGTTTTTACCCATGCAAGACCAGGAGATGAGGCCTTGTGATATTAGGACTAAGACCCTTGCATAAAACTGAGACCTCTAGAGGGCTGCAACTCTAATGAAAGGGGAACTAAAACACTCTACCAACCAGCCCAGTTAAGAAGTAACCTCTTCTCTACCTAGCCACATCACAGTGAAACTGAAGAACACCCAAATACAGACAGAAACATGTTAAAAGCAAAAAGAGAAGAAAGGCTGATTACTCAAAAGGAACAACTGGACTAACAACATACTTGTAAATAGGTGCAAGCAGCCAAACAAAATTGAAATAATACTGCCATATTGATAAGGAAAAATTAGCTTGGTTTAGAATTGTAGGCTAAATTACCATTCAAGGATAAAATAAAAGCATTTTCAGACCAAGGAGGACCGAAGATAACTTTCACTCCTTAGTCTTCACTGAAAAAAAAATTACTAGAAAAAAAAAATCACCAGAAACAATGGAGAGGAAAAAACATTACTCAACACATGTCAATCAAAATAAGTGTTTACTGTAAGGATTAATCATAATGATCATAATTGATGGGAGGATAAAGACAACATGAAACTAAAATACTACGCAATAATAAAATGTAAGACTGGAGGACAGTGATAAGAGTTAAAGCATTCTAAGGTACTGTTCAAGAAGAGGATAGAATGATTAACAACTAGTTATACATTCCAGCAATGGAATGTAAAACTTCCAATCAAGTAAAAGGAAGAAAAGAAAAGAAAATTCAATCAATTCAATACCAATCAGAAAAGGGAAAAAGAAGCAGAGAAAAATGCATGGTAAATAGCACATAATCAAATGATACAAACACATCCAAATATAGCAGTAACCACAATAAATATAAAAAGACTAAACTCACCAGTTAAAAGACAGATTCTCACATTGGATAAGATTACAAAATCCAGCTATATGCTGTTTACAAGAGACACACCTAAAACATAATGACATAGAAAAGTTGAAAGTAAAAGAATGGGAAAAGGTACACCAAGAAAATAACTAACCAAGAAAAATCTGGTATAGCTATATTATCAGGCAAAATAGCTCTTAAGTTAAAAACATATCTAGGGATAAAGATTATTACAAAACAGAAGCAATTCTCCAGGGAGATATAACAATCCTGAACCTGAATGTTCTTAATGATATAGTCCCAAAATATATAAAGAAAAAAATTACAAGTCAACAAACCCATGGTCATAGTGGGAAATTTTAACACATCCTTCTCAGTAATTGATAGGTCAAGAAGGCAAAAATTAGAAGAATACAGAAGATGTGAACAACACAATTCATAAGCCTGACCAAATGAGTATATAAAGAAACCTGCATCCAACAACCAGAGAACACAGATTCAATCTTTTCAAGCACACAGACATTTACAAAAAAGGACCGTGTACAGGTAGGCCACAAAGCAATTTTCAATAAATATTTAAGAATCCATATAACAGGTCTTATTTTCTGACTACAATGTAGTAACACTGGAAATCAACAATAAAAAGGTAGCCCCTCAAAACCCACTAAACCAGAAATTGAAGCATATACTTTTAATAATTCATGAGCCAAAGAAGAAATTAGAAGGAAAAGGTTTAGAATTAAAACTGAACACCAATATACAAAGTACATTTCAAAACCTGTGAAACATAGCTAAAGCAATCCTTAGAAGAAAATTTATAATCTTCCATGTTTCCACTAGAAAAGACTTAAACTTAACTATCCAACTCAAGAAGTTAAAAAAGAACAAATGAACTAAAAAAAAAAAAAAGATGGAAGGAAATATTTTTTAAAAAGTGTAAATAATATAATTTAAACAAAGTAACAATCAACAAAACCAAAACAAAAGCCAATTCTCTGAAAAGATAAATAAAATAAAACAGACCTCTGGCAAAATTGATACAGCAAAAGAAAAGGCACAAGAAAACAGTATTAGCAATGAAAAGGGGCACACAGATTTGGTAGAGGTTTTAAAAATCATGAGAGAATTCTACGAACAAATTTATGCCCCAAAATTTGAAATATCAGATGAAATGAACAATTTTCTATGAAAATATAATTACCAAAACTGGCTTAAAAAGAAAACATGTATCTGAATATACCTATACTCAATACAGGAATTAAATCAATAGATTAACTGTTACCACAAAAAGCAAATGAAAAAAAGCAGAAACCTCACAAGACTAAGATGGCTTTTACGAGTTCCACCAGACCTACAAAGATGAAATTATACAGATCTGATACATAATGATGTGATATACAATAGAACACAGAAAAGGAAGCCATGCTCTTCAACTCATCTTGGGGATAGTATAACCATGATACAAAAAAACCTAACACTAAAAGTATAAGAAAATTATAAGCTGATCTCATTTATGAAAATAAAGGTAAAAATTCTAAAGAAATTATCAGCAAACTATATAAAAATGTATATAATGACCTATATAATGACCAAGTGGATTGTTTGTCCCAGAAACACAAAGATAAATCTGTTAATATAATTTACCATATTAACAGCTTTAAAAACATCTCAATATATGTAGAAAAAATTTTCAGACTGGGCACAGTGGCTCACACCTGTAATCCTAGCACTTTGGAAGACTGAGGCAGGTGGATCACTTGAACTCAGGAATTCAAGACCAGCCTGGGCAACATGGTGAAACCCTGTCTCTACAGAAAATACAAAAATTACCTGGGTGTGGTGGCGTGCACTTGTAGTCTCAGCTACTCGAGAGGCTGAGGTGGGAAAATAACTTAAGCCTAGGAGGCTGAGGCTGCAGTGAACTGTGATTACACCACTGTACTCCAGCCTGGGTGGCAAAGCGAGACCCTGTCTCAAAAAAATTCTGAAAGTTTTAACAGCCATTCAAAATGAAAGCTCTCAGCAAGCAAAGTACAGATTGAAACTTTATTAACCAGTGTTAAGTACAGCAAATGTCACTGGGACTATTTAAAGTTAAGGACAAGAATACTTGTCACTTTCTTTTCTACACTGTACTTAGAAGTCATAGCCTAAAGCAGTAAGACAGGAAGAAATAAAAAGTATGTGACTTAGAAGAAAAATAAAATTGTCCTTATGTGAAGATAAGGACCTATTGTCTGAAGACCATATGATTGTTCATGGGAAATCTAAGCGACTATTAGAAATAAGAGCATCTTCAGCAATATTGCTAAATAAAAAAATCAACAGCATACTTATACAAAACCCATTAGAAAATGTGCCTTTAAAAAAGTCAATAAAAAAATAAAGGTATATAAGAACAAATCTTTAATAAATGTGCAAGAACTTTAGAAGAAAATTATGACACTTTTTAAAAGACAACTCTCCTAAATGGAGAAACAGATTTATAAGACTCAATATCATAATTTTCTCCAAATTGATGCATACATTCAATGCAATTCCAATCAAAATCCCAACACAATATTTCACAAAACTTAAGGAGCTGGTTCTAAAATTCATGTGGATGAATAAAGGGCCTAGAATAGTCCAGGATAATTTTAAATATAGTTAGGAATAGTTAACAGGTAAGAGAAATAGTTACACAACTCACTCTCCACATCGCAAGACTTAACATAAAAGCTACAATAATTAAAACAAATTAATATTGAGGAAGGAGAGACCAAAAAATTGGAAAATAATAGATTATGGCATCAGAATAAATTATGTATAGTATCTTATTATATGATGGATATGGCATTAGAAATAAGTAGAGGAAATAATAAACTATTCAATAAACAGTCTGAGACAATTGGCTTGCCACTTGAAAAAATTAAACTGAATCCCTATGTCATACTCAACACCAAAATAAATTCTAGATGGGCTAAAGACTTAAATATGAAAAGCAAAACTTTAAAACTTTTAGAATAAAAGTCTTACTTTGGACTAGGGAAAGAATTCTTAAGATAGGAAAAGCACAAAACATAAAGGAAAAGACTAATGAATTTGTCTACACAAAAACTACACATATATGTATATCGAAGACATTGTAAAGTTCAAAGACAAGCCACAAATTGAAAGATGTTGGAAATGCATAAATCTGAAAAAGGATCAGTATCCAGGAGACAGAAAGGACTCTTACAAATCAACTCAAAAAAGCAATCAAATAATGGGCTAAGGACATTAACAGGCAATTCATATAACAACAACAAAAAAGGAAACTTGAATGACCAATAAGCAATATTCAACTTTACTAACAATCAGGGAAATTCAAATTGAAATTATGTGATACCATGTCTTCCATTAAACAGACATAAAGTTTTAAGTCTGATAACTCCAAGGACCAAGAAGGATGTGTGGAAATGGGAATTCAAATATGGCAGCATAGAAACTGGATATCAAATATTGTTGAAGAGATGGTAAAATCAAAGAAGTACTTGAGAGAGCAATTTGTCAATATGTTGAATGTGAAGACATGCTACCCTATGACCCATCAATTCTACTTTGAGATAGCTATTCTAGAGCAGTGCTTCTCAAACCACCTGTGGAAAAATACCTTACCTTTTTGTGTGTGTATTTCAATTTATGAGGAACCAATAAATTGTAAACTATAACAAAAACAAATTACAGTACTAGAAAAAAGAAATTAAAAAACAAAAACATAAATATATAAGCTCTGATTTTTTATTTTTGATTCAACAGACATAAAACTGCTGTATTAAAATGCTATAAAAACTTCTAAACACTCATTCTCAATTTCTATACTCATCTCATTGAGGCTCAGAAACAAAAAGCTGGTGATAGGGCACTGGCCCACACCATACACTGAGTAATGCTACTCTATGGAAACCTGCACATGTACACTGTATCCAGGAGGCACTGGATAAGAATGTTATTGTGGCAGTGTTTGTAATAAGGAAAAACTAGAAACTACCTAACTCCTCATTGGTAATTCATTACAATAAAACTAGGCCCGCTCATAGAACGAAAAATGTAGCAGCTAAACATAAACGATCTACCATCTCACAGAGAATAAGGATAAAATGCCAAAAAAAGAAAAAATCCCTAGATCTACATGTATCAATATGAATAAAACTCAATGTTAGTGAAAATAAGGCAAGTTGTAAAATAAGAGTTTGGTAACATTTTTGTAGTTTCAAACAGGTAAAACAATTTTATAAACTCTTACACACTTACAGTAAAAGTATAAAAATATGGACAGAAAGGATATACATCAACTTCAGAATAGAAGTTAATCTGAGAAGAAAAGTCAAAGAGTAGGACCAGTGAACATACAAAGGAGGCTTCAAACAGATATTTAATTTTTTTCTTAAAAAAAAAAAAAAAGATCTGAAGGGAATAAGGCAAAATCTTAAGCTTTCATTATATTGTTCTCTGTACATTCCTCTATAATTGAATTATTTAATTAAAGATGTATTAAACTTTCAGCATCAACCGAGGGCCAAAGAGGGCAATCTAATACACAGTGACCTGGAGTATAAGGGAAGCCACTGTAATCTGAAATGAACTGTAAACAATCCTGCCATGCTTTCATAAACGGCACTACCTATCCAGGTAAAACTAAGTGCATGTCAACAACAAGGATGCATACTACAATCTGAAACTTTGGTCAAAAAACTTCCCTATTCTTAATCTGTACAAATGAAAATGCTATCCACAGACTCAAGCTGCCTATAAACCCTATCCATTCTCCCTGTTCTTGAAAGAGACAACAGTAGCATCTAACAACATGATGGACAGCCACAGCACATCATTAAGTACTGGTCTCACCTACTTTTAAAGGCTTTAGAACATCTGAATGTACAGTGGAGATTCCAGAATTCCCCACTACCTATGATGCAATCTTACTGAGTCCCATGATACCCAAAATGAGACTGACAAAGAACAGGACAAACAAATGTACTTAGAGACAATCATTTCAGAGAAATCCAAGTACCTATAACTGCCTTTTTCCTCTCTGTCTCAGCTTCTTTTTCCACAACCTTTTGTTTCTGTGCAGCTATAAGGAGTTTTGTCTTCTCAGCCTCCCTGTGAAGCAAAATGTTATAAAAATTAGAAATGATTCTCCTATGTGCAGTCACAGCCAGTAATTCTGACCCTACAGTGAGTCAGAGAACCGTTTTGTCAACATGAGCTTTTGGACCCATTAAGGTAGGTTAAGAGAGGTGTTACTTTATTTTACTTATAATAAATCTGAGGTTGAAAGATTCAATGATTTGCCCAAAGTCACCCAGAGATAGGAAAAAAATTTAGTACATTTGAATTTTAGTTTGGCTTTCTTCTCCTAGTTGTATTGTGTAAAGCCTGTGATTTGGAAGGGAATATATCAATACTTCCTTTGCTGTTAGACCTCCAGCTAGTCCATACAGCAGCTCTGTGCCAATTAGAAAACGGCACCAGCCGTTTCTACAGTCCTGCAGGTGCATGGTTTGACATGCAGAATGAAGCTGGGTTTCAGCCCCTGCCCTCCTCAGGTGGGCACCCATGTGCAGTGACCATATTTGTTGCACAGAAGATATAACTAGGTGGTAGTTATTAGGTAGTAAACTGGGGCTTACAGTAAGGAGAATTTTCTAAGGCTTCCAGTGTCTAATACAGGTTGAGCATTTCTGATCTGAAAATTTGAAATCCAAAATGCTCCAAAATCTGAAACTTTTTGAGAGCCCACATTATGACACAAGTGGAAAATTCCACACATAAGCACTTAAGGTAAACTTTGTTTCATGCACAAAATTATTTAAAATATTTTATAAAGTTACCTTCAGGCTATAGGTGTATATGGGACATAAATAAAATACCTTAAAAAAAAAAAACTAACCACTATACCAACAAGGAAGAACATAAATAAATTTTATATTTAGACCTGGGTCCCATCCCTGAGATATCTCATTATGTCTATGCAAATATTCCAGAATCTTTACAAATCCAAAATTTAAAATACTTCTGGTCCCAAGCATTTCGGATAAGGGGTACTAAACCTGTAATGGAAATGGCTGGCATATTACTAAGCATGTACAAGTAGCTACTGGGTAACCACGTGGCAGAAATGGTATAAGAAAACACTACTATCAGGTGCAAGGTTATACTGGATCATCCCAAGGTAGCTTTTAATTCTGGAATTCCAATAGTCCATAAAATTAAGAAAGATCCAGAATCATCTGAAAAGTAACTCCAATAGTTTCCCCAAAACACTTCCCCTCAAAGTTTCCCCTTTCCTCTGATAACATTGATAAAGACATCAAATGACAGTCTGAATACTATGATTTATTTGAGAGCAGAAAACACACAATATTCATTTTTCCGTCACCAGAAGCAATCTTTTTTTTTTTTTTTTTTTGAGATGGAGTCTCACTCTGTCACCCAGGCTGGAGTGCAGTGGCACTATCTCGACTCACTGCAAGCTTCGCCTCCTGAGTTCACGCCATTCTCCTGCCTCAGCCTCCCGAGTAGCTGGGACTACAGGCGCCCACCACCATGCCTGGCTAATTTTTTGTATTTTTAGTAGAGACGGGGTTTCATTGTGTTAGCTAGGATGGTCTCGATCTCCTGACCTCGTGATCCGCCCACCTTGGCCTCCCAAAAGTGCTGGGATTACAGGCATGAGCCACCGCACCCAGCCTAAGCAATCATATTTAAAGCCTAAGACATGCTGACAGTTTAATAAAATTTTCTTTTTGAGACAGAGTTTCGTTCTTTTGCCCAGGTTGGAGTGCAATGGCGTGGTCTCGGCTCACTGCAACCTCTACCTCCCCGGTTGAAGCGACTCTCCTACCTCAGCCTCCCCAGTAGCTGGGATTATAGGTGCCTGCCACCATGTCCAGCTAATTTTTCTATTTTTACTGGAGACAGGGTTTCACCATGTTGGCCAGGCTGGTCTCAAACTCTTGAACTCAGGTGATCCGCCGGCCTCAGCCTCCTGAAGTGCTATGATTATAGGCATAAGCCACCACAGCCCGCCTATAAATATTTTTTCAATAAGTGGATCACATCCATAATCTACCCAGCCTGGCAGTCTACATTTTATACTTTTAAAAGAAGAGTTCTTTGTCTACAATGAAAAAGAGAAAACAGGCTGGGTGTGGTGACTCAAGCCTGTAATCCCAGTACTTTGGGAGGCCAAGGCAGGAGGACTGCTTGAGCCCAGGAGTTTGAGACCAGGCTGGGCAACAGGGCAAAACTCCGTCTCTATGAAAAATACAAAATTTAGCTAGGTGTGGTGGCATGCACTGGTAGTCCCAACTACTCAGGAGGCTGAGGTGGGAGGATCGCTTAATCACTTGAGCCTGGGAGGTTGAGACTGCAGTGAGCCGTGATTGTGCCACTGCACTGCAGTCTGGGCAACAGAGCAAGACCTTGTCTCAAAAAAAAAAAAATTAAGAAAAAGAGAAATAAAACTCTGTATGAGCTCAGAGAAGGTATGAGGGAAAAGGAAAATATAAAAGAAGAAAAAAACAATAAAAATCTGCATGGTAACAAAAAGGACTCAGAAGTAAACAACCTCATAAAGTAGTATTACTGCTCCTTGGACTTCCAGTATTTATACATCTGTGGTATCCTTGACTTGTGCAAATTTATTTTTCCAGCGTCTTATACTTTCCCTTTTAACACATCAGCCAAATTTCCTAAAGACTTTTATTTCTTCTTTTCAGTACCAGTCATACGAAAACAATATTGCCATTTCAAACACAGTAAGTATTCCCCTAAAAGGGATCCTGTCAGAAACTAATTTCATGTCTTCTCATTCCCAGTCAGCCCTGGATACATAAAAGAGAAGACTACCAGGAGTCAACAGAAGCAAGGCTTCCCTAGAGGCACATTATAAAGAACCAGGTCTAATTTTAGATATACAATCACATACAATGGAAAACCAAACTTTATACCAACAAGGTATCTATTCCTACCATTACAACACAGAAACAAAATATGAGCACTCTCTTCAACCCTAACGGCTTCAGGACTCTTTCCTCTATTAAATATTTAATTCAAGGTACTATTCATATAAAATTATAGCTCCTTAAGCTTCCAGCAATAGTTTTACAGCAAACTGCATCTTTAGCCACTGAAACTGCTCCTGAAATGTCCATACATAAAGAGAACACTAGTAAGAGTCTAGTGGGAATTAAGACACAAGAATAGGCAATATTACTAGAGTAAGAGTAAAGAAGATAAGACACATACTCCACCCCAGAGTGTATTGTCTCACATGTTTCCTCTAGACTGGAATATTAATATGCAGACAGCCCTAAACAGAAATATTGGGATCCCATGCATATTACTCACATTAACTCAAAATTTCTTCTTATGGCTTCTGGGATTTTGGGTTTTGTAACACGCACAGCCTAAAAAATAAAAGTGAAAAAGCCAAAGTATATTTGAAAGATAAATCTTCAAATTAAATCTTCTACAGAAAAGCCCCTCAAATGATACTAATCTAATAAACAACAGCTATAATATAGCGGCCTACTAACACGTTTGGGGATCCCACCAGAACATTTACTTTTCATGCCATCACACCAAGAATCAAAGACAAGCTGCTTCTTATTTCCTTACACAATGCCAGATTACAGGAAAAACCATCTACCCACTGAGGAAACAACTGCCTTATGAAAAAGGTTCTCACTTAAAAGATGTTTTACAAAGGTCGTTAGATACTTTTGCTTTCTTTTTCAACCCTGTAAACCAAAGAAGCCGGGAAGGCAAAGTTCCAAGACTGAAATTGTAAAGTCAGAAACAATTAGTCAAATACAAAAACAAACAAAAAAACCCAGGTTGGTGTATACAATTTAATACAGTGAGTAGTGAGTAAATTAATCTATCACTTCCAACCCCTGCAATCACTTGGTATTTGCTGTAAGTAAACAGCCCACTGGCTGAAGGAAAACAAATATCAATTAAAAGCTTATATTCTTTCTTCCTTAACTCTCACTTAGAACAAAGTCTGTCTTTGTAGAGGCTGTTTACCAGACACTTTGTTTCCCTAATCATAGTGTTCTTTGACACAATTAAGATTATCTACCTGGACAGTACTGTTTTTTGAAGGCTGACTTTTCTACATCAAGGACTTGATCTCTCAAAAGCTTTTGATTTTACTAAACATACGATACCCCGCCGCCCCACCTATACTGCAAACACACACAAAAAACACTTTGCTGGTCTGAAGAAGTTTTCCTTCTGAAAACTGGCTAACCTTTTAAGAATAACAAAGCCTTTAAGCACTTAGTCTTCTTTAAAGGCTTTTAAAACTTTTAAGCGATATAGCATTTCCTATATGAAATAGATGAGTCAAATTTGTAGGTAATTTTGAGGACAATCATAACTAAATATAAGGATTACAGTGGAATGGAATAAGCAGCTGAAGGCTGTGTGGAAAAAACTCACAACACACTGGCAGTGACACATGTGAGGCCTCACAACTCAGTGGAGACATGCAGAAGACAAATAAAAATTCAGGACCAGATTTTGTGAGATGTCAGATTTCACCATGTGACTAGCAGACATAAGATTACTTCCAATATGGATTAATATGATTCAAGGAAGCACTGTCATACTGCATTTAATTAAGAGACTGGCCACATATCTTTTTAGCCTTATTAAAAGAAGCGTAAAGTAGGACTTTTTTTTTTTTTTTTGAGATGGAGTTTTGCTCTTGTTACCCAGGCTGGAGTGCGGTGGTGCAATCTCAGTTCACTGCAACCTCCGCCTCCCAGGTTCAAGCGATTCTTCTGCCTCAGCCTCCTTAGTTGCTGGGATTACAGGCATGCGCCACCAAGCCCGACTAATTTTTGTATTGTTTTTTAGTAGAGACAGGGTTTCACTGTGTTGGTCAAGCTGGTCTCGAACTCCTGAACTCAGGTGATCCAACCACCTCGGCCTCCCAAAGTGCTGGGATTACAGGCGTGAGCCACCACACTCGGCCAGGACTGTCTTTTGAAGACTCCTATTTTGCTGAATGAGGCTGAAGAACATACTACATTGTGCTTGCCAATCTTGGGAAATCTCACAGATTTTCAAATATGTGAAAACATAAACACTTACTGTACAGATACCATGAGTAAGTTGCATCAAAAGAGATTTTAAAAGTAAAAGTGGGAAGTCCCACTCAGGCACCCCTCTCCCTCACAGGAGAGAGAGCTATTCTCCTTTCTGTTTCTTTTGCCTATTAAACCTCTGCTCTTAACCTCAAATAATAAAATAATGCCCCCATCCCACTCACATACATAGAGTGAATGGAGGAAAAAAATGGCTAATGAAAGGAATATATGTATTGAAACTGACCCCTGGGTTTTAAGCATATATTATATATCAAAAGCCAGTCTATAATATAGTCACTCCCTTAAATAACATAGGAAAAAAAAAATCAAAGATGACCATTTTCATCATTCTAATTTGCCAGAGTAGTTTTTCAAGAAGAAAAATGGTATATAAATATATGGAAAGGAAAAAAATATAATAGTGACTGTAAAAATAGTAACCCAAAAATTACTAGAAGGCAGTGAATTCAAGTTGTAGATATAAGATAAATCTACCAAGAATCAATCACATTCCTCAATGATTAAAAAAAAAAAAGACTACATATTGAACAGCATTAAAATTCATTAAATCCATTGGTATTAATTTAACTTAGGATATGAGTTTCTCCCCTAAATCAGAAATTCTAAAAACCAAAAAGGCTGATATGATAAAGTAAAGCCATAAACTATGTTTCTATTTTTAACTTATATTGGAGGATTGCATGAGGCCAGGAGTTTGAGACCAGCCTGGGCAACACGGCAAAGGCCCATCTCTACAAAAAATAAAAAAATTAGCCAGATGTGGGGGTGTGTACCTGTACTCCTAGCTACTTGGGAGGCTAAGGCAGGAGAATCACTTGAGCCCAGGAGTTCAAGGCTGCAGTGACCTATGATCATGCCACTGCACTCCAGCCTGGGCAACAGAGGGAGACCCTGTCTCAAAACAAAACAAAACAAAACAACATGTATATGACCACTTAGGTGCCTGATATAGCTTGAAAATATCGATAATGAAAACTCATCTGGAAGATTAAGCTGGCAGAAACAGCAAAGGCCATTATTTTTTAAAAGATGATGTCTCTTGCCAGATTTTAAAATAAAAAGTTGAATTATCACAACCATATGGTAATGTGTTAAAAATAACAAAGCTCAAAAACAGCCTTGAAATTCTTAAAATGCATTCCAACTATTGTAAAAAAAATTTTATAACAAGACAAAAGCAACCAAAGCAAAGGAGCTCTTCTCTTCTCAGGGTATGCTTAAGTTATTGCAAAATATAAAAATTATTTTAAAATTTTTTTAAACCCTAAAACAATGGAGATCTCTACCACTTTAAGAACGTATAACAAAACTACATTTTTTCAATCAATAACTTTTTATAAAAACAGCAAATAAATATAAGTAAATTCAAAAGATCCTTCTGGCTGTTGTGCAGAAAATGAAGTAGACAAAGGTAAAAGTGAAAGTGGGGAAAGAAGACAGGCGGCTACTGCTACTGCACATGTCAAGGTTAGAGTTGGTAGCTTGGCTTGAGATGACAGTGAAGATGGAGGTGTGGTCAGTTTTATTAATACATGGATTTTGGTGGTGGAATCTGCAGGACATAGGGACTGATTAGATGCTGAGGGTGAGGCGATTGTCAAAGATGCCTCCTACACTTCTAGATTGGCTTGAGGGGAAAGAGTTACCATTAACTGACAAGATGAAAAACACAGGAGAAAATTCGATTTGATGAGAAAAGACCAAGGACTCAATAACTAATGAAAGAGTAGGAATGGGAAGATCAATGGAACAGAACTAAGTTCAGAAAAAGACTCTAGTATATAATGGAATGCAGTATGTAACATAAAAACTATTTCAAAGAAGGGGGAAGATGGAAAAATAAACTATTCAGTAATTACCGCTGTTACCCAATTTGGGGTTGAGGGGATGGAGCTGAAGGCCTACCTTGCAACTGAGATCAAAATGGGTTGCAGATGAATTAAAAGATTTAAATCTAAGAATACAACTGTAAAAGCAGATACAATTTTTATAATTTCTAATTTTAATTGCTATACTTTTAAGGTGGTGAAAAGCTCTTAAAACATGCCAGCTCAGCAACACACCATAAAGACAAAATCACTGAAATTACTATGTAAAACATGAACACTTCAAAGTTATCAGCAAGGAAAAAACAAAGTTAAATGACAAAGAAAAAATTTGAAGAAAATGTTTCCTATAAATATAAAAAAGAGCTACAATAACTAACATATGAAAAAGTTTATTTTTAAAAACGAATTCTACCCCTCTCAAAGGGTAAGGTTCAAAAACAAGTTCTCTATATACAAATGCTATTTATTTATTTATTTATAGACAGGGTTTTGCTCTGTTGCCCAGACAAGAGTACAGCATGAACACAGTTCACTGCAGCCTCAACCTGCTGTGTTCAAGTCATCCTCCCACCTCAGCCTCCCAAGTAGCTGGGACTACAGGCACATGCCACCACACCTACCTAATTTTTTAAAAAAATTTTTTGTGGAGAAGGGGTCTCACTATGTTGTCCAAGCTGACCTCAAACTCCTGGGCTCAAGGGAGCTTTCCACCTCAGCCTCCTAAAGTGGTGGGATTACAGATGTGAGCCGCTATGCCCAGCCAAAAATAGCTTATTAAAATCAGTTAGAAAAACCATTAACTACAAAAATGAGCAAAACCAACAATTTATAAATGAAATAAAAACAGCTAATAACCTAGGGTATTCAACTTCAATAATTAACACAAAATAACAGACTAATTTTCTCCAAAAGGATTAAGAGAGAAAGGGAAAGCTTGCATCTGCTAATTATTTGGGTACAATCATGCAATCAAATGTGTAAGAACTACAGCTTACCAACACTGCTAATGAGGGGGGGAGCTGCTAAAATTTTTCTAAAAGGTGATTCGGTAGTATGTATCAATAAGCCCCCAAACAGGGCATACACTTTGATCATCAATCCCACTTCAAGAATTTATTGTAAGAGAGGGATTTAAAAAGATGTACAGAATATATAAGCTTGGTCATTCCAACATGCATACAGTAGTAAAAAATTTGAAACCATAGAGATTCACTAAATATAACCATTAAAAGTAATGATTTACCAAACCTATATTTTTGTTTTGGAAAGATGTTCATAGACAATGTTAGTGAAAAAAGCAAGTATGGTATGATTCTGCTTTAGTTGAGCATGTATGCATTTATATCTACAAACATTTGTTCATATACATTAAGAATAGTCGAGAAAGATATAACAAATGATGTTATCCCTGCATAATAAGATTACTGGTGAATTTCATTTTATTCTTCATCATTTTCCTAGTATCTAACTTTTTTCTACAACATAAATAACGTGTGTGTATAAAAATTCCAAATTTATACAGAACAAATCAGTAAGAAAGAAAACAATCCAACAGAAAAATGGGCAAAAGATATGAATAGGCAATCAGCAGAAGACAGTATAAATGACCAATAAATGTATCAAAAGATGTTCAACCTCATTAACAACCAAAGGAATGCAAATCAAAGGGAGATATAATTGCCCACCCATCCATATGGTAACAATCAGTATGTCTGATTGCTTCCAATGTTGGTGAGTTCATGGGTCACAATTATTTGCACATATTGCTGTTAAGAATGTACATTTGTACAGTCAGTTTGAAAGATAATTTGTACATACAAGAACATGTGTCATGAATGTTCATTACACTATTGTTTAATAGCAAAAAACTGGGAACAGAAAAATGGCTAAGTAATATAAGGCAAGGAATTCTAAACAACAGTTGAATGAGCTAGATCTCTGAGTAACACCCTGGGCAGAATCTAAGAGCTGACCTTCACATTCACTATCTTTAAAACTAAAAAGCTACTCCAGCTACAACTGACTTGAACAACTCAGAGGATTTTACAAAGTTACCTCTGGACATTTCAAACGACCCCTTAACTCTGGTGGCTCACCCTCAAGCGCCTGAGATAATGACATTGCATGAATGAGGCCATGAGGAAAACCCCACCTATCTTTCAGTCTTGTTTTTGAGAAGCACGAACACATACAATCACAGTGAGCGCACACTCTCAGTAGCAGTGGTGCTGAGTGTAAAGAATTGAGAGACATGTGATAAGCTTTAGTTGCAGTAATGTTCATCACAACAATCAACAATCAACTGGTCTCCTAGAGCTCCTGAGAAAGGACACTAGAGAAGCCTCAATATAACTTCTTAGGTCATCTGGATCCAGAGCAGTGGCTTTCGAATGTTACTGACAGTGGACACAGTAAGAAACACATTTTGCACTGACGTCCAATATAAACACCTACCCCGCCACACTGTGAAACACAAGTGTCACAGAATATTTAAACTTATTACATACCATTTCTTTTCCTATTCTATTCCATTTTATTTAAAATGCTGTTCATGACTCACTAAAGTTGATTTTACAACCCACAATCTGGAAAACACAGTGACCCAAAAAAAAGCAGGGGTAAAACCTCTCACCATTCTATTTCCCAACGTCACCATCACCACTACCACTAAATTCACCTGCTACCTTGTTTTTACTAGGGCTGTCCCTCCCACTTGAAATACCTTTCTCATTCTTCCCCCATTTAAATCCAATTAATTTTTCCAAACCTACTTAAAATCTCAACTCAATCACAGCCCTCTCCTAGACACACTGTCTTCCAATGTTCTCTTACTCTTACAGCAATAATCATTCAATAGATTCATCTGTCAATTAATACTTTGTGATAACTATTTTGTCCAGGATTGTTCAAATTTTACACTTGAACTCCCTTTTCATAATCTTACTGAGGGCAGGGATTATGCTTACACTGATTTATAACCATTACTGTATCTTAATGCTTCATACATGGCAGAAATATGAATTTTACTTCCTTGTAAGAGCCTCAGCTTATCAGTTCCCTCTAGGAGTTCACAAATGTCACCCATAGTAAGCTACAAGAGTATTTTATTTTGGCAGAGATCTAAAGTCAAATTGAGAAAGGTATTCTATAAATCACCATAGCATCTCAAATAATTGCTGAATAAAACAATCCAATGAAAGGAGGAACAAACTCAAAGCTCTCAAAATCCCCAGAGAACTTCCCTAGGAAAAGAACTTACCTGTATAGTGAGACCTGGGGCCATGAGGTTTAAGTCTTTCTGCAGAGCTTGCTTCAGGTTTTCATCTATTTGATCTGTTTTTTAAGCCAAGAACAACAGATCTCATGATAGTCAATTTTTTTTACATTGTATTCATAATGAAACAAAACTAATCATTATTAGACCTAAAGTTTCCACAGTACTATTCTTTTACAGAGCTTAAACTGCCTTTTCTTCCCTTTTGTGTGGGAAAAAAATTGCAAGGAATTATCTAATAAAGAAATTAAGGAACGAAGATGACAAGCAGATAGTCTGTTTATCCAATAAGTTTACCCACTAAATGTATTACTTAACTATGGATAAGCTTTTTTACTGGGTAACTTATTAGACTTATTTACTGGATAAACAACTACTGGGTAAAATATGTTGATCTAATAAATGGAGAATCTGGATCTCTAGTATCTTAATTCAGGGCTCTTACTCAATATGTATCCTCATTCTCAAAGAAAAACAAATTTCTATGTTCAGTAAATCTTTACTCAAATTCCCAAATAACTAAACTTCATTTCCATGGATCTCAGCCTCACTGTTATTTTGGATTTAAAGAGAGAGAGAGAGAGAGACAGAGAGAGAAGCTCATAGAAAAGTATTTGAAATATACACAGCATGAACACTTGGGCTTGTAACTATGCACTTTCTATTCACCTCAATGGTACTTTCGCTATTTAAATGACTGGTGGTGAGACAAAGCAGGACCCATCAGTTTCCTCACATGCCACTTCAGTGGTTGACAATCACCAAAGAGGACTCAATTGGTAGATTTTAAATTGATTACTCTTGCTTATTCCTTCATCTTAGAAATTCACTAAAAATTTCAGGAGGGAAAAGTGAGCTACCAACAGCAACAACTCATTCCCTGGTCAGAACTTCCACTATCATAAATGAAAAGTAAGTTGTACAGAAGTGAGTTAAGAAAGCAGGGCTGATACTGCAATCCTTAGAAAGGCCTTTTGTAAACTCGTCCTTGGTTGGCACCTAGGAACTTGGATTTGTAGAAGGGTCCCACTATCCCCAGAGCTAATACAATTGACTTGCTGTGAACTGTTTATACAATGTGGCTTATGCCAAACACCTGCATTCCTTCCAGGAGTCTGGAATTTTTATGTGGTAGGCAGAGGGTGCCTACATAATCAGCCCCCAGTGAAAACCCTGGGCAATGAGTCTCCAATGAGCTTCCCTAGTAGACAACATTTCACATGTGTTGTCACAGCTTGTTGCTGTGGGAATTAGGCACATGTTTGACTCTTGGAAGCCTGCACCTGCTTTCCTCTGCATTTTGCTGGTGTGCCTTTGCCTCTCGCTGATTTTGCTTTGTACCCTTTGGCTGTAATAAATCTTAGCTGTGAACACAACTATGTGCTGAGTCCTGTCAGTCTCCTACCAAATCATCAAAAATGGGAGCCTCAAGACACAGGTTTCTAAATTTTTCAAATTATCTATTAAAACATCAACAAAGCTAATTTTCACTAAGTTATTACAGTAAAAACAGAATACAGTCTGAGTAGTTTTTCCAATCTCTAACAAGTTATATAAAAAATTTTAAACTTAAGATAAAAAATATTTTAAAGACAATTGCTCTATGATAAATTCAGAAGAAATGCTTAAATAGCACTAAGGTTTACCAATATAACCTCAATAAGTAAGCTGAACAAAGATTTCCAATTGGCTATTTACATACATAAGAATTAAGACACTTACCAAACAATTCAATGTAAACTTCCTGAAGTGTGTGGGCACTGCAGAACTGGTTCAGCTCATGGTGGATTTTATTGAAGATTAAGGTCTTGTCATAATCTGCAGTATAGTTCCTCACGATATCAAACACTGAAGGAGAGGTACAACCCATGTTTGTTTTACCCAACAATGACACAGGTACCTTCAAATTCAGCCAGGGTAAAAGTCAGGGTGATATATTACACATGAGGAAAAGTGCCAACAAAATAGTGAAACCAAAAACCACAACTAACAAATCTTGATGTGTTGCTTGTGCTCAATTTTCCAAATACCCTTGCATTTGTAATACTAATGCCAAACACCTGCTGGTTAGCCCATCAAACAGGGGCTAACTTTAAAGTCCACACTAAAGTATCCATTATTTTGGAGGTAATAAGGAACTATCAAAGGTTTCAAGCAAGGGCATGACAGTCAGATTTACGCTTTGGCCAGCAGTGTGAAGATGAACTGAGAAGCATAAAGATCAGAGGCAGGGAAAGCATAAGGCAATTACTGCAAAAGTTTAGCTAAGAGGTAAAGAGAGACTAGGCAAACTGAGGAACAGTAGAAATAAAAGAAGAAAGCAGTTGCAAAAGACCGTTTTTAAAAAGGCAATTTTTTAAAGTTGTTAAAACATTAACTGAGCTGGGCTTTATATCAGGTAATTTACATAAATTAGCACTGAATTCTCCTAAATTTGCATATTAGGAAACTAAGAAACAGAGAATTTTAGAAATGCCCAAAAGGTACATACTAGACCACGTCAGAACCTGTTCTTTATCTACAAAAACATGCTGCTTTCTACTTCTGTCTTCAGATCCAAGAATTTGCTCCACTGGCCTTCCCATGTGGGATATTAGATGCAACTGGATTTCAAATCCGACTGGGCGCGGTGGCTCATGCCTGTAATCCCAGCACTTTGGGAGGCTGAGGTGGGTGGATCATTTGAGTCAGGAGTTCAAGACCAGCCTGGCCAACATGGTGAAACACTGTCTCTACTAAAAATACAAAAATTAGCCTGGTGTGGAGGCATACACCTGTAGTCCCAGCTACTAGGGAGGCTGAGGCAGGAGAATTGCATGAACCCAAAAGGCAGAGGTTGCACTGAGCTGAGATCATGCCACTGCACTCCAGCCTGGGTGACAGAACAAGACTCCATCTCAAAAAAGAAAAAAAATTAATGGACAGGCCATTAATAAATACTTAATGACTAAATCATTTGCTTGATCATTTCCCAAATGAATTATATCTAAATAGTTTCCTATTTAATCTCTGGTTAAAGAATCATCAGTCCCTTCCCTTTTTCAATCATAATCCATTCCAGTGATTTGTAATCAAGGAAAGGAGAGGAAAAAAAGACAAGGAAAATGCTTACTCTCTGAAAAATATAATCCAAATGCCCTTGACAGTAATACGCCTGCTCTCTACTCTGAAATCTTTTCACTATTTGTGCCTGTACCGGTTATGTGAAATTTATTATGACCTTACATCCCAATATATCCTTTTTTAGCTCTGTATTATGTCTTCTCAAGTAAAATTAAAACCCCTGAAGGCAAAGGCTGTAATTTCATCTTTTCAAATTATTCTTGCCAAACACAATATTCTGTACATACTAGACATGCCAGTTTTATTAACAAGCATGCATATAAGACGGTATATCTTTCTTCAGGGCTTCTAATTAAGTTTTTGATTACAACAGTACCTACCCACCCCATACCTGTAGGTTTTCATCTTTTATCAAGAAAATGCTTTCCCCACGTTGAAGGCTTTCAGACTGCTTTGCAAATTATAGCAAATCTCAACTAGAAAATACTTCTCTTTGATGGCAAATCAGTGTGGGCCAAGGAATTGATCAGTTACAGATTTCTAACACCCAAGGAAATTATCTCTCATCCTGACTGGATAAAATACTACTTTCCTATTCTAGAAATAACCAATGACCATTTTGCTCTTAGAAACACTAAGCTCAGAGAAGAGTAACTCATACAGTTGCAGAAAGTCAACTCTGTCCAGAACTTCTGACCTATTTTTGCCTCTATTCCCCAGAAATTTATTAATCAGTGATCAATGAAGTCATAAAACTTTCAAAGTACCCTTCTATTCCTCAAAGAATCTCTCAGCTATAAATCCTCTGGCTATAACTATAAAAACCACAGGTAGATGGGTAACATACCTGCATAAGGAGCCAACATATTAACCACTTCTATTCGGTCAATATAGATCATGACCCCACCACTAAAAACAAAGAAAAAAAGTGTGAACTACTAAAGGCAATCCATAAAACACAGTTATAGATAGACCTGGGGAGAAGCTGATAATGAAACATACTAATATTCACTTAAAACACAGAAAGAGTTCGCTTCCTTTTTCATAGCATTTCTGTCCCTCTATAGATGTCAATGTCTTTTTTACACTTGTAATAGTCATTTAAAATAAGTAATTTAAAAAATACCTTGAACTTCACATTCTTCTTTTGATACAATTCAATGCAGTGATTATACCCTAGAAATAATTTGGGCCCTGCTTGCCTTTCTTTCCCTAAACCTCTTTAGGACAGCAATTCTCAAAGTGAGGTCTTCAGACCAGCAGTATCAGCATCACCCAGGAACTTTTGTTAGAAATGCAAATTCTCGGGCCTCACCCCAGACCTATTGAATCAGAAACTCTAAATTAGATGGCATTTAACACTACAGATGAGAAGACGGTGGGATGATTAATTTTAAACTATGTTTTATTAAGCACCTATTCTGGGCCAAGTTCTGGTTAGGCACTTCATATACAGTAATTCTAATCCTTACAACAACTCTGCAAGGTAGATTTTACTGCCTTTATAAAGGAGGAAACTAAGCTTTAAAGTGTCAATAAAGGAATGTGTTGGGGAAAGAGGTATATAAAAACTGTCTGTACTTTTTGGTCAATTTCACTATGAACCTAAAACTGCTGTAAAAAATAAAGTCTTTAAAAAATAGTCAATAAAGCAGATGCAGCAGTGCTAATACACAGTTAGGTCTACTTGCTCTAAAACTCCAGTTTTTTCCAATAATACCATAAGAACAATAATGGTTCTTAAGATGGAAAAGCTCCTATTTGGAGATAGGCCTTTGCTCAAACAATGCTCAGATCAGAAGTCCCCTTGGGTTAACTATCATGCCTATTTGAGATATGTCTAAGTGATCATAGCTGTAGGAACAGAAACTCTGTCTGAGCTAAAGGGAGGCTCGTAGGCAAAGAGAAAGCTTACCTTGTTCCACAAGGCACATTTTTAACTTCATCAGTTTGTAGTGTTGTCTAGGGAGGAAAAGATATCTCATCAACACTCAAGACACACATTGTCAAAAAACTACTGGTACCAGAGGCAAATCTCTGGAAAGCTGCTGACAGTAAGTACAGCAGAGATCCATCACAATTTCAGTTCCCAAAGATTAGCTCTCAGAACAGTCATTTCTTTTTGTATTCTAGTAGAAATGAAAGACTTGAGACAGAAAATATTTTACAGCAATTTTTTTTTTTTTTTGGAGACAGAGTCTTGCTTTGTCACCCAGGCTGGAATGCAGTGGTGCAATCTTGGCTCACTGCAACCTCTGCCTCCTGGGTTCAGGCGGTTCTTGTGCCCCAGCCTCCCAAGTAGCTGGGATTACAGGTATGCACCACTACGCTCAGCTAATTTTTGTATTTTTAGTAAAGATGAGGTTTCACCATGTTGGCCAGGCTGGTCTTGAACTCCTGGCCTCAAGTGATCCACCCACCTTGGCCTCCCAAAGTGCTGGGATTACAGGCGTGAGCCACTGTGCCTGGCCTACAGCGAATGTTTGAATTAAGATTCACTGGGAAAGGTTCAATGTTCAGTCTGCTAATAAGTAGAAAACTCTTCCAGAGTCCCTTACCTGCCTGGAGCTGGCCAGGGGTTGTAAACAACACAGCTTGCTCACATAGATACTCTGGCTACAACTTGCACTCTGAACTTTGATTCCACTGCTAATATTACTATTTATGTTGAAGATAAAAGAGATTTTATGCATACAAGTACTCTAAGACTCAAAGCTGCCCTTGAATCCAACAGCAACCTTTCTTCTCTAAAGCTGTGGTCAACATTTTAGTTTAATACCTAGTGATCTCTCACATGTCCTATTCAGTTTCCTTTTTAATAGAAGTGCTACCACCAGTACTGCTTCCTCCTGGTGAACCAACAATCTGGTACTTAATTGCTTTGCCCTTGTCACACCTTTGTTCAGATCCAGAATGAATGACTTCCTGCTGTACTCTAAGGCCTCAAATAGGTCAGCACCTAATGAGTACATTCTAGACATACTGCATCTTATCAAGCACAAAGCAAAGGAAAAAGGAATCACAGTCCCTGTTTCCAAAGAGTTCACAATCCAGCACAGGAGACAAAATGTTACAATGCAATCAATCCATCAACAGGTACAAAACAAAACAAAACAAAACCAAAAACACAAATTATAAACTGAACTGTTAAGTGGTAAATTACAGAAAGTGAAAAAAATAGTAGTTTGAAAAGCTCTCTGAGGTGAAGGATTTATAAGCCAGGTCTAGAGTGGGAGAAATAAGAACAGATGAGGCAGAGGAACATCTTAAGCTCAATAAATATCCTACTGAAATACACACAGTTGAAGACAACATGTGTATAGGCGAACGAAAGTAGATAGGCTTGCCTGGAGCAGAAGGGACAATTTGGATGAAAGATGAAATTCTGACAAGAGACCATGGTAATACTAGACAGAGGGCCCTGAATGCTGGCTGGGGAGTTTGGGATCTCTCTAGTTCACCTTATATACAGTCACAAAACGAACCATTCAAAAATATGTTTACTTAATTCCTTTTCTCACATGTGATGTAGTTCTCATTCTCCATCTTATAGGGAGGTAAGAAAACCAGCTGGGAGGCTAAATAATTAATTTATTTAGATTAATTCAGTAAAGGCCATGAAAGCTGTCAATCCAGACATAATAGAGGAGGTATCTGATACTTGGTTGATATAAAATTCCAGGAGGGGAAAGAATAAAAAATAACTCTTAGGTTGAGACATTAGAATGACAGTAAACATTGGTGGCAGTTCTAGGTTAAGGGGATTGATGAAGAGACAAATTATATTTATTTCCTTTATAACATTAATTCAGTTTCCATATTCCACACCAACTTTAAATACACGTTCCTATTTAAACCAAAAGGATATTCTCTAGCCAATTTTCAAACTCAGAAGAACTAGGAAAGGGTTCAAATGTTAAATCTTCCATTTAACACCCTATCTTTATGTACTTTTATATTTCTTTTATGTCCTCTTAAAAATTACTTTCCCAGTATGACAGAAAATTTATTTAAAAAGTGAATCTATGGTTACTTTATGAAGGCTGAAGGTTTTCATATAATTTCTCCATTGCTTTTTCTTTTTACATCATATATGGAATTTCACATTTATATACATTCCTTTCAATTGCCAAGTTTGTTAAACCATTTGTTTATCTGGACTATGTCTTCTAATATGTTCCAAAAATTCCTAAAAATAAATTTATGTCTTACTCTCTTAAGAACACTCTTTTTTTTTTTTTTTTTTTGAGACGGAGTCTTCCTCTGTTGCCCAGGCTGGAGTGCAAGGGTACGATCTCGGCTCACTGCAACCTCGGTCTCCCAGGTTCAAGCGATTCTCCTGCCTCAGCCTCCCAAATAGCTGGGATTACAGGCACGCACAACCACGCCCAGCTAATTTTTGTATTTTTGTAGACACAGCGTTTGACCAGGTTGGCCAGGCTGGTCTTGAACTCCTGACCTCAAGTGATCTGCCTGCCTCGGCCTCCCAAAGTGCTGGGATTACAGGCGTGAGCCGCCACGCCCGGCCAAGAACACTTTTTAAATATGGTTTTATTAATATAATTATTTCCTAGAATGTTACCGTTTTACACATAAAGAACATTCCTATTTAGTCACACTGGCTGGCTCTAGCCCATGTAAAACTTTTTTGTAGATGCGAAGTATTTTAGTTTACACTGAAGTCTCTGTACTAATTTCATTTACATCTCTTATGATAGTTTATTATTAAATATATACACACACTATATTTGTTATATATATACACAATTAAACTCCAAAATCTGTTTACTATTATCTATATCTCCTTTATTTATATTTTTGCATCAGTATGACTTAACATACTAAGCATGAAGGCAGAGACAGATCTACCTGGTTTTGAACAAGATCTATTTGTTAGAGCCTTGATTTTTTTTTTTTTTTTTTTTTAAGAGACGGAGTTTCCCCATGTTGCCCAGGCTGGTCTCAAACTCCTAGGCTCAAGTGATCCACCTGCTTCAGCCTCCCAAAGTGCTCGGATTACAGGCATGAGCCACTGCGCCGGGCCTTAGAGTCTTGATTTTTAAGGGTCTAATGCTGCCATTGCTAACATTATTATAGATTGTTTCGGCTGTTGATGAGGTTATGTAATTAAAATTCCTCCTTTCACAGAAGACTAACTGAAGTCTATGACAGTTAAGCAATTTTTCCAAAGTCATGCCACCAACTGGCGGTAACGCTGGGTCCCCATGTTCATTACACCACATTGCTTCCTGAGAAATCAGCTCAATTTAACAACTTCCACCATAAATAGAAAGCCAGAAATATAAATGTGTTACAACTCCTGCCTTTAAGAAAACTGGAGCCTTTCTGGAAAGAAAACACATAAAAAAACTTAGCAAACAATGCAAGACAACAATATTAAAGAAAATAAGACAAAGGGCCAAAATTTACAATATAGACTTTAAGAGCTATAGATCAGAAGAGGAAGAATCTGGGATGAGCCTTTAAAAGCCTGGCAAGATTTAGACAGGAGAAAAGGAATGGAGAGTGAGATGGCAGATAAAGAAGTGATGGCATGAACTAAGGAAAGAATGGGTAAAATAAATATGGAACAACATATGGAAATCAGTCTGATTAGGGGAAGAATACATTTCACTTCAGTAGACACAATTCTTTCCCTAAGCCATCTAAAAGGGGACAGGAAGAAAACCTAGGGGATTTAAGAATTTATAATTAAACTCTCACTTAGCAGGAAGCCTAGACATAAGATTACAAGATTAAATAACACAGAATTTTCCTGAGTCCTGAAAAATTAGCAGCAGATGGCAGACAAACTTCTGAATCCAAAGATTTATGATCACACTGGGCTTGCGAAAGTGGTCACAGCCTAATCCTGGTTTTGTCATCTTGTTACATTGAAAGATACTTATTTTATTGTCTCCCATGGCCAAGACACTTTTCGAGGATTAGACACTTATTTCAAATATCCCGGGATGCCATCAAAATATAACATTCACTAAGGTTCCACATAAAATTGTGCTTAATATACCAGGCAAAAAAACATGAGGCAGAAAGGCTGTGTATAAAAATTTTGATCCTCCATGTTAACAGTAGCCCAGGAGCCTGCCTCTATGGAAACTAAACACTGTTCTAAACCACATAATCACTGGTTTGTATGTCTAGTTGTGTTTCTAATTCTTACTTTTATTGTGACAGCAGCAACAGAAAATTTGCTATATACCACGATATAGATGGTAGAAGTCAGTCCTTCCAAGCTTCCTGGTTCATACCTTTAATTCATTTCAAGTAAGTGAGGTGGTTTAACATCATAACTTGTGTTGTAACAACTGTACTCTGAACGTTAACTTCTGCATTTAAGTAAATACCACCATCTGCTTAAGCAATAAGGAAATCTATCTCCACCCACAAGTGTGGTAACTCCTGTCATGCCTGTCTATCTGGTATGGAGGCTTCCCCTAGGAATCACTCACCTGCACAGATCTGAACGTAGTAATGAAAGGCAACATGATATGATAGCCTGGTCCACTGGGGCTAGTTAGTAAAGCTCCTCCCCTGCAAAAAGATGTTTCAATTTGACAAAATTATAAAAAGAAAAATTATCTTTCCAAATCTAAAATGCTATAATAAATACTCACTCTTGCTCATGCTGCTGACCTACTAAAGCCTCACTAATATGAATTGCTCATAATGAACAACTGCTTAAAATACCTCCACACCTAAAAAGGGAAAAAGATCAAATTAAACTGCCAATGTTACACCTTGTTTCATAAGCTCAACCAACCGTACCTCTGGGTCTCCAGCACTGCTCTAAGGTTCAAAGGATTCTCCTCGGTCTTTAACCTTCTGAGAAATATTTGTTTAAAAAATTCTAATGGCTTTCAGTAGAGGTACATTAATAGTACATAACAAGAGCCAAATCAAAATATATAATACATTTAATCACCAGGTTGAAAAAAAGACAATGCAAACTTTGAAGTAAAGAGAAAATTTCTGAGGCTTATAATTCTTTCGATCTATCTACAAGGTAATTAAAATACTGGGAACATAAAATTTCTATATAAAAACAAAAAATTAGCATGAAAAGATGAAGGGTGACAAGACTATACAAATAAATAGCATAAGGGCTTGTTAACCAAATCCTGGAATGTGAAAACTATGAAAGCAAGCCCTGGAAATTATAAAAAGGAGGCATTTGGGGAGCAAAGAAAACAAAGTCCTATTTTGCACCTTGTAAATTCATAGAACTTAGCTACCGGTCTTGAAAATATAAACACATTTGCAAGGTCATAATAACAAGGAAAGATGAACTGTTTGAGGTTCATTACTAATTCTTTGAGTCATTCCTTGAAATGTCCTTTCTCTGGTTTTACTGTCAGAAAGACAATGCTTTTAAACTGGAAGGAAATCTGGACTAATCTGTAATTTCTTATGTAGAGCTCCATCTGCTAAGATATACCATTAAAATTGCTCTTTTTCTAGGATTCAGGATGGATTTGAAAGTAGAAATATCAGTTTTGAGGGATAGTGGAAACAAGCAAAAAGTTGACGCTCTTTTTGAATACACCATTATCCCAATTTCTCCACAAACTGGCCTCTCTTACTAGTCTGTATCAAAAGGAACTTGTGGTAATTAGGCTGAAGGAAAAGCTAAGCGAGCTCAACAAGAGAGCAACAGCTCCCACACCACTCCTGTCCCCAACTTGAACAGCAACAGTAAGGAGGGAGGAGCATGGCCCATCAGTGTTGTGCTTATGTCCCTGGAGGTCCAGGGACATAAGCACCATCACAGTCATCATGGTGTTACAAGACGTAACCAGACACTGGAAGCTTTTAAATGAAAAAGTCTAAGAAACAACCATAAACATACAGCATCTACAGCGGCAAACTAAAGCCTGTACAGTTGAACGAACTATAATTTATCCATCTCTTCAGTTAGAGGTAGAGTGACTACTTCCTTTCTTCCTTCTTCATTTTTCTACAAATAATTGAGTTTGCTGTGTATAGGAATAACCGTAGGGAGACTTAATCTCTGCAACAAAACGAACATAGCACTAAAACTGTCCAACATCTGGAGGGTGCTCCGCAAAAGCCCGCTTCGACCCCCGTGCTCTCCCTAGAGATGGGACATGCGCCCCCGAACGTTGCAGAGGGAACAACTTCCCAGACTCCACTCTGGAGTACCCTTTTAATCTGCTCTAGAGCCCTAACTGACTGCACATGCCGCTCACCTGTAGTACACAGCCAGATGGCCCTCCTCAATCTTGTGGATGGAGGCGTAGAGCAGGACAGCCACCAACCCCACCACTGCAGCCACCAGAACCCGGGCTTGAGTCATATTCATTCTCGTTCCTCCTGGGAGCGGGAGAAAAGGACCCTCAGTCCCGTGAGTGACAGGTCCACCCCCTCCAGTTTCTACCCTCTCCCTCCGGAAACTTGGCGCTCTCTCGCAGGCTGAGCCGGGGAGTCCAGTACCCCTGTCCCCTCATTCTTCCCTTCTGGCTGAGCCCGCTGACCCCTTGCCAACTCCTCCGCCCCCGGAGGCCAGTGGGCCGCCCCTGCTCGGTGAGCTTCCTGAAACTCCCTCTCCCAAGGGTCGCTCCCGGGTGGAAGGCACTAACTGAGAAGAAGCCCAGCCGCAGGCTCGCGAGGAAAGCCGACCCCTCGGCCGCGCCTCACCGATCAGTGACGCATCGCCCCCGCCCGCACGTGCAGCCGACTCCCGCGCCGAGCCAACCGCCGCCAACAGCCGGCCCCGCCCACTCGCCCAGCACTGCGGCTGCGCGGGGACGCACACGGCGTAGCCCCGGCCCGCGGCTAGTGAGACGGGGAGCGCATGGGACAAAATTCTCCTAGCCGCGGGCCGCGCAGGCTCCTTTGGAGGCAAGTCGCTTTCTGTACACTGCTGGTTAACTGCTTCGGAAGAGGACAGCCCGCAGTCTGGAGTGAGCAGCGAAGCAGAGAAAAGGAGACGCCCTTTCGGACAAGGGACTGGTTGGTTTGTTCTTGTGCAGAGAACCCACTCGCTCACTCTCAAACGGTAGCTGTTCGGTTTATTTGTCCTTTTGCAGTGTATGCGGAGCCCCACTGTGTGGCACGCACTTGCTTCCGGCAGAGATCCTGCCCTTCAGGAGCAACTAAACTTGTTGCAAATAAAGTGCTGTGAAAGTTCAGAAGAGGAAGATATTAGATATAACGGCATCATTCTCTCGTTTTTTAAGTGTTCCTATTATGTGCCAGAATGCTGGTCCAGTGAGGGCTTTATGAAGGCCATCCAGACTACAGGAACAGAATTGCTAAGCACATGGGGCGGGAGGCGGAGGGAATCCTCCAGGGAGACCAAAGTAAGTACTTCAGTTTCCTTGAAGGCTTGTGTGATGGGAAGGAGTGCTATGGTAGGCGTCACTACATATTCTGTTCGTTTTAAATTAAAAAACCATGGGCACATATTGCCAAAAATAAAAAAGGGAAGGAAAAAGGTATAGTTGGGAGATAGATGAATACAAGAGAAATTAAGGACATTAATGGTTTAAGCCTTGAAAGGCTAGAGGTGGAACTATAACTGGACAAGGTGGACTAGGGTTGTAAAGTCCTCTAACCCAGCGGACGGGGTGGGGGTGTGTGTGGGTTGGGGATGAAACTGTTCCACTTCAGATCATCAGGCATTAGATTCTCACAGGGAGCCGGCAAACCTCACATGTGCAGTTCACAATAGGGTTCGCGTGCCTATGAGAATCTGATGCCACTCGCTAATCTGACAGCAGGCAGAGCTCAAGGCGATAATGCTCACTCGCCCGCCGCTCACCTCCTGCTATCCGGCTTGGTTCCTAACAGGCCACTGTCTGGTTCCGGTCCGCGGCCCAGGGCTTGGGGACCCCTGCCCTCTTGGGTAGGGAAGTATGGGAAAGCAGTGCTTTAGGGCCAATGAATCTATAAAACGGCTGAAAGTGGAGACAGACTGTTGGCAAGGAAGTCAAGTGGTTAGGAAACTGCAGGCCCAGGGTTACTTAGTAGTGGAAGTAAGAAGAGGTAAATAGAATCAATCCGTCTTCATTAAAGCAAGACTTCCCAGACCACTCTACCCACACCCTTCAATAAATACACTTACCTGTATCATTCATTTGATTTTTATTATCTAGGAATGTCTGGGACCTTATCTGTTCCAAATAAATGATATTTGCAGAGCTTAGCTATTTTAACTTCCAAAAAGCAAAAAGAATGGAAAATAACTTGCTCCATACCCTGTTTTCTGTAGACATTCTCTGAAGTTTTTCATAATATTGCTTAAAGAATGAAATGTATACAATTCACAACTGCCATTCCCCTCTGAAAAGTTGTTACCCACCAAAAAATAGTGGTCCAACTCATGCATCAAAAGCAAGTTTGGGGATCCCACTATAATAGTCTGTTCTGACTCACACCATCTGCCCAAATTATATAGATCAGGCTGCCCTGACATAACCCCAGCCACACACCAGCAGCGGCCCCCACGCTATAACAAATCTTTAACCAATTATTAAAATATTAGAAAATGCATGACCATTGAAAATAATCCTTAACAATAATTGCAATGCTTGGATGGCTTGTAATGTTCAGACTCCCAGATAAGCACTTTTACTATACTGCCTATGTTGTTTCAGATCTTGCCATCTAGCTTAATACCCTCCAAGTAACAGGTACCCAATAAATGTTTATTACTAAAATCTTCTAAAACCAGGGAAACAAGAGAGAGACTGCCTATTATAATAGATGACGAACAGTGATATGTGATGACTAAAAAATTTGGTTGACTAGGAAAATGATACCACTAGCAAAAATGGGGATGGTGGGGCTGTGACATCAGTTTATAGGGCAAGAATCGAGCATGTTTTTTAGATGTAGATAGTGGTGATAGGACATCTCAGAGGAAAACACTCTTAAAGAAGTTGCCCAATACTACCTTTACCATAAGTCCTATTATTCCTAAGGAAAGTACAGTTATTCTATGCTCTTAATTCCACTTCATGGAACCTTCATATTTTCCTAAGCCATATTCAACTGTTTTATTATAATCTGATTTTTATAATGAATAGAGATCAAGAAAGTAATTTAAAAACCATTTAATACACAAAGTGAAAAACTATTAGAATATAAAAGCATTTCACATTTTTTAAGACAAATAATATCTTCTAAATTACTTAGCAGATGATAGAGGTCCACAGTCCTTTCTCTGAAACCCTTGGGGCAAGTTGTTTCAGAATTATGAAATTTTAGATTTTAGAAAAGTAGTTTTGTGCATATACCATACTACATTAACCAGCCCTCACCACAGTCTGTGGCAGCAGCCCTCCCTCTCATCATCAAGCAGCAAAATAAAGGAATATTCACACTAAATGGGATAAAAAGATTCAAGGTCAGTTCAGATTAGATTGCAAGCAAATGAATTTTGTCACCAAGCTTATGGAAACCTTGTTTTCAGAGCTTTTTGGATTTTGGAATTACAATTACAGATAAAGGAGTGCAGACCTTTATAAATTTGTATGACAAGACATGAAAGATTGTTTAAACAAATGACTCATTTTTACAAATGAAAAAACATGTAATTTTCAAATACATTATAAATTAACAGGCATCTTCTCTTTGATATTATTAAATGTACATCTTAAATACATATACACACAACAACATGATTTATGAAAGCCAACTAATATTAGAAGCACAGATACACAATCCCTTCGATGAGAAGGGGATACTGTTAAATTTTCAGTGGAATTTAAAATGATTACACCAACTCCTTATGATGCCAGGAAGAGAACCTGTTCAGTGCAACACAAGGAGGTAGAATTTATTCTTCAAGAAATAGAACTTGTGAGCAGCCTTTTTAGAAAAAAACACAGGTAGACTTTTACTTAAAATGCCTATTACTTGAGGTTTTCTTCTCTGTATACAAAACTACATTTGGTCTTACGCCCAAAAGTTAAAAGTTGACACTAATACATAGAAGGTATTTTTAATCAGTTAAATAAGTAATGTTTTACCAAGACTGAAGGCAAATGTGTCGTGATGATGCTTCTAAATAGCTGTGGTATTAAAACAAATATTCAAACAAGTACATTGACTTTTTCTAAATTCCTGTCTGTTTAGAGGCTTGAATTACTCAAAACTGTTATACTTGTAAAATCATGTTCTTCTGATCATAGTAGAAATGTAGTTTCTGTTCATAGCCATTTCTTCCATTGACTGATGTCTGAAGAATGGTTTCATGGGGGAAAAACACATTTCCAACATGTATAGCAACAACTTCCATAGGTTTGGGGACAGTGAACAAGTGACAACTCATTCTGTTAACCAACTCCAATCAAGATTCTAAAACCAGGCATGAAAAAGTTACAATTAGATGTTGACTATAAGTTATAAGTATATGGGTGTTCATTTTTGCAAGTTTTCTGTTTGGACATTTCATAATCAAAAGTTGAAAAATCATTTCATTTACCTTATTTCCTGATTTAAAAAAATTTCAGAGTTTTTTTCATAAATATTTGAAGTAAACAATTATTCTTTCCTTTTCTTTTCTTTTTTTTTTTTTTCTTAAGAGAGCAGGATCTTGCTATGTTGCCAAGCTGGAGTACAGTGGCTATTCACAAGTCCAATCATAATGCACTGCAGCCTTGAACTCCTGGGCTCATGCAATCCTTCTGCCTCAGCCTCCCTAGTAACTCGGACTACAGGTACATGTCATATGGCTGGCCACCATTATCCTTTTTTTTTTTTTTTTTCCCCGAGACAAAGTCTCACTCTGTCACAGGCTGGAGTGCAATGGCAGGATTACGGCTCACTGCAGCCTGAAACTCTTGAACTCAAGCGATCTTCCTGCCTCAGCCTCCCAAGTAGCTGGGACCACAGGTGTGTGCCACCACACCTGGCCAATTTTTATATTTTTTATAAAGACAGGGTTTCCCATGTTGGCCAGGCTAGTCTCAAACTCCTGGGCTCAAGCAATCCACCTGCCTTGGCCTCCCAAAGTGCTAGGATTACAGGCGTGAGCCACCATGCCTGGCCACTGCTATTTTTCTTAATGAAAGAGGAAATGTACAGAATTGACATTAAGACTAAATGCAGGAAAAATTGATTCAGTAGACATTTTATGGTAATTTCCTCAAGTTTTAACAAATCAGTAGTTTATAGTAACCAAATCTTAACACACACTTATTATTACAACTATATTAACATAATTTATTTTCTATTCGGGAGGTACCATATCTGAATTAAAGTACAAGTCCCATCTTAATGGAGAAAATTGATTGCTGAAGCAAAAAGGTACAGAACAAACCATTCAATTTCAATGGTCACATTGTGAAGAAGCTTACCACTCATTTAATTTGACCAAAAATGCTATTATTGAAGATAATTGATGACATAATCCTAGTATATCCCTGAGTAACGGCAGATAAGGATTTAAGGTTGAGGATATTCCCCAAATGCTCTTTCCTCTTGAGTTCTTCTATTTCCCATATGCATCCCAAATGCCAGATAAGGCTAGCATGGAAAGTTAAACCTTTTGCACCCAACATAGCCAAAGCAGGCACCCATATCCACACAAAACTTACCATCATACTATTGCCCTGTTCCTCATTTGCCTCATGAATAATAGTGCTTAAATGGCCAAGGCAGTTCAAATTTTCTTCTATCATTTGTGCTGAAGTCTCCCTGTGAGATGAAAGAACAAAGCCTTTTCAAACTCAGGAAAAGGGCATATGAATTTCCTCTACTTTCTAGTCTTCTAGGTTAGCAAGATCACTAGCCTTCCTGTAACCCAGTACCCCAGTGCAGTTGACTCCTGTAGTCTTTAGTTTCCTCATCCCTCCCTACAGAGGCAGAGTCCTGTTAAGACCAGGCTGCTGCCTCTACCTCTACCTAACTAATGATAAGAAGTCCACTATAACTCCAGTCTGACTTTCCTCTGAAATGTAAGATGCACTTATGTACAACTTGTTTTTCCCGTGAAAATGTAACTAGGGAGGAAAAAATCCTTGTGGCAAAGACAGATGAAATACGTTTTTGTTTCTAAATACTTCTCTTTCCTTAAAAGTAGTAAAAACACCAGCATGCATACTTCACAGACACAAATGTAGGGGAGAAGAGAGAAAAGTAAAATCTGTTCTGTAGAGATCACAGAAAGTGAAAAACTCATTAGAAACTACAGATGATAGCAATGAAACGAAACAAGCAAGCTGATTCCTGAGGACAGCAAAAGAAAACAGTGTGGTGGGGGAGCTACCCAGAACCAAGAAGTATCCCTGGAAGTTCATATTTGAAGGCAGTCCTGATTGTGGTTTCTACCTTCATGCTTTCCTCTTCTATATGGCCTCTAGCTTCTCCCTTTGCCAATCTTCAGTCCCCTAACAAGAGTCCGTTTTAGGTCATGGATGATAGCCACTATTAGCTTAGAATGACATTCTGATTCAGCTCTTATCCAACAGATGGAAAAATTATGGTCAAACAGTTCCCAATCCTTGGTAGTTAAGTACCACAGGTACATTATAATTGAAATCAATTTTCTTATACAATGTATTCTGGCTGGACATGGTGGCTCATGCCTGTAATTCCAGCACTTTTGGAGGCCGAGGCAGGTGGATTACTTGAGGTCAGGAGTTCGAGACCAGCCTGGCCAACATGGTGAAACTCCGTCTTTACTAAAATACAAAAATTAGCCAGGTATGGTGGCACGCACCTGAAATCCCAGCTACTCGGGAAGCTGAAGCAGGAGAACTGCTTGAATCTGGGAGGCGGAGGTTGCAATGAGCCAAGACTGTGCCACTGCACTCCAGCCTGGGCGACAGAATGAGACTCCGTCTCAAAACAAAATATAATGTGTTCCTTCTAGAAAATACATTGAAAATGTCTGTCAGATATACTTTTGCAAGCAACTACACTTCAAATTGGAAATTACCTGTATTGTGGTGACATTTGTAAACATTAACATCCGCTAAAAAACTTAAATGCCTTTAATAAAGGCAAAAAAGTAAGTAAAGTATTAAATTTTACTTCCTTCAACTCTGATTACTGGAGTATTTTGTAAAGTCTATATATTTAATTATAGCCTGTGCTACAGTTGTAGGTGTACTGCATTGGGCCACATGTATAATGACCCCAAGATATATACCCTGGAACTTGCTTTCTTTAAAAAAATAAAATACCTGATATCAGCTTGCCTTCCTGCCATGTGCTTTTCTCTCATAAAAGTAGAGTACAGAATGTGCAACTGCATGACCTCCTGAGCAGTGATGTAACATGGCTGCACTTCTGCAAAACTAATTATGGGCAGAGCTTCCAGGAAATGCTGGTGCTGTAGAGGTCTCCATGAGTTGTGAGAAAAGCGACAATACACAAGCTAGCAAAGAGCCACTGGCTTTGGATACGGCACATCTTAAGCTGAGAAAATAACAGAAATGGATAGTCATTCAGCTTTTAGCAAAAGAGTAGGAATTAATAAAATATAGGGCTTGGAATCTGAGTTCTTGCAAAACTGATTTAAAACACTGAAAAAAGTCTAATCTTAGAAATACAAAGTTATAAAATAGATCTCAAAAATTTATTAGAAGGGTAATCAAGGATCCCCAAAATGATAAATGCAAAATGATAGCATAATTTCTCATAAACTGTTAATGAAGGAGTAAGGTTTGAGTAAAAGAAAGTAATAAGCCAATAAAAGAAAGGACTTAGAACTTGGACTTAGCTAATAATAAGCAACATTTGAGCTAATAATACGCAACATTTGCTGAACATTTATTTCCCAAGCACTTTATATACATTGTCTAATCAAATTTCCACAGCAGTTCTATGAGACATTCCTGTTTTACAGGTGAGGAAATATGAACATCAAAAAAGTCAAGTAAGTTGCCTAAGATTATTACAAAGGGATAGTCAGGACTCAACCCTGGTCTGAAGGCACAGAAGACTACCTTAACAACTACTGCCTCATTCCTATACCACTGCTATGAAAACACAGCTATCTATTGTTACAAAGTAAACCCACCCATCTTGAGGAGTTACCACACATGACAGAGAATGATCATGTTCTGCTGAAGTCGGGGGCAGCCATGCTGATGTCTGAGGGGTTACTGCACCTTCTAGACTGGATCCTACAAGGGACCGGGCAGAACTCTGTGTCTGAAGGAAAAGAAAAAAACATCAAAAGATTACAGGCAAGCATCTCTGTTGATTCACACAATTTCTTATCATATTCCTAAGACTTACATTTCCGTTACTACTTATATGCACAACCAGAGTATTTCAGTACAAAACTATTCCCACCTTTACACACCATTAGTAACCTGTCCTTGGACCCTTTCTTCATTGACTAAAACCAAATATATCCACTCATCTTATACCATTTTAGTTGAAGAAAGAAAAAAAAAACCCAGTTGAATAGATGGTCAATTTCATTATCTAGGCAGGTACATCTATCCCCAAGTTAGGTTGGAATACCACAGTAGTCAAGGGCTAAGAGGAGTATAACAACAGAGAAATTGGAAAGGAGAGATGATAATAAGTCCTGCATCTCAATTGCTAGTCTGGACACCAAGCAAGGAACATGGATGTCATCCCAATGCAAAATATACATGTCTTCAAGAGGGCCCACCTCATGCTGATAAAAATCCCCTTTGCAAGGAATAATAGCAACTCAATGTCACATTAAATAATTCATTAATAATTACTTACACAGGCAATTTTAAGGAGATGCCATATTTCTTTCTGCCTTTTTCCCTGCATGAACATGACAGTATTGTCAGCTTCTTTGATATTACTGAGGGCCACTTCCACCTTAGGGAGTAGATCAATAATCTTCTGCTTACAGCCCAACAACTTGCTGGAGAGATTAAATCAGTGTCAGACACTTTCACATGCCCCAAGACTGTACACCATATTCCCAAAACCCAGCTGAGGAAATGAACCACAATCAGCATCAGATTTAATGACTTATCTCCAAAGTAATGCATACAAAAGGACACATAAATGCAGATAGCTATGGCCAAGCTACCCAAGGTACCTTCAGAATTCTTCCTGGGTAAGTATACTTTACCAAAGAGGGCTTTTGTACTTTGAGAGGAACAAGATAAACGTATCCTGGTTTTTCAGTAGGAAATGAAGCAATTTTCCTACCTCAAATGACCAAACAGCTCCTTGAGCACACGGTCCTGACTCTGCACAGTGTGCACAATGATTTTCACCATCTCTGTGCTGTCACTGTAGGAGTGATCTATAAAAGACATCAGTCAGTGGATATAACCTTTCTTCTGTAACATATCAGCCTCCAAACAAAAAATTCCTCAAAAATCCCTGAAACTCTGAAACTAATTTTAATTAATAAACATCTCCATTTAAATTAAAAATTGGGTTAAGATAAAAGATATAAAGATTACCTATAAATAAAATCTAGTTATATATAAAAAATAAAGTTTGCAGGTGTATAATGTATATATAAATTTATCAGTAAGAGACCTTAGTTGCCTGTGCTTGAGAACAATAGTCTTGGCTATCTTTAACCCATACTAACCCAAGCCCTAGACACAAATGCAGCCTCTGGCCAAGGGAACAATTTTTCTTGGATGATTAACCACATATTTAGAAACAGTAGGACAATTCATCAAACTTTCATTACCTAAAGGAAGGAGGCCCTTGAACTAGGTTGCTTGGAATTTCATGTTTATCCGTCTGTTTACAACCCAGAAAAACTTTGAAAAAAGCTCATTGAAACCAACTAGTAAAGGGACCTGTAGACATCCTGAAAGTTCCATTTGAGGGCAGTATGACATCTTAAAGCCAACTGGCAGCAGCCAGATACCCTCAAATGGGATGGCTGTTGGTCACAATGGGTTCTACAGTTTAAAATGTGACCTCGATTTTAAAAAAAAATCATTAATTGTTATATTTCAGAAAATGGCTAAAGGAGTTGAAAGTTGCTTATGCATCATGCTGGTATATTCTTTGGACAATAATTAAGCCTAAATGCAATAATAATAATATTTGCTACTCTCTGCTTATAATTTTCCCATTTAATCCTCACAGCAGTCATGTGAGAAGACTACTTTTGTTACCCCCATTTTACCAAAAAGGAAATGATGAGCATCAAAGGAGGTTTAAAAAACGTTGTGTCCTTTGTTATCTATCACTCCAAATACTTCCCCCATAGCCCAACTTTATTCCCCACACATCTCTGTTGTCTCCTCCTCACCAACAATCAAATGCAAGGCTCCAAAAAGGTTCTTCTCCAAACAGCATTCCTTCCTAAATACCATGGACCAAGCCAAGAGCTTTCTCATATAACTAGCTCCTTAAGACAGTGAAAGCCCTCAGAACTTTAGCCTTCTCCAGGATAATGAAGAAAGCTGGTTTTAACCATTTCAGATGAACAAGAGATTCAAGTCAACTCTAAGCTAGAAAAGACAATAGAGGCCACAAATCAAGTGTGATTATATAATAGGCCCCAATGACAGACACAATCTTGTTACAGTTTGTCACTCAAGGTGACACTCAAAGAAGCTACCTGGGTAGCAGTTTATTTCTGAGCTTCATGGTATGTTGACAGGGCTGCCTCAAAGTTTTAAAAAATATAACCTAAACAAATGCTATCACTGTGTATCTGTGGTATCTGATTCATTAGCCAGAAAACTGGGAGTCAGAATTTTTTTTTTGAAATGGAGTCTAGCTCTGTCACCCAGGCTAGAGTGCAGTGGCACAGTCTTGGTTCACTGCAACCTCTGCCTCCCTGGTTCAAGCAATTCTCCTGCCTCAGCCTCCAAAGTGGCTGGGATTACAGGCATGTGCCACGACGCCTGGCCCAGAAATATTGATTAAAGAAAAAGAATTGGACTTGCTCTATTTGAAATCTTAGATTTTAATATTTTACTCTAGCTACAACTTCTATCACTTAAATCACTATTTGTTAACATCTTCAACCTTTTTATCCTCTTATTCCATCAGCAAAATCCTAACCTTGGATTAATCCAACCATCTGCTCTATCAGTTCCTGTATCCAAGCTACTAAATTATCAACAAAAAATTAATATTACTGTTCACTATTTGTCACTGCTAATTCACAGGTTTTTCATTTCTGCTCTGGGTTTTTTTTTTTTTTTTTTTTAAGAAAGTCTTGCTCTGTCAACCCAGGCTGAAGTGCAGTAGTGTAATCTTGGCTCACTGCAGCCTCGACCTCCTGGGCCTCAAGCGATCCTGCTACTTCAGCCTCCTGAGTAGCTGGGACTACAGGCATACACTACCACACCCAGCTTTTTAAAAATTTTATTGATTTATTTTTTTGTAGAGACAGGGTCTCACTATGTTGCCCAGACTGGTCTCAAACTGTTGGCCTCAAACGATCCTCCTGTCTCAGCCTCCCAAAGCGCTAGTATCACAGGTATGAGCCACCTGGCCTGGATTCTTAATGAATGTTTTGGGTCAACAACATCTTCCACTGCACACAGTGGCTTTTAGAAGTCTTTAGCACTCTATTCAAATCTATGAGGTCGTCACCTCTTCCATTTCAGTTAACCTCACTTACCACTGCAGGATAAGAGGCCATAAGGCAGTAAGACCCTGATCTTCCAACCTCTACTCCCAAAAAAGTATCTGTATCCACACTCATTCTCTTTCCAATATCAATAGTATCAAGGCTAATCCCTCCTACTGTTCTTTGGAGCCAATCTCTCAACTTGTTCAGGGACCTCCCTCTCCACAGGCTTTTTTGGCCCTGAGCATATGTTCTGAGAAGTGCATCATTGGGCACTTTCGTCACTGTGTGAATACTTATACAAACCCTGATGGTACAGCCTGCTATACACTTAAGCTGTATGGTATAGCCTTTTGACAATAGGCTACATACCTGTTCAGCAAGTGACTGTACTGAATACTGTAGGCAACTGTAACACAATGGTAAGTATTTGTGCATGTAAACATAGAAAATACATAGTAAAAATACAGTAGTATAATCTTATGGGACTACCATAGTATACACAATTTGTTGTTAACCAAAACATCATCATGTGGCACCTCATGTTTAAGTCTTCCTTCTGAGAAGTGACCTCCCTTGACTCTACATCAACTTTTAGCTACTCACCCACCTCTCTTCTTTCCTGAGCAGCCAAGCTTCTGAGAATAGTCTAGATAAGCAGTTCTCAAACTTTTTGGTCTCAGGACCCCTTTACACTAGAAAATTCTTGAGAACCCCAAAGGGTTTTTCAGGAATTAAACAGAAATTTAAAAATACTCGTGTCTTAATTCATTTAAAAATAACAAACCTATTGCCCATTAACATGTTTTTATTAAAAACAAACAAAAAAACCTATATTTACGTTTTCTCTCTCTCCTATATTTAGGTTTTCTCTCTCCTGAAACTCTACACTCCAGTCATACTGCATTTCCTCAGACATGCTAAGTGCTATACATACATGTGTCTACACAGTATACTCATATCTACGAGAGCCACCTCCTTTCACTGGTTACTGCTACTTGAGATACTTGGAAGCCTGAAGTGGAAGGATCACTTGAACCCAGGGAGTCCAAGGCCAGCCTGGTCAACATAGCAAGAGCCCACCTCTAAAAACAAAAACCAAAAAACGATATTTTCTAAAACAAAAAAATTTGAGTGAGAACACTTGCACTGTTTTACATTTTTGCAAACCTTTCTGATATCACCACTAATCTCATCAGAAAAGTTTTTAAGTACTGAGAAGCTGTCATTCCAGCTGGTAAATACAAGTTTTCTAAAATTCTTTTTGCTTGAAACATGGAATTTTATCATTGACAACAAATACTGCTTTTTTCCCTTAAAGTAATAAGTGTGCTATACTTTTTATTTTCATTTAATTTCTTAGAAATTATCTCACGTATGCAAATCTGAATAATCATAGTTTGCCTGACAGTTGCTCTTCCAAGTAAAAATGGTATCTTCCCTGAAAGAGGCCAGACAACTAGCAACGTAAACAATTACTGAAGTGGTTTTCCTTAAGACAACCATCATACTTCACTGTATAGAAGAAACACTTTATGAGTACTTCCCATTTCATCACACAAAATATTAAAAACCCATACTCAAGCGTTGAGATTTAAATAAAATAATATTTTTACTGCTTTATCAAGGACATTTGTAAGTGAAACTGTCATTTTTTAAAAACTGTGACTGCATGGTGGTAAAAAATATAACGGCTACTAGCATAGTTTGGCGCTAGTGCCTTGATTCATACTAAGGTGAAAGCCATTTTATGTTGCACCATCAATGAAAATGTCAACATGGTGAAAAATGCAAATAACATCTTATTATGAAAATGGTTCTAACCTCACAGACTCTCTGACAAAGTTTCAAGGATTCTCACAGGTCCATATGCCACATTTTGAGAACTGCTGGTCAGACTAAACTGAATACATTTCAGTAAAATAAAAGCAGTATAAGAGGAGATAATGTTATTTTTTAAATGTGAAAATAGTATATGAAATACAATTTCACATGTATATTAATTTGCATGTGTTGCTATGTGTCTACAAATTTTAAAGTGTAAAAGTATATCTTTTTTTAACATGCATTTAAGTATAATGCACATTAGGGCACAGACTTTATTTCTTCTGTTACCCTTCAAAACAAATTTTTAACTAAATGATAATATCTTGCAAGTACATAATAGTTTATAGTTTTCAAAGCATTTTCACAAACATCCTCTTAAATACACTGTCACAATATACTCACTGAGTAGGAAAGCTAGGTTTCAACCCCATTTTGCAGAAGAAGGAAATGGGAAACGCAGATTTGCCTGAGGTAACGGTCAGTAAATTACTCAATCTAGAATTCAAGCCTCTGATTCCCCATCCAGTACTCTTTCCAGCAGACCTTGCTCAGTATTTAGCAGATGTTCAACTGGAATTATTTTGCCAACAAAACAAGTCATCAGTGACCAGTGCAGATGAAGGCATTATTTTCAAAGCAATCTGCTTTGGCCTAGAACAGCACAGGCCTTCCCTCTAACCATTCCATACCTGAACCCACTGCCTCAAATTCTTTCCAACCTCTATAATATTTTTTTGTTTTGTTTTGAGACAGAATCTCGCTCTGTCACCCAGGCTGGAGTGCAGTGGTGTGATCTTGGCTCACTGCAACCTCCTCTTCCCAGGTTCAAGCGATTCTCCTGCCTCATCCTCCCAAGTAGCTGGGATTACAGGCACATGCCAACATGCCCAGCTAACTTTTCTATTTTTAGTAGAGATGGGGTTTCACCATGTTGGCCAAGCTGGTTTTGAACTCCTGACCTCAGGTGATCCACCCACCTTGGCCTCCCAAAGTGCTGGGATTACAGGCATGAGCCACCACAACTGGCCCAACCTCTCTAATCTTAAGCAACACTTATTTTTTCCATCTTTCTAAACATTTTCTTGCTGCTTTTTCCTCTCTGAGTTCCTTTTTTCTGTCTTCCATTCTTTCTTTTCACGTCCCCTTCTAAAATTTTTCTACCTCACGTTCTCTGTTACTTTCTCTTTATCATCTCCTAAATTCTCACAATCTTAAAGCTTATTATACCATGTCTCAATGGCAATACCAAAACTGGAATTTATTCTGCAGCTTTAAGAAAATTTTTAACTTAAAAATATTAGATCCCCCACATTTGTTAGGCTAGTGATAGTTACCTAAAATGCCTTCAAGCACTGTGGTAGAAGTGTCTTACCTGAAGGTCTGTGTTTTAACTGCTTATATAGATCAATGGCACGCTGTTCCCTATAAAAGAGAAAACACGCTCTGATAAGTGAAGGTAATTTAATGACTTCAATAATCTACAACTTGAAACAATATTTTATTTGAATAATGAACCCATTTTAAAGCAAGTTCATATTGCCAACAAGTATTTCACAGAGCATTGTATTGAGTAATAAGAACTATACAAGTTCTTAAAATGCAAAGTTTAATATAGTTCATATCTATTCTGATCTATCATGGGGACATCTCTGCACCACAGACACTTAAAAAGACAAAAATTATGACCTATAATTCGAGAAAATATCTGAAGTTTTTAATCCAGAACTTTAATTCAGAAAAAATTTCAAGTTTTAGGGCATTTAAGAGTCAATACCTTGGACCAGAGGTATAATGAGTAGGGAAATAGTTTGTAACTTAGTTATACTTGGAAAATTCTTAACACTCCTATGAAATAAATGCTTTTATTAAAAACCAAAAAAGGCCAACCCAAAGAATTATTTCCGAAGTTTCCTGTGACTGAGAAAAAGCTTCCATTTTAAATATAATGCCAATATATTTGGGGAAAGGAAAACTATAGAAAAGAACCACTAGAGGTTTAATTTGCCAGATGTAAGCAGAAAGAATACAAAATATTACAGATGTCAAGACCAACAACACAAGTGCATCCTTACAGAGATTCCATCAAGTCTCCCTGACGTCTTCCATAGGGGCTCTTCTGTAGCTCCATGATTTCAGCATGCAAAGACATAATCTGATCCTCCAGGTATCCAATGACACCAACCTAAAATATGATGAAAATACAAAGGAAATGAAAGGCTTACCACTACATCATAGGAAACAAAATTCAGATCTTAAGGATACAGAATGACTTGCTGCTTCATTAGAGAACTAAATAATATAATACGAAACACTGATTTTGTTAAAGCCTTTCTATTCTTCAGATTCTGACACTTAATCTTTCACATAAGAACATACTTAGTCTTAGTCTTCTCTCTTTTCTCTCCTGACAACAGTAAACTACTAGTATTTGCTTTTACCTCCGGAGAAGCAAAAAGCTACAACAGGTATCAACTAACAAGAAAGAAAAAGGACCACCAAAACCATTGGTATTACTTGTATCTTGGCTCTATGATTTTGACTGCCCCCTGGTCCCCACTACCTTGAATAGGGACACAAAAAGATAAAGAACTTGGATTTCCCACCCCAGGACACCATGGGTATCCCCACCCACATCCTCAGGGTAAGTACTGACATTAAGGAGTGTAATAACTTAGGACCGTGGACAAATGTACAGGATAAGGGGAAAAAATCTGCCACCTAGAGAATGAGCTATACCTAGGGACACCATATAATTTATTGTCCAAACCGGCATAATTTTGAGAGTGAAAGGGACTACTACTGATAATTATGGCAAGACATTAAGTATAAACTGGGACAGTCCCAGGTAAACCAGGATGTGCAGCCATCCTATCTAAACCAGTCACAAAAATAATAGTGACAACTACCATTACTGACTCCCATTTAATCTTCATAACCCTACTAGAAAAGAAATTGTCCCTATAATATGGAAACTAGCTGGATGTGGTGGCTCATGCCTATAATCCCAGCTCTATGGGAGGCTGAGGTGGGAGGATTGCTTAAGCCCAGGAGTTTGATACAAGCCTGGACAACATAGTGAGACCCCGTCTCTACAAAAAATGTAAAAGTTAGCCAGGCATGGTGGTGCACCTCTTGTCCCAGCTACACAGGAGGCTAAGATGGGAGGACTGCTTGAGCCTGGGAAGTCGAGGCTGCAGTGAGCTTTGATCATGCCACTACACTCCAACCTGGGCAACAGAGTGAGACCCTGTTTCAAAAAATAAATAAATAAAGGAAACTGAAGCTCAGTGAGGCACTAGGTAATTTTCCCAAAGCCCTTGTTTTTAATCACTATGATACATCCCTCTTTATATACAAAGCATCTACTAGAATTTTGTCTGAATTTCAGGAATGACATGAAAAATGCTCTTTATATATCAAAACCAAAGATAGTTTCTAATGGAGACATCAAGAATTAATAAGTATACAGAATGACGTCAATGATTTTACCTCAGCATAGTGGATGGCCTTTTCTTCCATTTCTTTCCATGCTTTTAGCATTTTTTCTGAAGCTAAAAGAAAAGTCTAAATTGGTTATCTCAGAAATAGCCATATCTTTAATTACTGGCTGCCTGCCTCCTTGCCATATCAACATCAAAGATGTGTTATGAGTTGAATTGTGGTCCCCCAAAAGATATGTGGAATTCCTAACCCCTAATACCTCAGAATGTGACCTATTTGGAAATAAGGTCATTACAGAAGTAATCAGATAAATTAATACTCATACTGGAATGGTCTGGGCCCTTAGTCCAGTACGACCAGTGTACTTAGAAGAGACACAGGATACAGATACACAGGGGAGAATGCTCTGTGACAATGGAGACAGATTGAGGTGCTGCAGCTGTAAGCCAAGGAATGCCAATGATGGCTAGCAGACCATAAGAAGCTAGAGAGAAACAAGGAAAGATTCTTCTCTACAGATTTCAGAGAAAACATGGCCCTGCCAACACCTCAATTTTGGACTTTTAGCCTCCAGGGCTGTGAGACAGTAAGTTTCCATTGCTTAAGCCACTCAGTTTATGGGATTTTGTTATGGAACCCTTAGGAAATGAATACAGATGACTTTTTTCTTAAAAATATATATATTTATACCAGTGTGCAGATGGGTGGATAAAGGAAAAAACAACAAAAAAAATTTTTTTTTGAGGTAGAGTCTCACTCTGTCACCCAGGCTGGAGTGCAGTGGCATGATCTCAGCTCACCGCAACCTCTATCTCCAGGGCTCAAGCGATCCTCCCACCTTAGCCTCCTGAATAGCTGAGGTGTGCACCACCATGCCCGGCTAATTTTTACATTTTTTGTAGAGATGGCGTTCTACCCCATGTTGCCCAGGTTAGTCTTGAATTCCTGAGCTCAAGGGATCCACCTGCTTTGGCCTCCCAAAGTGTTGGGATTACAGGCGTGAGTCACCACCTGGCCAGAAAAGAAATTTAATACTTGAATATGATTTTTAAAAATTAAATACTATAAAAGGATATAAACAGAAAAGACTCTCTCTTCTACCCCTCTACCATCCACCTCAAGGGACCTTACTATGATTATCTGTTACATAGACACATAGCCTGCTCCCTCACAAGTGAAAACATCTGTATACTCTTTATTTTTTCCCACAATTTAAAACTGTCAACTAAAGACTTAGGTGATCTTTTAATAAAAGCACATATAGATCTACCTCATTTTTCTTTAACAATTGTATAATAAGCCTTTGACAAGTCTAAGATATTTTAATGAAATAATTATAATGTTTTATCACTCACCAGAATGTCAATAATATACAAATAGAAATAAAATATCAATAATATATAAATAGAAATAAAATATCAATAATATTAATAAAACCAGTTCTGGAGAGTAAATTCATTCACCCAACTGGACACTATTGATTGTTTACTCTGAGATACACAGAGTTTGCTCAGGACAAGTATATGTTTTTAGGAAACAAGTATTTGTTTCCTAAAAAGGATTTGTTTTATAAAAGAAAACAGAAATGCTGGTAGTATGACTCCTTCAATTTACTCATATTTTAACTCTGTTTTTTTACACTTCCTTAGTACATCTGAAGGAGATAAGCTTGGAGTCAAATATGGAAAATTTGGAGACTGTGTACACTAAAAAATAGTAGGACTCCACAGTAGATGGTTTGAAAAAAACATAGCCTTAGAATATTTGTGTCATTATTTACAGAAAAGTAAGCAGTTTAAGACTCCCCTGGTTGTCTTAGTCCATTTGGACTACTATAACAAAATACCATAGACTAAGTGCCATAAAAACAACAGAAATTTATTTCTTATAGTTCTGGAGGCTGGGAAGTCCAAGAACAAGGCAGATTTGAGGGCCTGCTTTCTGGTTCCTAGATGACCATCTTCTTGCTCTGTCCTCACATGCAGAAGGGATGAGGGATCTCATTCAGGTCTCTTTTGTAAGAGCATTAATCCCAAACAGGAAGGCTCTACTCTCATGACCTAATCACTTCCCAAAGGCTCCACCTACCAACACCTTCACCTTCAGGGTCAGAATTTCAACATATGTATTTTGGGGGGGATACATTCAGTCCACAGCACTGGCTAAGAAGTCCAGATTTTGTATTTATTTTAAAATCAGGTTTGAAATTCAAGATTATTAAATCGCACCTGTATTTTTTTAGAGCTAAATAATTTTAGCCCAATTGTGAAGCTAAATTGCTCAACTAAGCAAATTTAAAAAAAGAGGTAACATTCAAAACAAACATGGTTTATGTTAATTTAAGTTGTCCTGTCTCTTGTTCTAATGTGAAGGTAAGTAAAACAACTGGCTGAGTTAAGAAGGCAAAATAACAGATGGCTTCAAGAAACCAGATGCTCCTTTCAAATACATTACACAGACACTTACATATCCCATACGTCATCTGCTCGCTGTATCTCTCCAAGTCAAGCTGAATGCTTTTGTGAAAAAACTCCAATTTAGCTTTCAGTTGTTGTGATGCTGAGATCAAAGTGTTCTTCATTTTTGTTAAGTTAGCATTATATCTAAGAAGACTTAACCTAAACCACAGCAAGAAAAAAAAGAAAAAGAAAAAAGATATTATCAGCATTCAGAAACATTGAACAATAATGTAAAAACATAAACTGCCACAAGGCCAAAGCCTAAGTTTCTATTATCAATCTATGAGAAATAACTGAGCTCTAGAATCTGATCTCTAAAGACTTCCTGCCTATAATATTTTGTGATAAACAATCTTTTTATACTAGGACCGTATGGGAATTATTACCCTCAAGCCATTACAATAGAATGGTCTCAGTCCATTAGTAAGAATTCTACAAGTTTATCAGAACATTACACTTCAAATTGGCCCAGTATGTTACTATTACATGCAATATTGATTAGTGAAAACCGGCAAGATTAATTCTTGAGTATATGATGCACATTGCATTGTGCTTATAAACAACAGAATCCACTTACATTGCTGCCCTTTGTCCCTGAAAGAGCCTGCTATAGTCTTCTTTTAGTCCAGACACATAGTGCACTGCTTCAGCCCACACTTTACGCAGCTGTATAATTGGAAGCTGTATTTTGCTGTCCTGTACTATATACAAGAAGATGAGAAAAAGGGCAAGGGAGGTTAGTTACTTTTGAGGATTTTAGAGTTGATTTATCATTCTTTGTGATTTCCTGTCCACACAAACAGGATTCCCATAGATGCTAGAAACTGATGCTAAAAGAACCACTTGTTTCCATTTAATTCAGTTCAATATACATTTACAGAGCACCTGCAATACTTAAGCCCCGCTCCACATACAAGGGGGGAAATAAAAATGACACAATCGCTACACTCACAGAGCTTGAGATTATTCCTGTATCTGTCTTTTTTGCTTGCTTTTCTGCAACCTGGAATACTCTTTTTCTCTCTGCTAATCCAAATTATTTCTTTCAAGTTCTAAATCAAGTCCCATCTCCTCTGAGTCTTTCCTACCTCTGAATAATAAATTTCATATTCTGGACCAACAATCCAGGTTTAAGAATACACACAAGAGCCAGGTGTGATGGCTCACGCCTGTAATCCCAGCACTTTGGGAAGCCAAGGCGGGCAGATCCCTTGAGGTCAGGAGTTCAAGAGCAGCCTGGCCAACACGGTGAAACCCTGTCTCTACTAAAAATGCAAAAATTAGCTGGGCGTGGTGGTGTGCACCTATAATCCCAGCTACTCGGGAGACTGAGACAGGAGAATCGCTTGTACCCGGGAGGTGGGGGTTGCAGTGAGCCAAGATTGTGCCATTGCACTCCAGCCTGGGCGACAAGAGTGAAACTCCATCTCAAAAACAAAACAAAAACAAAAACAAAAAGACAAATTTCAGCAGAGGGACATCTTACAAAATACTTGACTAGTATTCCTCAGGTCATTGTCAAGGTCATCAAAAACAAGGACTATTTGAAGTCTGACAAAATGTCACAGCAAAGAGGAGCTAAAGAGACATGACAACCAAATGTAATGTGTTCTAAGATGAGATCTTAGAACAGAAAAAGGATATTAGGTAAAAATGAAGGAAATGTGAATAAAGTATGGGCTTCAATTAATAATAAATGGGTTCATTAAATGTAACAAATACATCATACTAATGTAAAATAGATTTTTTTTTACTTTTTAATATTTTTAAATATTTTATGTTTTTTATTTATTTTTTTGAGAAAGGTCTCACTCTGTTGCCCAGGCTGAAGTGCAGTGGTGTGACATTGGCTCACTGCAACCTCCGCCTCCCAGGTAAAATGTTAACAATAGGAAAAACTACATGCGTGAGTGAGGGGAGTTATATGAGAACTCTGTACTATCTGCCCAATTTTTTGGCAAATCTAAAACCATTCTTAAAAAAAAAAAGTCCATTAGTAAAATAGTAATAAAGTCTGGGGCAAGGGGAGTTGACTGAAAAGAGACATGAGGGAACTTTCTAAGGTGAAAGAAATGTTCTACATGATGACTGTGGTGTGGATTACACAAGTATCTAAATTTGTCAAAAGTTATCAAACTATATGATCTGTGAATTTCACTCTATGTAAACTGCCTCAATTTAAAAGAAAAATTCAAAAGAAAACTAATAAAAAGACTTTTAAAAAAGTAAGATTACATACATTTTAGCCCCTCTGCTCAATTTTGTTCTTGATTTTACAATTTTGTGCTTTACTTTATTTGGACAGATATACAGTGATCAAACACTTAACTTGTTCAAAAGAAAAGAATAATTTTCACAGGATAAATTAAAACATTTGAACATCAAGCAGTATTCACAGGAAAAATGAAATAAATACTTGAACATGCTTAGACTATGAAGAGACAATTAAAAAGCAGGTTCAACTAATAGTGAAGTTTCATTCTCCTGTGAGAGCCCTATCCTCAAGAAAGTAAATCTTCTCTTGAATGATCTCATGGAGATTTAATATCTACCTTTTCACCTTCCAAACTATATAAATCCATTTTTCAGAGTTCTCATATAACTCCATATAGAAACTTCAAGTATGAGATACAGAACACAACACCAAAAGTCCATTTCTACTAATCATACTGAGAGTCAAAGTTATATTAATTCATGTTTAAAGCTCAGCCACTAAATGGACTGGACTTACCAATATAATTTACACAATCAGATAAACTTCTGGAAGCAAATGGCCCTTCATATACAGTTTTACTTTTATCAAACAAATAAACCATATAGCTATCACAGCCTCTCTGAAAAAGAAACAAACAGTTAAAATCCTGTTCAAGGATCTTTGAAAATCCTAGGTTTTCTAAATACTTATGCACCAGATTTCCTACTTTGAAATGCAAATGAACAAAATCAATGTGTATTACCATATCTCTTACAGATAACAGAGTCCAAACTTTTGTTGAGGAAAAAAGACCCAAACTTTTGTATGGGCTAAAGTGAACAATCACCAAAACCCAAAGAACAAATGCAAAAAGATATATACAGTGAAAAAACTAATCGGTAATCAAAACGAATGAAGTACTGATACATGCTACAACATGCACGGGCTTCAAAAATACAAGGCAAGTAAAAAAAGTCAGACACAAGACTATATATTACATAATTCCATTTATATGGAATGTTCAGAAAAGGCAAACTTGTGGAGATAAAAAATAGATTCCTGGTTTCCTGGGGTGGACAGAATGGAGATTAACAGTTAATGGACTGTTAATGGAAATGTTTTTAAGCTGATTTATGGTGACAGCTGCAAAATTTGGTAAATTTACTTTAAAAAAAAATCACTGTAATTGAGCATCAAGTCAGTGACAAGTTAATAAAAAAGAAATAAAAAATCACTATATTGTACACCTTAAATGGGAACTAACATGATAATATGCCTCAATAAAGTCATAAAAAGAAAAATGGGGGAAAAAGTCATGACCACAGTCATATTTTACCACCCATTTATCCTTTGGCAGGACCTATGAGACTGCTGTTCTCACAGTAGTTTCAGAGTACTGGGCTTCAAATACAAAAAGAAATTTTTTTTTTTGAGACAGGGTCTTGCTCTGTCACCCATGCTGGAGTGCAGCGGCGTGATCATGGCTCATTGCAGCCTCAACCTCCCTGGGCTCAAGTGATTCTCCCACCTCAATCTCCCAAGTAGCTAGGACTACAGGGGTGCACCACCAAACCCCGCTAATTTTTGTAGTTTTTGTAGAGACAGGGCTTCAACATGTTGCTCAGGCAGGTCTCGAACTCTTGAACTCAGCAATCCACCCACCTTGGGTTCCCAAAGTCCCGGGATTACAGGCATGGGCCACTGCACCAAGCCAAGAAGGAATATTAACTGGGAGTGTGGCAGGCCAGGTCTCACTAATGCAGGCCTAAATAACAACTGTTTCAGCACGACTGAGTGGTGAAGTTAAATATTAAAAGCTGAAAGAGTGGCCGGGTGCAGTGGCTCACGCCTGTAATCCCAACACTTCAGGAGGCCGAGGTAGGCAGATCGCCTGAGGTCGGTCAGGAGTGGCAAAACCCCGTCTCTACTAAAGATACAAAAAATTAGCTAGGCATGGTGGTGGGCACCTATAATCCCAGCTACTTGGGAGGCTGTGGCAGGGAGAATCACTTGAACCCAGGAGGCGGAGGTTGCAGTGAGCTGAGATTGTGCCATTGCACTTCAGCCTGGGCAACAGAGCAAGACTGTCTAAAAAAAAAAAAAACTGGAAGAGCCAGTGCCCTTACACAAAGGCTGAAATGTAGCCAAAGCCTACCAAGAGTTCTGCCCAGGCCTTTCCCAGGCCTAAAAGCAAAATAACAAAGGAATTCTTAACAGGACCCGTTCAGAATTAAATAAGTTTTATTGGGGGTCTGAAGAAACCCCAGGCCTCCACAAACAAGTTTATTGGGGGTCTGAAGGAACTCCTTAAACCTCTGTGATTTAATAGGAGACAAGATAAGGGTAATCACCCCAGCACCTGGACCCATTTAGAGTAAGTAAATTTACTGAGGCTCCAGAGGAATGTCTTCAAGACTCAGACCTCAGCTACAGATTAAAAGAAGTTAATCACTTATGTCTTTAGATGAATGCAAACTTACACATAGACATATAGCTTAGAAGATAAATAAACTACGGAAAAACTTTGTAATTTTGAGTTGGTCTGGCGGTAATTTCCAGGCCTTCTACCTGTAACTGGTTACAGAAATAAAAACTCCCATCTCTCCCAATTCATCTGCATCTCGTTATTGGGCCGCGAGAGTAAGCAGCCTGACCCTCAGTTTGGTCTGGGAACAGGAGCAGAAAACTGGCACCAAAGAAAAAGTCTTGCAAAGTTCAAAACAACAAATGTTTCATTTCTATCCTGTTCACCTTGCAAAGCAATGATAAGAGTTGGGAGAAGGACAAAACCAAAACAAAATGTGCGGCCTCCCAAGGAATTCCAAGTATGCATAAAAATTGCAGGGCACGCAATCCCTCTAGATTTCACATACTCTAGGGATATTATAATTAATTTTCTTACAACTCCATCTAGAACACATTGAGAGGCTGGTTTCCGAGGATCCAGAGAAATTCCTGTCTCTGAAAGAAGTTCTTGAGAACCAGTATTTATTCCAGTTTCACGCTCAATACGAGACTGTAGTGAATGAAGACTTTCATCAGGTGGTAACAGAAAAGAAATTATCTTTGCAGAAGTCATATTTAGGATGTGTACTATCTGTATAAATAAGAAAAAAAGGTAAAGTTATTGATTATTTGTTACATAAAAGATTCGCTGCCAGATACTAAAAGGTGAATATGGGCAAAAGGCATTATTTCTACATTAAACAAGGCTCACTCATTCTCCAAAGTGAGATCTCCTTTTATAATTATAAAATGACATTCTGAAAACTGAACAATTTCCTTTTCTACAATAGATGTTAGTTCCAACAATAAAATTTCAAAGTTAAGAAATTTTCAAAATTAAGAAAAATCCCAATTTGAAAGAACAAGTTATTTATTTATTTATTTATTTATTTATTTTTTTTTTTTTTGAGACGGAGTCTCGCTCTGTCGCCCAGGCTGGAGTGCAGTGGCGGGATCTCGGCTCACTGCAAGCTCCGCCTCCCGGGTTCACGCCATTCTCCTGCCTCAGCCTCCCAAGTAGCTGGGACTACAGGCGCCCGCCACTACGCCCGGCTAATTTTTTGTATTTTTAGTAGAGACGGGGTTTCACCGTTTTAGCCGGGATGGTCTCGATCTCCTGACCTCGTGATCCGCCCGCCTCGGCCTCCCAAAGTGCTGGGATTACAGGCGTGAGCCACCGCGCCCGGCCTAAGTTATTTATTTTGAAAAAAACATTATCATAGACCGAAAAGGAAACATTCCAATTCATGAAGTGCCTAACAGAAGACAACCACAGGCATAAACCACTTTCACATAACATCCCCAATAATTAGATCTTTTAATCTCCATTTTAAACAGAGAAAGAAACCAGAGTTCTAAGTTAAATAACTTGTTAGGGATCACACAGCTAATAACTGGTAGAGCTTGGATCTTAACTCTTTTTGTGTCTGGCTACTTCATGCTGCCTTAAGAAATCATCTGATAGAAGAACTAGGTCTCTCTTTAAACAGGAAAAAGCATTGTTATGCGTGGTGAGTTACCTTTTTATAAGACAACCTAATCCCAGAGCAGCAACCTGCTTAAGGGCCCCAAATCAAGTAAGAACCGTTTTATCACTCTCACCTAAAGCCCCAGTAAAAGTAGCCTGATACATGCCAAGTGAGTGTGAGGCTGAGTCAGGTGGGGCTCTGTCCCCACCTGTCAGCGCGGACAGCCACAGAGTTGGACTTCAGTCTTTTGAAAAGAACATGATTTTAAATTCTCTTCCTTCCAGTATCCTTAGAAAAGCCATACGAAATTAATGCCTACATTCTCCATGCCTTACATTGACTAGTATATGCAAATGATTAAAATTCTCTCTGCTGAAAATCCTTACTACAAAGGTAAGGCATTAATCCAAGTCCACTATTATTTTTTTCCCTTTAAAACACAAATCTGAATTGATGTTTTCAAAGACACAAAACTATAGACAACAGTACAATAAGCCCCCTCCCAACCCTGTGAATGCCTCACCTAGTTTCAACCATCATTTACATAGAGCCTATCTTGTTTCATCTATCATAACCCCCTCTCCTGATTTATTGCTTTATCTTTTACATATTTTATTTTGTGACAATTTAATTTGACATATAAAAATGTTATATATTTGAGTTATACAACTTGATGTTTTGATATACGTTGTGAAATTATCACATTTCAGCTAATTAATATATCTGTCACCTCTTCATAGTTGTCATTTTTGTACCTTTTTTTTCTTTTGCTGCCGTAATTTTTGGACCTTTTGATAAACATCTCTACATACACCCCCGCACCCGCATCCCTGCAGCCCCTGGCAACTATGATGCTATGGTCTGCTTCTATTAAATTTAACTATTATAGATTCCACATGTAAGTGAGATCACGCAGTATTTCTCTTTCTGTGACTTGCTTATTTTACTTAACATGTCCTCCAGGTTCATCCACATTGTCCTAAATGGCAGAATTTCCTTCTTTTTCTTAAGGTTGAATACTATTCCACTGTGTATATATACCACTTTTTCCCTATCCATTCATCTGTCAAAGGACATTTAGGCTATTTCCAGATCTTGACTATTGTGAATAATGCTGCAATGAACATGGGAGTGCAAATATCTCTTCACAAGCCTGCTTTAAAATCCTTTGGATATATACCAAGAAATGACATTGTTGAATCTTACAGTTCTATTTTTTTTTTTTTTCTTTTGAGACAGAGTCTTGCTGTGTCACGCAGGCTGATGTGCAGTGGCATGATCTCTCAGCTCACTACAACTTCCACCTCCTGAATTCAAGCAATTATCCTGCCTCAGCCTACGGAGTAGCTGGGATTACAGATGTGCACCACCATGCCCAGCTAATTTTTGTAATTTTAGTTGAGATGGGGTTTCTGCATGTTGCCCAGTCTGGTCTCGAACTCCTGGCCTCATGTGATCCACCTGTCTCAACCTCCCAAAGTGCTGGGATTACAGGCATGAGCCACCATGCCCGGCCAGTAGTTCTATTTTTAATTTTGAGGAACCTTTGTACTGTTTCCCACAATAGCTGTAATAATTTACATTCCCACCAACAGTGTACAAGGGATTTCTTTTCTCCCACATCCTCACTAACGCTTATCTTTTTTCTTTTGGATAATAGCCATCCCAACAGGTGGGGGGTGATATCTTAGTGTGGTTTTGATTTGCATCGCCCTGATGCTAAGAGTTGTTGAGCACCTTTTCATATGTTTGTTGACCATCTGAATTTCTTCTTTTGAGAAGTGTCTAATTCAGGTCCTTTGCACATTTTTAAATTGGGTTATTTACATTTTTGGTATTGAGTTGCATGAGTTTCTTATAAATTTAGGATATTAATTTCTTATTGGATGTATGGTATGCAAATATCTTTTCCCAATCCATGGGTTGGGTTGCTTTTTCGTTTTGTTGATTATTTTTTCTACTGTACACTTTTTAGTTTGAAGGCCCACTATTATTTCCACTTACAAATCCTAACACAGATGCCCAAATAAGTGGTGCTACAGAAATACTAAACTGAGGCTGGGCGTGGTGGCTCACGCCTGTAATCCCAGCACTTTGGGATTACAAGACAAGTAGATCACTTAAGGTCAGGAGTTCAAGACCAGCCTGGCCAACATGGTGAAACCTTGTCTCTACTAAAAACACAAAAATTAGCTGGGCTTGGTGGCACAACGCCTATAATCCCAGCTACTCAGAAGGCTGAGGCAGGAGAATCGCCTGAACCTGGGAGATCAAGGCTGCAGTGAGCCAAGATCGCGCCACTGCACTCCAGGCGACAGAGTGAGACTTTGTCTCAAAAAAAAAAAAAAAGAAAGAAGAAAAAGAAAAAAAAAGAAAAAAGAAAGGGATACTGAATATTCCCAACACAGAGAAATTATGTTTTAGCTGATGGATATGCTAATTACCCTAATCTGATCACTACACAGTGCATGTATTGAAACATCACTATTTACCCCATTAATTTGTATAATTATTTGTCAATTTAAAAAATTAGGCTGGGCGCGGTGGCTCACACCTGTAATCCCAGCCCTTTGGGAGGCCAAGACAGGTAGATCACTTGAGGACAGGAGTTTGAGAACATCCTGGCCAACATGGCAAAACCCTGTCTCTACTAAAAACACACAAAAAATTAGTTGGCCATGATGGCGCACACCTGTAATTCCAACTACGCGGGAGGCTGAGGCACGAGAGAATCACTTGAGTCTGGGAGGTGAAAGTTGCAGTGAGTGGAGATTGCACCATGGTACTCTAGCCTGGGTGATAGAACAAGACTCTTATCTCAAAAAAAAAAAAAAAAATTAAAAGCGTATTAACAATTTTGTTTGTTTGTTTTTGAGACAGAGTCTCTCTCTGTCACCCAGGCTGGAGTGCAGTGGTGCGATCTTGGTTCAATGCAGCCTCCACCTCCCAGGTTCAAGCAACTCTTCTGCCTCAGCCTCCCGTGTAGCTGGGACTACAGGCATGCACCACCATCCCTGGCTAATTTTTGTATTCTTAGTAGAGATGGGGTTTCACCATGTTGGCCAGGCTGGTCTCGAACTCCAGACCTCAAGTGATCTGCCTGCCTCCACCTCCCAAAGTGCTGGGATTACAGGCATGAGCCACCACACCTGTATCAACAAAATTTTAAAAAAGAAATACCAAACTGTTTTTATAACCTGAAGCTGATCCTTTTCATGTGAATTCCAAATGTCATAACACAATTGCCAGTATTTCTCTTATTAAGAGACTTTTCTTTAATATAAATCTTTATGTTTAAAAGGGGAGTAGGGAAATCTTCAAAACTGATACGGATTTGCAATACAATTATACTACCTGAGACTTTCCATGCCTTCCCAATTTAGGCAGATTTCACACTATGACAGCTGCCACTTATAGCAATAGAAAATCCTATAATGGACATCTACTTTTACACAGGATATTAGAGTATGTCATCATGGCATCTCACTACCAAAGCTCCAGGCCAGAAGGAAGCAAAAGAAAGAAGAGGAAATACAACCTAAATTTATCTTTTTGCTCACTATAATATTTAATGAGTACCTACTATTGGTAGGTACATACTATTGGTACATACTATTAAGTGTGTTGTGGTGGTAGTAGTGGGTATACAAACTGAGTACCTTATGATCCTTGCCTTCCATACAGTTATAGTCAAACAGAAGATATTAAGATATACTAAGAGAACTAAGGTACCAGGCAAAATGTGATAGGTGTTATAATCAGTGTAAAGTATCATACACTTGGCAGTAGGAAGCAGGCACTTCATAAAGGAGGCACTACTTGAGCTAAACTTTGAAATGAAAGACTGAAATGGGAAAAGACTGAAAAGAGTTCCTTTAGGCAGAAAACAAGGTGAGCAGAAGCAGAAAAGTAGAAAGGGATGGGCATAATCAGAGAATACAATTAATCCAGTTCAAATGTACCTAAAATGATGGCCTCTCAGGGCATTAGTAAGAGATAAGTCCAGGAGTGTAAGTTGATATGAAACCAAGATAGGTTTTGAGTACCAATGAAAGGGTCTGGACTTTATTCAATAAGTGAAAGAAAACTATGCAAGCCTTTCTAAATTGAGAACCTGGCAAGCTCAAAATTGTTAAGATATTCAAAAGATAAATTTGATAAAATAATTGGATATATCGATTGAAGAGAAAGGAAGAGTCAACACATCCAAAGTTTCCCACCTGGGTAACTGGAAAGGTGACAGTGCAAATAAGAAGTGTAGGAAATCTATAGAGGTAGATTTAATGGGCCAGGTGCAGTGGCTCATGCCTGTAATCCCAGCACTTTGGAAGGCCGAGGTGAGCAGATCACCTGAGGTCAGGGTGTCAAGACCAGCCTGGCCAACATGGTGAAACCCCATTTCTACCAAAAATATAAAAATTAGCTGGACACGGTGGCAGGCACCTGTAATCCCAGCTACTCGGGAGGCTGAGGCACGAGAATCACTTGAACCCAGGAGGTGTAGGTTGCAGTGAGTTGAGATCGTGAGACAGAGTGAGGCTCCATATCAAAAAAAAAAAAAAAAAAAAAAGAAGTAGATTTAATGGATAGAACAAATATGTTCAGTTTTTAATAAATTAAGTTGTAAGTGCCAGTGGAACAGCCAGGTAGTTATACAGTTATACAGCAGTTATAAGTCCTTGGCAGAAGAGTCACAGCTACAGAGATAAATAACTTTAGGAGTTAGCCATATGTAGTTTATAAGTAAAGCTATACAGTTGAAGAGGCTGCCTAATAAAAGAAAGGAAATGTAATGGAAAAAGAGAGAACCAAGAAGAGACTCAGAATATAGTTACATTTAGGGGCGTGAAAGAGGAGGCAAAAAAAAATAATAATTAAATGCTACTGTTTCATCATTATTTTTAGTGGTAGGTTCAGTACACTTCTTTCAACTCTTCTACATATCTAAAGATGTTCATAATAAACAGTTGGAAAATATGCATACAATCAGACTTGCTAAGCTATTTTTTCAAAAGGGAAATATTTCAGTAACTGTTTTGTTGCTTCCTTTTTTAAGTGAAAATCAAACAGACATCATTCCTTTCTTGTACAATATATATAAACATTTTGGGAAAATGTCCTACAGTAACACCAAGCTGTTTTGCAGTTCATGCTTCTGTACTTTTGCTCATGATGCTCTGCTGCCTATAAATCTCTCCCGCCCTCACCCTTTCCCTAAAAACTCTCATTCTTCAAAATTCAGTCCTATTATCATGTCTAACAAGCATCCTTGAAGCTTCTTGAACTACTATAACTAGTACCTTATACATACCTTATTCTGCATAACCTCATAATAATATTGATGCTTTGAGGAAGATATTACTGTCCTTGAGATAGAGAGACATTTGCTCAGGTTCACAGATAGGTAAATAGTGGTGCTGCAAACTGAATTAAAGTCTGTAAACTATAAACTCCATAATGTGGACTCTTTCCCCGTGCCCTATAACAAGAGGCTCACAGATGCCCTTCAGAGCAGAAACTATGCTATGATTCCTATGACAAGTATGAAACAAATGCGAGATGTGGTTCATTCACAGCTGAAATGTTTCAGAGGCAACACAGAACTAAAGCCCTGCTTTCCTAACACACTGAGGGATAATTTATTCTTTGGCACATTAGAAGGAAACCAAATCAAGAAGAAGCCAGGTATCTTTTCAGTGTTAGCCAAGAATGACATCCACATGGCCTCAAGTTTCTATTTAATAAAGTATGCCAAGGTCGGGCACAGTAGCCCACATCTGTAATCTCAGCACTTTGGGAAGTCGAGGTAGGAGGATTACTTGAGGCCAGGAGTTCAAAACCAACCTGCTCAACACAGTGAGACCCCATTTCTACCAAAAATTTAAAAATTAGGCAGGAGAGGTGGCGCACACCTGTAGTCCCATTTACTCTGGAGGCTGAAGCAGGAGAATCACTTGAGCTCAGGGGTTGCAGACTAAAGTGAGCTATCTCGCCATGTACTCCAACATTACATGATTATAATTTCTCATTTCAATTTTAGAAACCTGTATACTACAAACAATCAATACAAATGTAAAGACTATTGATGAGAGTTGTTTCTGGGTACACTGCATAATAGAACTATCTATAGCTCTCATTCATATCAATAAATAATTTACTAAGAACCTGATACATGCCCTGCTCTGTACAGAATGCCATGGTTAGGAAGGGTAGGGTGGGTGATTGTTAATAAAAGAAGTAAAACAATCCCAACATTGAAGAAGACAACAGTCTATATGAAGATGCATGAATGGAAGACGAGAAAGAGAATATAGCCTTTAAATGACAAATTTTGTGGCAGAGACCATTTAAAGAAAAGCTCTTAAAGATATGCCAGTGTAGGTGAGAAGATACACAGAAATGGATATCCAGGCAGAAGGATAGCATCTGTCAAAGCACAAAGGTAGATAACGGGTTTGAGGCATAAGGAGCAGTGACAAGCTGGTCTTGTATGAGGTAAAGGTTAAGAGAAGCAGGTACAAGGCAAAACTTGGTTAGGGAAAGCCCCCCCAAAAAACCAAGCAGATCAGTTTACACTTGACTTGTTAAAAAAAAAAAAAAAAAGAACTATGTTAGTTTCTTGGGCAGAAGAATAAAAAAGCATTTTCAGAAGATGAGATAGGTAGTACATATTGAATGAACTATAGGTTAAGGAGTAAGTGCAGAGCCATGAAAGGCAGATAGGAACCTTCCTTACCAAATCAAATCCAGTATGACTAGACATAAATGAATCGAGGATAATGGCAACAACATGGGAAAAGGTAAATAAAAAAGTTGCTTCAAAGGAGTAATTAACAAAGACCACAGAGAAGCAAACTGAGACAGCTTGCTAAATAAACTTTTTAAAAAATCAGCTCTAAGAATATAATTTTCTTTTTCAAATAAGCATCAGGGCTGGACGCAATGGCTCACGCCTGTAATCCCACTTTGGGAGGTGGAGGCGGGCAGATCACCTGAGGTCAGGAGTGCGAGACCAGCCTGGACAACATAGCGAAACCCTACCTCTACTAAAAATACAAAAATTAGCTGGGCATGGTGGTGCACACCTTTAGTCCCAACTACTCGGGAGGCTGAGGCAAGAGAATCGCTTGAACCTGGGAGGCGCAGGTTGCAGTGAGCCAAAAACATGCCACTGCACTCCAGCCTAGGTGACAGAGTGAGACCCTGTCTCAAAATAAATAAATAAATAAGCAACAGGAAAAGATTATTAAACTGTATTTATGCTAATTTTCCAAATAAACTTGTTACTTTCAATGCTGGTCTTATGCAGTAGACCCATTAAGACTAACCTTCAAATTCAAAATGTGATCCATTAATACAAAACATCTTGGCTGCTTCAAAGTAAGGTCAACAGGTCCTCCTCTCTGCTGAGGGTCCCAATTCAACATCAACTGTAGCCAGTTTTCCATGGGTTCTACTACTAAACTAGAAAACATACAAAATAGGGTGAAAATCAAATCATTATGTTCCAATTTCCCTTTATACTGTTAGAAAGGTAATTTTGCAGGTTGTCCATTTTCTTTCCCACATCACTTGTCTGTACCATTTCATAAATTACTTTCAAATTCATGAAATGACAGGGGACAAACTTTTTTCCATCAAAAACTACTCAAAACTCCACATATGTTAGTTACTGACAACTCTGACGGATGAGTCCAAATCCATTCTGCAAATAACCCATTTACTTCATTATCCTAAGAGCCTTCTTAGGACATATGTCAAACAGTTAAATGGCAGTTCTTGTTTCCACCAGACCTGTGCTGTCCAAAATGGTAGCCACTAGTCCCAAGTGGCTATTTATATTTACTATTTATTCAAAATTCGTTCTCTAGCCAAACTAGCTACATGTCAAGTAGTCAATAACCTCATGTGGCCAACAGAAATATAGAAGGTTTCTACATCATCACAGAAAGTTCTACTGGATAATGCAACTTGAAACAGACAACTACTCTCCTGCTCCTTTACAACTCTGGAGAAACTGAGGCAAACTTCCTTAACTAAAATATACTTACCTACAAAGGCTATTTGGTTGAGGTAAATGGCTACTAAACCGAACTTCTCCTGACATCTCTTCACATGCAAATATACACTTTGGATCCTTCTTCTTAATCTTCTCATGCCTATAAAATCAAAAGCTACCTCAGTTGACAAAGTGATTCTCACAAATTAAGATTTCTTGCCATTTAATTATATTTAATTGTATATTTCAAAGGCAATTAAACAATTAAAGAAAGAAAAAAAAAGACAAATGAAAAAATTTCCATTCCCATTAAGCATGCCCAAGTTCTCATCCATTTCTTACCAGGTAAATGGCTGCAGATGATGCAAAAAAGGCCTATATCCAGCAATACATTCAAATACCATGGTCCCAAAGCTCCAATAATCAACAGTGGCTGTGTAAGGCTTATTCTCAAAGAGCTCTGGGGCCTTCAAAAGAGAAAATGCTTTAAACACCAACACTGTATGGGAAAAGCTACTTTATTTTTGACCTACTATATTCATGATCTTCAGAAATAAGAGAATCCTATACACACTTAAATTCAAAGAAACAAAACAGGTCTCACCAGATACTGCAGTGTTCCCACAAAAGATGTACACAGACTTCCTTGATCAACATCTTTGGCATATCCCAGATCAATTATTTTATGTATTATCTGCAAAATAATAAGACAGATTAAGTATTAAATGGTAGAGAAATTTAAAAAGGAAAGACAACAATATCCTTACGAGGCTGTAGACAGGGTAGTGGTGAGGACCTTGGGCTCTGTAATAACACAAAAATATTTCAAGTCTGAGTGCCACCACTTAACTAGGCATGTGATCTACCAAGTTATTTAACCTCTCTCAGTAATCTAATTGGATGACTAACAGTCCCTGCTTCACAGAATTGTTATTAGGATCCAATGAAATAACGAAAGTAAAGAAGGTAACACAGTGCTTGGTACATGGTAAAAATTGAATACAGGTGGGCTATTAATTTTTATTTTACTATATTCAAAATAAGCTCAATCCATTAAACTGGAAAGTAAAGGCAAGGGTGACTTCCAAACTTGAAGAAGCATCATACCTCCTTATAGTAGATTAAATGTGAGTAAATACTTAGATCTAACTTCAGGAATGTCCTGAAGTCTTTGGATTAAAAAAAAAAAAAGCAGAGATATTTGGTGCCAAGCATACGTGAAAGGTTCCTAAGAGAAGAGGCATCACCAAGGTTCCAACACCTCCAAGAGGCCAACAACTATTTTCACTAACTAAAGAGACGGCACACACAACTCAACACAAGGTTCAGACTCTTGGCCTTTAAGTCTTTATTGGAATGAAATTTGGATGCTGGAAACAAGAAAACTGCTTAAGTTACCAATGAAATGAACATTTTAAGAGTCAATTCACAATTTCTGGTTCTTCTCCAGATGACTCATTTAAATTGGGGGAAGGAAAATAAGTTTTAAAAATATATATACTTTCTTTTTTTTCTTAAAGTGGACCCAGGATGTGCATGTATGTGTTTTGGATGTGCTTCATAAGAATAAAATAATAAGTGTTAACATATTATGTATTCACAGCCTGTATCTTTGCTAGATACTATGATGGAAAAACAGACTTGAACAAGACAGGTGAAGTCTAGGAGCTGGGTTAAGTATGAAAAATGAAAAAAAAGAAAAAGAAAAAAAAAGCAGGTGCTGTTCCTTCTCTGATGGAACCACTGTTTAGCAGAAGGGACAAAAAAACTAAACACAAAACTACAGTTCAGTGTGGTGAGGTCTGAAATGGAAAAAGTAAGACTGTTATGGGCATACAGCAAAGACACCAAAGCTCAAGGACTAACTATATCAGAGAGACTATATTCAATAGGCATGAAACATTACTTCAGGTTTCACCTACCTTTCCACCAACATCCTGAAGAACTATGTTTTCAGGTTTTAGATCTCGATGTATAATTTTGTTTTCATGCAAATATCGAATCCCAGACCCTAAATAAAGTTTAAAATATACTTTAAAGTAACAGAAATCATTGAGTTAAAAGAAAAATTCACCTCACATTTTGTACAAATCTACTCTGATGCTCAAGTTTATATGGATCATCGTAACTACACAACTAATACTACAGTGTCCAGGTTTTCTTCACAGAAAAAAAAGTAACATTAAACAAATACTACAAAATTATACTATATGTTCATTTAACTCATTAGAATTAACACCAAATAGAAATGCAACAAGCAATTGGGAAAATCCCTGAAACTCTTATAAGCCTCTTTCTCCCACCTAAATCACTCATTTCAATTGGACTTTAGCCCTCATGACCTTGGAAAAGAGGCAAAACCAAAATCTATGGGGAAACAAATTTTTGGTTTTTGAGGTTCCTCCAAAAGGTTAGGTACTGGTTATTTTAGGAATTTTTCTGGAGTCATTCTGATTAAGCAGAGATTTTTCACCCTGAAGAGTTGACTTGGCTGGGTGCGGTGGCTCACGCTTGTAATCCCAGCACTTTGGGAGGCCGAGGCGGGCAGATCACGAGGTCAGGAGTTTGAGACCAGCCTGGCCAACACAGTGAAACCCCGTCTCTGTTAAAAATACAAAAATTAGCCAGGTGTGATGGCGGGCACCTGTAATCCCAGCTACTCGGGAGGCTGAGGCAGGAGAATCGCTTGAACCTGGGAGGCAGAGGTTACAGTAAGCTGAGATCGCACCACTGCACTCCAGCCTGGGCAACAGAGCTAGACTCCGTCTCAAAACAAACAAACAAAAAAGAGTTGACTTGAGGACCCATCCCTCAAGGAGATGTAATTCCACTGTAAACAAAATTACTATGTCAATGGTAGGGGGGGAGAGAAATTGAGTAAGGTCATTTCACATGATTTTTTTGTCAGCTATTGGAACATCTATTAGACAAAAAAAGGACTCTTAGCCACAAATAAATAATAAAATATCCTAGTTTCTTTTTGTGTGTGTGTGACAAAGTCTCACTCTGTTGTCCAAGCTGGAGTGCAGTGGTGCAATCTCGGCTCACTGCAACCTCTATCTCCTGGGTTCAAGCGATTCTCCTGCCTCAGCCTCCCGAGTAGCTGGGACTACAGGCATGCGGCATTGTGCCCAGCTAATTTTTGTATTTTTAGTAGAGATGGGGTTTCACTATGTTGGCCAGGCTGGTCTTGAACTCCTGACCTTGTGATCCGCCTACCTTGGCCTCCCAAAGTGCTGGGATTACAGGCGTGAGCCACCGCACCTAGCCAAAATATCCTAGTTTTAATTTAGCATCAATAGTAATAGATTTTTATAACTTCTTATAGATGTTGAAATTCTATAGACTTTGTATAGTGTATCAACAATTCTCCTGAATTCCCAAAAAGATCTTTTATGGGCCAAAGGGACATTACATTACAATGGTATTTTAATACTGATACGTACCTATATCACTTAGTAAAGAAAGTATCTGGCTTTCTTTAAGTCCACAACAATTTTCTGGTTTGTTGAGCAGCTAAAAAAAGAAAGAAATCTAAAAATCTGTTCTGCAAATTGCTGGGCTGCAATAGTGACCACACATTAATTACTATACTCTAAAAGAATATTCAAATGAGAAAATAAGTCATAATAAAATACAAGGGAATAAAATTACCAAATCCATACTGAGGGCATGTAAATTTCATGATAAGGCTCATAAAAGTAAAAAGAGGCAAAAAGCATTTGAAACTGGAAAAGGCTGACAAATCTCATGGATATATATAAAAATGGTCATATGGGCACATTTAAAATTAGGTAGAAAAAAAAGATTGCAATACAGAAAACAACTTTTTATAAGCACCTTAACCACTGAAATTTTCATCTAACACCATTGCTATAGTCCCATCAAACAGCAACAACAAAAATGCATTTTCTAAATCAGGAGTCAACATTTTCTGTAAGGAACCATATGGTAAATACTTTAGGTTTTGCAAGTCACATAGTCTCTGTTAAAACTACTCACTTCTGCAGCCATAAGAAAGCAGCCATAGACAATGTGTAAAGAAATGAATGTGGCTGTGTTCCAATAAAACTTTATTTACAAAACAGGAAGCAGACCATAGTTTTTCCGATTCTTATTCTAGTTTATTATATTTAACATGATTCAAACATTGCTAAAGTTTGTGATTTACTCTCTCTCATCTCAAAACATCCACACTACCTTTCGGAGATCTCCTCCAGAACAGTATTCCATTGCTAGAAGAGGCACATCATGAATCAAAATATTCAATTCTTCAGGAACATCACAGGCCTTTACAACATTGGCATGGTTCAACCTAATAAGAAAGAAAAACATTACAATAAAAAAAATTATTTCCAATAAAAAGGGACTGGATTTGAAATGCTACTTAATTGTGGGTGGATGAACAGAGGGGGAAAGATCAGTATTATTTATAATATTCTAATTTCTGATTTGTATAATTAAAAATTAGTAATTTTTTAAAAGAAAACACACATAAAAATACCATCACTATTACTACTATTACATTTCTAAGTGCCAAGCAGTAAACATTTTAAATATATTAACTCAGTTACTTGTCACAATAATCCTATTATAGGTAGATTTATTAATACTTTCACCACACAGGAGAAAATTGAAGCACAAATTGGCTAAGTAACAAGATCACACAGTGAGTAAGTCAAATCTGGCGTTCTAGGCTGGGTGTAGTTGTAACTGTAATCCCAACAATTTGGGAGGCTGAGGTGGGAGGATTGCTTGAGGCCAGGAGTTCGAGATCAGCATGGGTAACACAGTGAGACCTCATCTCTACAAAAAATTAAAAATTAGCCGGGTGTGGTGGCGCATGCCTATAGTCCCAGCTACTCCAGAGGCTGAGGTGGGAGGACTGCTTGAGCCCAGGAGTTCAAGTCAAGCCTGGGTAACATAGCAAGACCACATCTCTTTTAAAAAAAAAAAGAAAAAAAGAAAAAGAAGCAAACAGAATTTCCATGTACATGTAGGACCTGATAATTTATACTATTAAGCTTTCCTGGTGATTCTGCCACATAACCAAGTTTGAGAATCAAAATGGAATTAAGCACAGATATTAGAGTCAGAAAGTATTTATTTCAAATCCACACTTTACCAACCACCAGCTATGTGATTCTATAAGCTTCAACTTCCTCATTTGCAAAATAATACCTAAATATAAGATTGCTGTGATAACTGGAAGAATGATCTGTAAAGTACTTAGCACACTACCTGTGGAAGTTTTAAAATATGTCTACTTCTCTTTTTAAGAGCTTAACTCTCCTCCCCTTGAATGTAGGCTGTACTTAGTGACTCACTGTAACAAACAGAATGTGGTGGAAAAGGATGGAGTCTCACTTCCAAGTAAAGATCATAAAAGATACGTCGGTTTTCATCTTGCTCGCTCGTTCACTCTCTCTCTCTCTCTCTCTCTCTCAGATCACTCACTCTTTCTGAGGAAAAGATCTTTCTGGGGAAAGCTAGCTTCCATGTCATGAAAACATTCAAGCTTCCCCATGAAGAGGCCCACATGGCGAAGAACTGATGCTTTTGGCCAACATTCATATAAGTGAGCATGGAAGCAGATACTCCAGCCCCAGTCAAGCCTTTGGATTACTGCAGCTCCGACCAATATCCTGAGATGTCTCAGGAAAGACTCTAAGCTAGAATCACCCAGCTAAGCCACTCCCAAATTCCTAAGTCACAGAAACTATAAGATACTAAATGTTTGCTATTTTAAGCCACTAAATGTTGGGGTAATTTATTTTTTATTATTTATTTATTTATTTAGAGACGGAGTCGCCCAGGCTGGAGTGCAGTGGTATGATCTCAGCTTACCGCAACCTCCGCCTCCCGGGTTCAAGCAATTCTCCTCCCTCGGCCTCCCAAGTAGCTGGGATTACAGGCACCCGCCACCACACCTGGCTAATTTTTGTATTTTTAGTAGAGATGGGGTTTTGCCATGTTGACCGGGCTGGTCTCAAACTCCTGACCTCAGGTAATCCATCCGCCTTGGCCTCCCAAAGTGCTGGGATTATAGGTGTGAGCCACCACGCCCGGCCCTAGCTGACTTTTGTTAACTGAAATGAAATAGTTTTTTGATTGTGGTAAAACACACATAGCATAAAATTTACCACCTTAACCATTTTTAAGTGTACAGTTTAGTGGCATCAAGATGCTTTCCTTTTTTTTCAGACAGGGTCTTGCTCTTGTCACCCAGGCTGGAGTACAGTGGTATGATCTCAGCTCACTGTAGCCTTGACCTCCTGGGCTCAAGCAATCTTCCCACCTCAGCCTCCCAAGTAACTGGGACTACGGGCATGCACCACCACACATAGCTAGTTTTTATATTTTTTGTAGAGATGGGGTTTTGCCATGTTGCCCAGGCTGGTCTCGAACTCCTGAGCTCAAGCAATCCACCCACCTCAGCCTCTCAAAGTGTTGGAATTACAGTGTGAGCCAACATGCCCAGCCTGGCATCAAATACTTTCACAATGTTTTGCTACTATCACTATACTGCACAAAACTGTTTAATTCTGCAAAGCTGAAACTCCGCACCTATTAAAAATTATTCTCTATTTGCTGGTCCCTTCACCCTCTGGCAAACACCATTCTACTTTCTTTCACTGTGAGTTTGACTACTCTAGGTACCACACATAAGTGGAATGACACAGTATTTGTCTTTTTGTGACTGGCTTATTTCATTTAGCATAATGTCCACAAGATTCATCCATGCTGTGGCATGTGTCAGAGTTTCATTCCTTTTTAAGGCTGCATGATATTCCGTTTCATGAATATACCACATTTTGTTTATACATGTCTCTGCTGGTAGATACTGGGTTGCTTTTACCTTTCAGCTATTGTGAATAATAATGTTATGAATATGAGTGTACAAATTACTCTTTAAGTCCCTGCTTTCAATTCATTTTTGTATATACCCAGAAATGGAATTGCTGGATCATATGGTAATTCTATTTTTAATTTTTTAGGAATCACCGTACTGTTTTCCGTAACAGTTGCACAATTTTACATTCCCACCAACAGTGTGTAAGTGTCCTAGCTGATTTTAACTAAACCTTCTTAATCTTAATGTGATATTATTATTTGAAATAGAATATATTTAATGAGAGAAAAAAATATATGTTCCCAAAAAGATCCTGAGAAGAGTGGATTCCTGGCCTCTTTCCCCATGATGACATCTGGTTGGGCTGTAGAACCAGGGAAATGTAAGTCAAGGAATACACTTACTTCTTCATAATCTGGATTTCATGGCACCATCGTTCTCTGTTTTTGGTACTTAGCTCTAGGCGACAAGACTTAATTGCTATTTTGAGATCAAGTTCCTGCCAAAATAGAAAATCAACAGAAAAAAAAAATTAGGTTCTTGTGAAGATTTATTTGCTACCAAAGAAATAACTTAAGACAACAAAACTTTTTAGCTTTACTAATTAAATATATTTATCCACAGCTCTCTTGAGGCAATGCTTTTTAAAAAGATAAACCATGAGACTATTACACCAATGCTTTAAAACTGACCTTCAAACACACAACAGCATACAAGGGAAAAGTGCCTGAAACTGATTTTATAACAGGTCTTTTCAGAACTCTCTCTCATATATAATGTTAGAAAAAAAAAGATCCTGTCTCCTCAGCAAACCCCTTTCAGAGCTTAATCAAGACAACTAATATGTGCCCCAGCTTCTAGCATAACTAAAATGAAGAAGGTAATTCAGGGCTTCCTGGACTCCAAACAGCAAGAGAAAGTTTTAATATAACCAAGCCTAAAGCAAAAAACTCCAATCCTAATGTATGCATTTCAAATGACATGAAGAAAAAAAATCCTACCAATGAGTGTACTTCTGCTTCCATAGCTACATAATGAACCTAACATCTCTTGCCTGTGACTAGTAATTTAGCCAATTCTGACTGAAATTAAACCCATTCTGATGCATATTACAGGAAATAGCCAGACCCCATCATATTCTGGCAACATTAATAATGCAGCTCAGAAATAGCAGTCAGGGCTAAACAGGCTACACTATGTTTCTGATATCACAAGGAGAGTTCAAAAGAATTTCCAACATATGTAATCTCTGACACAAACCAGAGTTGTAATAAAGGCTGTGTATGAATACAGAGAGAAGAGCCCAGGGGCCAGGACAGAAAAAATATATTATAGGTGGGGAAGCAAGACATAGCTTGGATAGGGTAGTGTGAATTGGAGGGTGAGAGGAAAAAAGAAGCTAGAGATAAGATGATACCTGGTGCATAGAGAAGAAGGAAACTAGGATAGACTGCATGCTAGCCTACCCACAGTTCTCACTCCCTTCAATCTTCCTTTTGTTATGAGCAGGTGACCAGTTATATCTATGTCCCATGCAGGCCTTTACCACCATGGAAATGAGAATCAGGCACAACCATGAACAACACTGAGCCCTGAATGCTCATGTTAATGGAGCAATAAGTTATCTATTTCAAAAATCCCACTTTGTAAGATCCTTCAACTCCTTAATTTATATTTCATCAACTCTGTGAAATTCTACCTTTTCACAAAGAATATTCTATGGGAAGTTTATAGATGTACAACAACAACAAAAAAGTCGGAATATTCTGGAGATAGGGTTATGGCTGTACAACAACGTCAATGTACTTAATGCCACCTAACTGTACACTTAAAAATAAAGTGATAAATGTTGTGTTATGTATACTTTACCATAATAAAACAAAAAGTGATTAATTCATCCATCCCCACCCAGGGACCAAGAAAAGAAGTCACAAAAGCTGCCAGCATGCATCCTTTTTCCTTATGACCAGGCGGATAGGCAGGCTTAGGTAACACAGGCAACATGCCACTGGAAGCACTTGGCTCCCACTTTTTTTTTTTTTTAGTGTGTTATGTTCCCTCTGATGGTGAGAATTATTAAATTTACTACTTATCCTGCTATCACAGGACTTAATGCCTTAGTCCTTCACCTTCCATTCTCTTTCTCCAAGATTTTCTCCTATGCCCTATCTAGAAACCTGGTTCACAAAACTTCCTCAGTTCTAACAGTTTCAGTTGTCATTCTAATTACCCTAAATATGCCTATTTTCCCAAGGTAGACTCCTATCTCCCCTTTCTCCCACCCCAAATTACGAGCTTTCTCACTACACCCATGTTCCTTTAGATAACAAATTATTACTTTTCCTCTTGAATTAACTTCTCTATTCACAAGCCAAGCCCAGGCATTTTAGTAAGATCTTACCTGTTCATCTTGTCCCATATGTTGTTCCACTCAAATTTATCCTTTACAAAACCATTTTCCTAGAACAACACTTTTTATCTTGACATTTCCTTAAGGCCAATTAATGAGGAGCATTATGATCATAGCAGCAACAACAACAAAGTAGCAGCAGGTGCTAACAGTTGAGGGCTTTCATGGGTCAGGTACCGTATTTAGCTTTACACACATTACTATTTTATTTAACTCTCAAATCCATGATGCATGTAATTATTATACTATACTTACTTTACAGGCAACAAAACAAAGCCTATATTACAGGAATTATTAGTCCAGGGTCTATTTACCTAAAATGTCCTTTAGGAAGGCACGAACCTCTCAAATGGCAATGCATGGTTGTGTGAATGTGCATCTGTGCATTTTTCTGGGGAAAGGGTTCACAGCTTTTATCGGTATATCAAAAAATACATGTCCCAGGCCTGGTGCCGTGGCTCACGCCTATAATCTCTGCACTTTGGGAGCCTGAGACAGGTGGATCGCCTGAGGTCAGGAGTTCGAGACCAGCCTGGCCAACATGGTGAAACCCCGTCTCTACTAAAAATACAAAAAAATTAGCCAGGCACGGTGGCGGGCGCCTGTAATCCCAGCTACTCAGGAGGCTGTGGCAGGAGAATCGCTTGAACTCGGGAGGAGGAGGCTGCAGTGAGCCGAGATCGCGCCCTGCATTCCAGCCTGGGCGACAGAGTGAGACTCCGTCTCAAAAACAAAAACAAACAAACAAGACCCAAATATGATTTTTTAACTGCTACTACAATGGTTAAACATTCTCTATTAAATCAAAGTAAAATTCTTGAGTCTGATGTTAACTGTCCTCCACCTACTAGAGCGCCCCCCATCTCCATCTACTAATATAGCCTTTCGTTTGAAGCCATGCTCTGCACCAACTCACCCTCATACTGTCCCGACCTGGAATACATCCCCAATTCCAAAGCCCATCCATGCTTCCAAAGGCTTAACTCTGGACCCATCATGAAGCCTTCCTTGTCTACTCCAGTCCCCACTGATATCATATGGCCTCCAAGCGCGCGCGCGCGCGCGCACACACACACACACACACACACACACACACACGGACGCACACATTCCCAAAGGCAGTCCCCTTCAGCCCTCTTCTCACACATTCGTGCTCCTACATACACACTGTGACGTGCATCTGCCTCACACACCCTGACACTCCACATTCACAGAGACACACACGCACTGTCACACTCACTAAACACCTGGTCACAGCCTGACAGTCATACCCAAGTTCCCCGCAACAGCTCTATCTATGCCCAGTACCTCAAATACAACTTTGGACACACAGGCATAGTATCTTTCTCTCTAATACACACACACAAGCCCACTGGCCCCCAAATACTGCCCAAGGTCCCACCAACCATCTATCCCACACTGTCAGCCCTGTGTTCCACAGACGCTCAAACCCACCGCCGCTCCAACCCACCGCCGCTCCCTCTCACGCCCCGCCTCACCCGATGCTGGTACAGACAGACGTTCCCGAAGCCGCCGGTGCCCAGCCGCTCCCGCATCTCCCAGGGCCCGCCCGCGCCCGGCCGCAGCCCCGGGGGCCGCTCCATGGGGCGGGAGGGCAAGCGGCCTCAGGTTCCACAGTTGTTCCAAGGCCGGTTCCGGGCCGCCGATGCTCGCGCGTCTTTGTTCTCGCGAGAATGAATGCGTCACTTCCGGTAACCGCTGCGAGAAGGCCCTTCCCTAAGTTCTCCCAGGGCGCTGCCAGAGCCCTGCCGGCTAAGGGATGGGGAAACAAACAGGTACTCGGTCCGCTCTTTAAGTCCCCTACGTATTTTCCGGGAGGGCTGAACGGAACCACAATGTTTTTCTAGTCTTGGAAAACATAAGATCTCTCCAAACCCCACATTCCCGTCAAATCCACTTTTCAAAGCAGCCCAGTCTCTCCTGTATTTTTTTCTTTTTAATTAAGATGGGGTCTCGCTCCGTTGCCCAGGCTGGAGTGCAATGGCACGATCACGGCTCACTGCAGCCTCGACCTCCCGGAATTAAGCGATCTTCTCACCTCCCGAGTAGCTGGGATTGCAGGCGCGCACCACCTCGCTTGGCTAATTTTTTATTTTTTGTAGAGACATGGTCTTGCTACGTTGCCCAGGCTGGTCCCGAACTCCTGGTCTCAAGTAGTCCTCCCACCTTGGCATCCCAGAGTGCTGGGATTATAGACATGAGCCACCGCGTCCAGCAATTAGTCTTTTCTAAACTTCATATTGTCTCTACTCCTATCTACACTTCACCTTTCTTCAGATCCCTGCCATCTATCCTCCAACTCCACCACCAGCTGATCCGGCACGCTAAAGACCACCAATGATTTAAAGGCTGCGAAATCGTTAAAATACTACGCTAGCAGGCCCACTAATGAATTAGCCTTCTTGTTCACTGACTTCCCAATACACCTGCTCCAGGATATCCCCTGTCATCCCAAATGACTCAAGAATGTGACGCTATTCCGGAGTGAAGAGTGTTTCTCGGGATTTCGCGAGCTTTTTTCCTAGATGCCTCACAGAGCTTGCTGTCCGGCAGTCCAGTTATGGGTTTGCCAGCACAGTAGTTCATTGTGAGAAGTGTTTCTAATGGGTGCTACAGGGCTGCAGAGGCAAGCTTTGGGAATGCTGTTGGTGCAGCAAGTGCTTCCGGGTGGCGGATTGCCATAGCATAGGGGAAACAACTCCTGGTCTTCCATTTAAGAGGGTCATACCTTCACTGTACCTGGGGGATCTCAATACTCCAAGTAAAGGAATCAGCATGGAATCAAATTATTGATAAATGTGATGCTGCAACCAGAATGTTGAGCACTGCATGATACAGACGAAGTCGATGTTGTAGGTCATTAGTAACATGTGGTATGGGAGGTTCTGGTTTCTGTAAGTGCATGGTTTCCATGGACTTGGAGATGATGATGCCTCTGAGGACATGTCATTTAGAGCTGGGCAGACCGCACAGAGAATTGTGGTACAGATTGTTGTAACAGTATGAAGCCCTCTCATTTGCTGTATGTACAGCATGGCCAGTGCTAATGTGCTCAATTTCCGTAGGTGGGGCTGTAATCTCGTAATTCCCAGTCAAAAGAGGTAGGAAGGGATGCTGAGGACCCAGGGATACTGATGATTGGGCTGACCCAGAAGTGGCCATCTTTGTGGAAACCAGGTTGGTTCCCTTGGTTAACTTTTTAAATGCCCCCATTCCCAGGGCCATGAGTAATTTGAGTTGTTTTTTGTTGTTGTTGTTGTTATTGTTTGAGATGGAGTTTCACTCTTGTCACCCAGGCTGGAGTGCAATGGTGTGATCTCAGCTCACTGCAACCTCCACCTCCAGGGTTCAAGCAATTCTACTGCCTCAGCCTCCCGAGTAGCTGGCATTACAGGCGCATGCAACCACGCCCAGCTAATTTTTTGCATTTTTAGTAGAGACGGGGTTTCACCGTGTTGGCTAGGCTGGTCTCAAACTCCTGATCTCAGGTCATCTGCCTGCCTCAGCCTCCCAAAGTGCTGCAATCACAGGCATGAGCCACCTGGCCTGTTTTTTAAAAAGCCTAAGCCTGTTGACCCCAGGCTCCACAATCTTCAATTTTCCGAGTCTCAGTTTTTTTTTCATGAGTAAAATAGAGGTAATACCTACCTCACAGAGATTTTGTGAAGATTAAATGAAACAGTGTCTGGACCATAAGTGCCCAATATAAAGGTAAAAATATTTTTCTTTTTGCGCCTAATATGTAGCATTCTCTTTGCTCCTTCTCTATGTAAATGTTAGATCACTATTTTCAAGCACTCCTTAAATACTGATATTTCTCAGGTAATCATCTTCAGCTCAGGACTGTATTTACCCTATCTTAATTTCACCTATGGCCTATACCCTGATGATCCCCAAAGCCCTGTAACCAACCCAGGTACTGATGAGTTTAGAACTGCCCAGCAGCACAACAGACACATATTAGATATATCAAGCACCTAAAACAATATCCAAAGGAGAATTATCTTTTTTTTCTTAAATCTGTCCCTTCTATTCCCCATTAAACTGTAATCTCTGGGACAACAGGGACCATATTGGGACATGACTATGGTCCTGGAGCTTAGAAAAATGCCTGGCACATAGGAGTTAAATATCCGAAGGACTAAATGGGCTCTTATCTATGAATAAGATGAATGCTTAAGAGAAAAATAGCAAAAGCCTTGGATCCCTTTTCCACTTTGGGTTGTTCAGGGAGAAACTGCCCTGTGTGATTTTGGAGTAACAGCTGGGCCTAAAGCTCTAGCCCCTGCTATTACACATACTACTTCATTTCAACGGTCACAGGCAACATGAACACAAGACACTTCTCAACCATGGAAAAACATCTGGATTTCATTTGGTAGTTTAAAGGTTTTTGAAAATGTTGATATACACAAGCTGTACTTGGAGCTGGATAACAGACATAGGAGCTGGATGACAGACATACTTTTATTCTTTTATTTTTGAGATGGAGTTTCACTGTCACCCAGGCTGGAGTGCAATGGAGCGATCTTGGCTCACTGCAACCTCCACCTCCCAGGCTCAAGCAATTCTCCTGCCTCAGCCTCCTGAGTAGCTGGGATTACAAGTGCCTGGCACCACGCCCAGCTAATTTTTGTAGCTTTAGTAAAGACGGGGTTTCACCATGTTGGCCAGGCTGGTCTCAAACTCCTCACCTCAGGTGATCCACCTGCCTCGGCTTCCCAAAGTACTGGGATTACAGGCGTGAGCCACTGCGCCCGGCCTTAACATAGGATTTTCATCCTAGAATGACTTTTCCCCAAAAAGATTCAATCTTAGGCCTCTTGCTGTAGGCAAGTTCCATGGGACTGCACAAAAGAGGCAGGGAAACAGTCCCCATGGGAGATTGTAGTTTCTTTAAAAATAGGCTTCTAGGCCAGGAATGGTGTCTCATGCTTGTAATCCCAGCAGGTTAAGAAGCCAAGGCAGAGGATCCCTTGAGCCTAGGCATTACAGACCAGCCTGGGCAACACAGGGAGACCCTCCTGTCTCTATAAAAAATCAAAAAAGTTTGCCAGGCATGGTAGCATGCGCCTGTGGTCCCAGCTACTCATGAGGCTGAGGTGGGAGGAACTCTAGAGCCCAGGAGGTTGAGGCTACAGTGAGCCACAGTTATGCCACTGCAATCCTGCTTGGGTGACAGAGCGAGACTTTGTCTCAAAAAAAATTCTTTTAATTAAAAAAAAAAAAAAGCTTTACTACTTCCTGTGGAGTTCATAAAAAGTTCTTCCCTTTGTTTTAGTCATCCAGAGTAAAGTCATAGGGCTCAAAGTCTTTCCGGAAGCGGCGAGCCAGGGTCTCCTCGTCTTCCTTGCTGATCTGACACTGCCTCCAGTCAGACTTATCAGGAACATTAAGGATGGCTTCACTGGCCAGGACCTCCCTGCAGAAATAGCACAAAGAAGTCAAAATGGAAACTATCAGCCTGAGCTCTCCTCAACATCACCCAAAGGAGGTATGCAAATTTCTCTGACTTTGCTCTCCTGCCCTGAGTGCCATCTCTGCCATACTATTGATCAAAATCATACCCGTTTTAAATGACCAGCTCAGGTACTATATATTTCCTGATCCTTCAAACCCCACTTGCTTCTCCCTCTCTTAAAAAACTTGGAACTATATTATTGGTACTTAGAGAAGCAACACCACATAGAAAAAGGGCAGGCCCTGGTGTGAGAAAGATCAGAGACTGGATCCCATTTCCAGCTTTGCCACTTGCTATCTATGATCTAGACAGATGATTTCATCTCTGAGTCTTGATTTCCTCACCTATGAAATGCAAATAAGAACACCCACCATACAGGGTTTTTGTGAGGTACAGAGATAACACAGTCAAAGTGCCATATTAGCTGTGATTACAACCTGCCTTAAACTGTAGTTTTGTCACCTCAACTAGACATGAGTTTGCAGAGTCAGGAGCCTAGTCATACCCACTCTGATTTAAAATTCCTCTGCCTCTCCTTCTAGGGGACTCAGGCCCACGTAACAGCAGCACAAGCCCAATGTCAACAAAACAACTATCTTGGCTCTTAGGACTAAAGAATAACTACATACAGACACACTCACACACAAGCTGCCTTCTAATCGCCATTGCTTTATATTTTTATTTTTACTTATTTTGATATATTAGAAATAATTCTATTACACATTTATATGGTTCATTTTCCACTTTGAAGTTACAGTAAATAGAAGAGTTAGAAACAAATCATGAATTCTCTATAAGTCAAAGAACCTAAGCTCCCTGGGCAAACTTTGAGCCTATTTCAAATATAAAAGGAAAATAGAACTACCTTTCTTGTACAGCTGAAAAAAATATGCCATTTCAAATATTTTGTTAACTATAAAATGCTATATAACTATAAATTAGTATCTTGATAATTACTCAATATTGAAAATACATCATAAGCACAAAACCATTCAGAGAATCTTCTTTTTGTGTGCTTTATACGCCTATGTGTATCTGCAATCGTGTGCTTATGTTGTCAATGTTCATAACCGCATCTGTTGCTGAGGCAACAACGAAAACATCACGTCAGATGTCTGAATCTCGTAGCACACTTGTTCCCATTTATCTTTTTGAAAAATGTAGACAACTACATTTACTGGACTTATCTAAGGGGGCAATCTCTTGGAGGCTTTCTGAATTAGTCCAAGACAGGTTCAAGGCTCACTCAAAGCCCATTTTTAACTAGGGGAGAAAAAACAGCTGCAAATCACAGACACCAGCATCAGATACTCTGTTCTACACATTTTCCACTCCCCTTCAAACTGTATCTTCTTGCCAGCAACTTCCCATCTTCAATCTTTGCTTAAGTTATGTTACTCCCTCTATGGTTTTGCAGTCATGTTTTGCCTGATACGAGGAACAGAACTGAAGCCTCCTCTAGGCCTTTACCATACTGTAGAACACTGAGGTTAAGACCTCAAGTTTTGAGGTCCAACAGGCCTGGGTTTGAACCTACCACTGTGTGACTAGGACAAGCTACCTAAGCTCTCTACAGCCTGCTATCCAGTGGGGTAACCATTAGCCAGGTATGGCTATTTAAATTTAAATTCTAATTAATTAAATAAAATCAAAAATTTAGTTCCTCAGTCACATTAGCCACATTTCAGCACTCAGTGGCCACAAGTGGCTAGTCACAACTGTATTGGACAGTGCAGATATTTGAGCATTTCCATCGTTGTGAAAAGTCTACCGGGCACTGCTCTAGAGCCTCATTTTCCACACTGGTAAATCGGGATGACAGTACCTACCTTACAGAGTTATGAAGATTAAATGAGTCATGTATGTGTAAAGTTCTTGGTACAGTTCTTGGCACAGAGTATGTGCTCAATTAAAGTTCCCTAGCACTTCTGGCTAGAATGCCCTCACCTCAATCTTTGCCCTCTAAATATGCCTCTCAGGTTCAACTTTGCCACTTTCATGAAGGCTTTCACCAACTAGAAATGAGCTGTCCCTTTTCTGAATTTCTACAGCACATTGTTCTCCAAAACTCTGTCATGGTACTCTTCACATTCTACATTACATTACTGTCATATATGTAAACATCTGCCCTAAGACCATGGGTCCTCTGGGGCAAGGACTGTTTACAATTTAGCTTTTTATCAATTGTCCCATGTAGCCCACCACTCTGTTCATAGCAGGTCTAGTGAAAATACATTGAAAAGAAGAAAAACATACCTTCCAAACTGCAAAGGAAAATTCTTTTTAATTCTGTGGAAAAGCTTTTCTCCTGTGTCAAGTTCAACATAAAAATATGCTGCTCCTGGCTGTGCAATCTAAAGTAAACAGAGTTGTATGAGGATGTCCAATAATGCTTTAAAAATCTATAATCTGAGTTCATCTCTAGGCAAATAATTCAGTCTAAATGCACAAGAAAAAAAGATATGTATGTTGCTATAGATCCCAAGCCACTTAGTGGAACTAGGGCTTAAAAAGTCTAACTGGAAGATACTAACAATATCCTCCCAGTGGCGTCTATCCTTCTAAGTTCCTACCTTAGGAAATTCTAATTTCTTGCTCTTCCCAGGAAAGCACTAAACTTTGGAGTAATGCCCTGTTCATCTCCAGTCTAGTCAATACCCAGTGCTCTAGTTCCAAATTGTCCACTGCCTCTTTTTTTTTTTTTTTTTTTTAGAGACAGGGTCTTGCGATGTTGCCCAGGCTGAAGTACAGTGGTGCAATCATACCTCACTGCATCCTCAAACTCCTAGGCTTAAGTGATCCTCCTGACTCTCAGCCTCCTGAGTAGCTAAGACTACAGGCACATGCCACCATGCCAAGCTTATTTTTTTATTTTTTGTAGAGACAAGGTGTCTCACTTTGTTGCCCAGGCTGGTATCAAACTCCTGGCTTCAAGTGCTCCTCCCGCCTCAGCCTCCCAAAGTGTTGGATTACAGGTGTGAGCTACCATGCCCAACCCATTGCCTATTTAATAACATTTTTGGAATGCCTTGATAGCTCAACATGTCAAAAACCTTAGGCTCAACATGTCAAAAACCAGATCTTGCCAGGCGTGGGTGGCTCATGCCTGTAATACCTTCGGGAGGCCAAGGCAGGCAGATCACAAGGTCAGGAGTTCGAGACCAGCCTGGCCAATATGGTGAAACCCCGTCTCGACTAAAAATACAAAAAGTAGCCAGGTATGGTGGCGCATGCCTGTAGTCCCAGCTACTGGGGAGGCTGAGGCAGGAGAATCACTTGAACCCGGAAGGCGGAGGTTGCAGTGAGCCAAGATCATGCCACTGCACTCCAACCTAGGCAACAGAGCAAGACTCTGTCTCAAACAAACAAACAAACAACAAACAACAACAAAAAAAACAGATATTTACTCTTCCCTGAATATCACCATCCCCTGTTTCACCTGCTTGATGTCAGAGTGCTCTGGGATTTCCAACAGCTCTATCTGCTGCTCCTGTGCCTGGGTAATGAAGGCATCTTTAATGTCATCAGTAGTAGAGCAGCTGATTGGGACAGGAATGACCTGGGGGTTGGGGAGACAGGAGAAATTCCTTGTGCAGGTCCCAGAGAAGTTGTGCCTGCACAGTCTCTGAGAAGTAGCAAATCCATCACAGGGGTGGAGAAACACCCCTCAGCACAGAATATCCTCAGGCCAGACAAGCCTGTGTCAGCCTGTCTGTAAGGACTTAAACTTATGAGATAGCCTGACACATGTGGGAGCCATTCTCTGATGCAGGAAAGGCTTAAGAGAGATATCTCCGTCACAAGCCTTTGCCATCTCCGATATTATATATGTGGCAGAGTTAGGCCCATTTGAAAACTTAACAAATGTGCCAAAAAGAAAACCACCACAACTACAAATGATTTACAATCTGATTTTCTGAGCTGCTAGCCCCATGCAGGCTTTGAGACTATTTCCTACCACTAAGCTTTCCCTCATGCTGGGCCTCCACACAAAATACTCACTTTCTTCCAAATTCTTATCCAGCAAGCCCCACATCTTCCTTGGAACTTCCTCAACTACCCATTCCTTTTCTAAACAAGGAACTTACTATCTATGCTGTTTACATGTACTGACCACACACTTCCCTGTGAAGTCTCTGGGGTTACCACCAGATACTCTTTAAAAACTTTTTAAATGAATGTTATTTAAATATTAATATAAAAATATTAAATATTTTACATATTAAAGCTAAACTTTATATAATTTTTTTTTTAAAGATGGAGTCTCGCTCTGTTGCCCAGGCTGGAGTGCAGTGGCACAATCTCGGCTCACTGCAACCTCTGCCTCCCAGGTTCAAGCTATTCTCCTGTCTCAGCCTCCCGAGTAGCTGGGATTACAGGCATGCACCACCACGCCCAGCTAATTTTTTTGTACTTTTAGTAGAGACAGGGTTTCACCGTGTTGCCCAGGCTGGTCTTGAACTCCTGAGCTCAGGCAATCCAACCGCTTCGGCCTCCCAAAGTGCTAGGATTACAGGCGTGAGCCACCTCGCCCAGCCTATTTAAATACTTATTTACCAATATCAAAGTCCCCATAGCGCCCTTCCAAGTTTCTATGAACAGACCACCTACCTGTAGCTGGAGGTGATGGCTCTTATAATTTCTCTCAAATACAACACACCATTTCCCTCGACTCTTAAAGAACCGTCTCAGAGTGGCCTTATACTTCTCCACCTCTTCTACCACCTCTGCTGAAAGCTCCACCACTGACTGGTAGTGTCCAATAGGCAGGATGAGGACATGGTCATCAGATAAGCCTCCTTTGGCCAGGGCAAGGTAGCACTGAAGAAGCAGCACACAGAATTGAGACATCAATACAGCATGTAGGATTCTCCAGGGAGAAAAACCTATACAAAAAGTGAGCCTGAGGGTGTAGGCGAAAAGTACTTGAGGTTATTAATAAAAATTCTTTCTTGAAAAAATCTGATTTTAGAGATTGTAGCAACAATGTTCTCAGGTATCCGCTGAAGAGTGAGATTCGGCATGAAAATTTCTATGCAAGTAGCAAATGAACTAGGAGCAAATGAATTGGGAGAGGCACACAAGCAGGCTTTTGGCTTCAAACACACTGAGCTGAGGGAGACCAGAACAAATCGCTGGGTTTTCCCTCCCATGCTCCAAACTTGAAAACAGTTTTTCAGTTTTTATCACCCTCAACCACAAAAAGATACAACTTCTGATTTCAAAATGACCACTTTCGGCTGGGATAGTGGCTCACGCTTGTAATCCCAAAACTTTGAGAGGCCGAGGCAGGTGGACCGCCTGAGGTCAGAAGTTCCAGACTAGGCTGACCAATATGGTGAAACCTCATTTCTACTAAAAATACAAAAATTAGCCAGGCCTGTGATGGCATGTGCCTGTAGTCCCAGCTACTCGGGAGGCTGAGACAGGAGAATTGCTTGAACCCGGGAGGCAGAGGTTGCAGTGAGCCGAGATCGCGCCACTACACTCCAGCCTGGGTGACAGAGCGAGACTCCGTCTCCAAAAAAAAAAAAAAAAAAAAAATGACCCCTTTCTGCCTCCCCAGTAACTTTCATTCCCACCCCCACCCCCGAATATACTCCTTGGGCTCACAAAAAAAGCTAAGATGGCATGATTAGCATCTAATGTTCCTAAGCCTTAAGCTGCTGACTAAATTCTACAAAACAAAAGCAAACATACAACCTAATGGGGTAGAAGGAAAGTAAAACCTCAAACTCAGATGCATCCAAAGAGGCAGAAAAGAATGATTTCCAACAATGGATGTCAGCCTTTAATGGCAACTAAAAATATTTCTGTAAAAACCAAAACATGCAAGAATGGTCTACCACTCAGATATTCTCTGATGGGAAGATGCCATGAGTGAGCACAGAAGGGCCCAATGAGTACCAGTACAGGCAAATATAGATACGTTAGAAAACAATTATCCAGACCGGGTGCGTTGGCTCATGACTGTAATCCCAGCACTTTGGGAGGCCAAGGCAAATGGATCGCGAGGTCAGGAGTTCAAGACCAGCCTGGCCAACAAGGTGAAACCCCGTCTCTACTAAAAATACAAAAATTAGCTGGGCATGGTGGCACGTGCCTATAATCCCAGCTACTTGGGAGACTGAAGCAGGTGAATTGCTTGAACCTGGAAGGCGGAGGTTACAGTGAGCCGAGATCGTGCCACTGCACTCCAGCCTGGGCGACAGAACAAGACTGTCTCAGGAAAAAAAATAAAAAATTATTCCAACTATGCTCTTAGTGTGGTGGGCTCAAAGTTAAGGCTGAAGGAAGGAATCACTTCTCATCTATAATAAGAAAGTCCAACAGAATGACAGGATATGTATTGGAAAGATACTAAAGCATGATTGTCCTTGATTTGTTTGGCAGAGAGGACTGAGCATATTGACAAAGTTAATTTTCCAGATGACTAAAGTTGATGAAAACCTCACAGGCACTAAAAACTTTTTTTTATTTGTATAATAACCACTTTATATTGTATTTGTTTAAAAGGTTACTCTAGAAGCCTGAGTCGTCTAGCTATTTTTGTCAGAAGGTCACTGCCATAAACATCAGCTTCTCTATTATGATGTGCATTCTTTAGGTAATGATGTCTAAACTAAAGAGCTCCTCTGCACCATCTCTAATCCTGTACTTGCAATTTTTGTGAATAGTTTCACGCTTGCCTAATCTCCTCTCTCTTTCAAACTCTCACCTTCTAATCTGTTCTATACTAGAATTATCTCTAACCATGTGTAAATAGGACCTGGATAAATGGTTCTCCCCGTAAGTAAAATGCATTGATTTTGCAATAATTATTTTACACTCTCAGCAGCCCTTCCCCCTTTTTACTAATCTGTGGCTATGGACCATCAGCACAATTCTATGTACTACCTTTGAGGAAGGCACGACAAAGAGAAAGCCAGGGAAAAAATTTAAAAAACAAAAAAAGGCAATCAAAAAGAATAATTGCAGGGAGGAGATCCCAAACTCTTCCACAGACACCCAAAGGTCATTACAGGTTTGTAAGAGGTTTCTACCTAAGGACAGTGTAGACTCTAGGCTGAAATACTCATGTGGCCTACTTGGGATGTTGGGTTGGGCCACAAACAAGACCTTTTTCCCCTCTAGTTTCAGGCCTAGATGAGAAGAAAACAGGTTTCCTTGATTGTTGCCCAGGCCCACACCCTGAGTTAGAGTAACCTGGACAATAGAAAGATGAATGGAAAAGAAAAGTCACTTCTCACTGAGGCCTAGAGCAGCACTGAGCTATGTCACACATTCCAAATCTCTTATCTCCTGCGTGTGATCTTGAACCTATTGAAGCTTCCCAAACAGAAGGCAATTCAAAGCCTAACTTACTATACAAATTGTGTGGGAGAGAAAAATAGCATAAACTAATCCAAAGACGAAAAAAGATGCAAAAGAGATCATCCAAAAAGGGCACTGCTATAAAAGCTAGAGCTTCTCAAGTTTGCTCTTATTCCACTGAAGACTTCATCCACAGGTTCTATGGCTCAGTTGTGTCACCGGCCTTGACTTCATTAGTGCTCCCCCTAGAGACAGGAGTGTGCCACTAATTAAGCCTTTTTTTTTTTTTTTTTTTTTTTTTTTTGTGACAGAGTCTTGCTCTGTCCCCCAGGCTGGAGTGCAGTGGCGCGATCTTGGCCTGCAACCTCCACCTCCCAGGTTCAAGCAATTCTCTGCCTCAGCCTCCTGAGTAGCTGGGATTGCAGGCGCCCGCCACCACGCCCAGCTAATTTTTGTATTTTCAGTAGAGACAGGGTTTCACCTTCTTGGCCAGGCTGGTCTTGAACTCCTGACCTCGTGATCCACCTGCCTCAGCTTCCCAAAGTGCTGGGATTACAGCCGTGAGCAGGCGTGAGCCACTGCACCCGGCCAAGACATTTTTTAAAATGTAAAAGACTGAGACTCTTCAGGTGGAAACAACACAGGCAGAAGTGTAACTCCTTAAAGTGTAAGATGAAATTGAGACTCTAGTCAGTCTACAGGAAGGAAGACACAAAAAACGGTCCTCAGATTGTTAGGATAAGTTGAAAGGATCAACCCCAGAAACCAAAAGTAGAACAAATCAATGAGAAATGGATGAAGGCACCTGTCTTCAGAAGCACTACACACTTAAGGAATTGTCTTAGTCCATCTTGTGTTGCTATAATAGAATACCACAGACTATAATTTATTTGAATAGAAATCTATTTGGCTTGTGGTTCTGTAGACTGGGAAGTCGAAGTGCATAGCACTGGCACCTGGCAATGGCCTTCGTGCTGCATCATCCCATGGCAGAAGGGCAAGTGAGGGTGAGAGTAAAGAAGCAAAAGGGGACCTGAACTCACTTTAACAAAGCCACTCTCATGATAACCCACTACTGTGATAACATTAATCCATTCATGAAGGCAGAGTCCTTATGACCAAATCACCTCTTATTAGGCCCCACCTCCCAAAACTGTCACAAAACAAAAATGACTTATAAATATTTTCCTCAGGAATCTTGGGGAACATCCAATTCTAGTCACTGGTGACTATAGTGTTAAAAATTAAGTTTTCTTCATTCTAAATGAATGAAAAAGAACAATGGTCTACAGAAAACCCAGGGAAATCAGAGTCAAACACTGGTATTATTTAATGTCTAATCCAGCCCTACCCAAGCAAAAGTATCTGGGGAAATGTGAAATAGAATGACTTTCCCATGAGACACACACATTCAAGCTTTCCACCACCTGAATAAAATCATACTCAAGACCATCCCGTTCTCATAGTCTGATTCAATGCTTACCAAACAACCATATCATCATCATCTTGGGTTCCTAGATACTCACACCAGGAGTGTGAATATGGGTATTCCTGTCATTAGTAAGCTACACCCTCCACTACTAAGCAAAACTGAAATTTTATCTTTGATGTGATCAGTTAGTGTGAATCAGCTTCCAGCATTACATAATTCCAGATAAAAATTCATAGGCCGGGGGTGGTGGCTCACGCCTGTAATCCCAGCACTTTGGGAGGCTGAGGCGGGCAGATCACCTGAGGTCGGGAGTTTGAGACCAGCCTGGCCAGCAGGGTGAAACCCTGTCTCTACTAAAAATATAAAAATTAGCCAGATGTGATGGCAGGTGCCTGTAATCCCAGCTACTTGGGAAGCTTAGGCAGGAGAATCACTTGAACCCGGGAGGCAGAGGTTGCAGTGAACTGAGATCACGCCATTGCACTCCAACCTGGGCAACAGAGCGAGACTCCATCTCAAAAAAAAAAAAAAAAAAATTTCATAAGGCTCTAGTTTCTGAATCTGAAGCTATAAAAAGAATATCAACATTTTTAACCCAATACAGGTATATAAGCAACAGAAGACTGCCTTTTTAGGACAAAGAAAATCACTTTAAATGGTAATTAGCAAAAGGAACTCATCACTCTCAATTAGACGGGCTAAAAAATACAGAGAGTCCAAGAAGTATATAAAAGCATCACCCCTAGAGAACCATACCTATTTATGAGAGAGGAAAAGAGAGCTATCTTGTAAAACTGGCTATTGCTATAACAAATGTTGACAGGGATGTGGAAAAGCAGAAACCTTCATACACTGCTGGTGGGAATATAAGATGGTGCAGTCATTTTGGAAAACAGTTTAGCAGTTTCTTAAAAGTTAAACATAAATTTACTATATAACCTAGCAAATCCATTCCTAGGTCTATCCAAAATATAGACCATTCCTAGGTCTATATCCACACAAAGACTTGCATGCAGATATTTTATGGGAGCATTATTTCTAATAGCCATAAAGTAGAAACAACCCAAACGTCCATCAGCTGATGAACAGATATAGACGAAATGTGGTACATCTATACACTGGAATATGATTTGGCAATAAAAAGGAATGAAATACTGATACATGCTGCAACATGGATGAACCTCAAGAATATTATGCTAAGTAAAAGAAGCTAGACACAAAAGACCACATGTTGTATGATTCCATTTATAAGAAATGTCCAAAAATGGCAAACTATGGAGATAGTAAGTAGACTAGTTGCTGCCTGAGGCTAAAGTTGGGAACAGGGATTAACTGTAAATGGGCATAAGAGATCTTACTGCAATGATAAAAATGTTCTAAAACTATACCACGTGATGGTGGCATAACTCAGTAACCTTACGAAAATCACCGAATCATACACTTAAACATGGGTAAATGTTATATGTAGATTATGCCTCAATAAAGTTAATAAAAAACAAATAGGCATCTCCTTCTCTATAAAGTCCAAGGAAGTAACTCACATGTGTGCCGATGTTGACCACCAAATGTTTTTCCACTTCAGGGCTAGCAAGGCAAAACCAGCAGGGTCCTGGAGGCTGAGCTTCATGTAAAAGAAAGCCAGGTGTTACTATGGTCCAAGCACTACAGCATATAATCACCCCACAGAACTCAGCTTTGTCTGATTTTTATATCCTGAAAAGACTGGTATACAACACTGCCACAATGGGCTGAGCCTGTGCTCCTCACTACGACCCCCTATGAACATTTTCAATGAAATTAAACTTCCATTAGAATTTGTAACCAATCCACAGGTAGGTAACCCACAAGTGCAAAATCACACACTGACTAAAGTAGCACATAACTGGCAATAGGCTACAACAAAAGAACACTGAACTGGGTGTCAGGAGCCCCAATTAAAGCCCCAGCTATGCCATTAGCCATGACCCTGGAAAATTTACCCTCCCAAGGTCAGCTTCTTGTGTGAAACAAAAAGATGAAGAAAGAGAATCTCAATGAAACACTCTTAAAGTCCTTCCTTCGAGTTTGATCATTCTATTATTTTATGAACCCATATTGGTTTTGGAGGCTCTTCACCTCATTATGTTTTACAGACACAAAGGAAAGGTGCTTTTTCCATAGTACAGGAAGCGCCTCAGAACAGCCTCGAAGTCAGGCCATTCTTATTTTATTTTTTTTGAGACGGAGTCTCGCTCTGTCGCCTAGGGTGGAGTACAGTGGCGCGATCTCGGCTCACTGCAAGCTCCGCCTCCCAGGTTCATGCCATTCTCCTGCCTCAGCCTCCTAAGTAGCTGGGACTACGGGCGTCTGCCACCACGCCTGGTTAATTTTTTCTATTTTTAGTACAGACGGGGTTTCACCGTGTTAGCCAGGATGGTCTCGATCTCCTGACCTCATGATCCGCCCACCTCGGCCTCCCAAAGTGCTGGGATTATAGGCGTGAGCCACCGCGCCTGGCCCGTTATTTTATTTTTTTGAGACAGGGCCTTGCTCTGTCACCCAGGTTGGAGTGCAGTGGTGCAATCTTGGCTCACTGCAATCTCCGCCTCCTGGGTTCAAGCGATTCTCATGCCTCAGCCTCCTGAGGAGCTGGGACTACAGGTGGGTGCCACCATGCCTTGCTAATTTTTTGTATTTTTAGTAGAGACAGGGTTTCACCATGTTGGCCAGGCTGGTCTCCAACTCCTGGCCTTAAGTGATCCACCCGCTTCGGCCACCCAAAGTGCTGGGATTACAGTTAGTGTGAATCAGTTTCCAGCATTACATAATTCTAGATAAAAATTCATAAAGCTCTAGTTTCTGAATCTGAAGCTATAAAAAGAATATCAACTTTTTTTTTTTTTTTGAGATGGAGTCTCACTCTGTCACCCAGGCTGGAGTGCAATGGCATCATCTCGGCTCACTGCAACCTCTGCCTCCTGGGTTCAAGCAATTCTTCCACCTCAGCCTCCTGAGTGGCTGGGACTACAGGACCGTGCCACCACACCTGGCTAATTTTTGTATTTTTAGTAGAGAAGGGGTTTCACTATGTTGGCCAGACTGGTCTCAAAATTCTGAACTTGTGATCCGCCTGGCTCAGCCTCCCAAAGTACAGGATTACAGGCATGAGCCCCCACACCTGGCCAAGAATATCAACGCTTTTATCCCAATATGGGTATATAAGCAACAGAAGACTGCCTTTTTAGGACAAAGAAAATTGCTTTAAATGGTAATTAGCAAAAGGAACTCATCACTCTCAAGTAGATGGGCTAAAAATACAGAGTCCAAGAAGTATATAAAAGCATCACCCCTAGAGAACCATACCTATTTATGAGACAGGAAAAGAGGGAGCTATCTTGTAAAACTGGCTATTGCTATAACAAATGTTGACAGGGATGTGGAAAAGCAGAAACCTTCATACATTGCCAGTGGGAATATAAGATGGTGCAGTCACCACACCTGGCCAAGGCCATGTTTATATTTTATTTTTACTGTTGGTCCTAATGACTCATTGCACAATTCTCCCCTGCCAGAAGAGGCTCTCTTAGCAATGCTGCTTTCCAAAGAAAAGCCAAAATAACAGTTACTGTTCATAGAAGAAACCTCTGGAATAAAGGTACTTACGAGGTTTGCGAGGCTGCTTTGGATGAGGAGAAGATTTGCTATCTCTACCTGTGGATGAACGCTTCCTTCCCTGCTTTTCATTTAAATCAAAGAAAAACTGACAGGCTGATTCTTCCTGGAATGGCCAAAAGCAGAAGATTAAATGTTATTCAACTAACCTTTAGATAAGTAGCCGACCACTCACATACAAGGGAACATTCCTGCCATGCCATACCTATCTTTCTTCTCAGTCCTTTCTGCACACTCTAGGGAAGCAAAATATCTTCCCAGTTCTGATGCCTGAAGTCTCAGTCATACATCAACACTTATCCAAACTACTGCCAAATTCATCTCTTTGGAAAAACGAGTTAAAATGCAAGTTATAAAGTAATTCTTGCCTAAAGCAGAACATGAACCCACCTAAATTCTCTTTTCTTTTTTCTCTCAACAGGGACATAGTGTAGTCATACAATTTCACAGGTCAAACAAGCCTAATTCAGCCTTAAGAGATGAGAAGGCTGCTTGGAAAGAAAGAAAAGTCTGAGAAAGCAGACCGTGCATGCTAGTAAGGGAACTTGACATTCCTTGCTTTAGTGGGGAAAAAATTAATTTGAGAAAACTCTGCTATTAAGAAAATTTCTTCAGAGTGAATCTTATTTTCCTACTAGCAATCATCATAAAATCACAAATTACATTGCTATGAAGCTGCTAGAGCCTTGCCTAAAGAGCTAAGAACAGATAATCACTTTAGACAAAGACTTTACAAATAAAACTGTAACCCCAAACGTCTGAATCCAGTTTGGACAAAGAAAGACCTAATGTATCAAACTGTTAACCCCAAACTACAATAAAAAACACTAAGCTTAGCTGAAATCTACTAAGATTTTCTAAACATCATCATGATTTCCCAAGGGGAAAAAAAAGATTTAGATTCTAACGATTAAACTTGTCTTATGTACTAAACTATAACTAGGAAAAGAACACATATAAAAATGCCAACCCTCAATCAGAACATACCACAGGGGCAAGAATTTGCTTTCCTATGGATGCTTCCTGCCCAGATTTTCTGTAAGGGTTTTCAGTGACATCCGGAGGCTGTTTTACCAGTTCTGCTGCATCCATTAGCTTCATGGGAACAATACTGAACGCGTAAAGATACTTTAGAGAAAAAGAACATAATGACATTAGGGGAAATACTATTTACCCAACTGTAATCAACCTATTTTACTGTGAAGATTTCACAGAAAACATGTGAAACTCAGTAAAATTAAAAGAACAGCAACCAGCCCATCCATAGCTCAGAGAGTAAACAGTAAATCAAATGCCAATTCAGTGGCCTCTGCAGGGGCTCACCAAGGGTTGACAAAGAAATGAACAAGAAATCAAAGCCCCCACCCTCACAAACCAGGAGTTCTCACTCGGATAATGGAATAGTGACAACTGTCACTACAAGGCCCAGAGGGACTTGCTGTATAACCCTTGAAGACAAACTGCTTCTGTCTCTGAGTCCCTTATCTTTGTGTACTCTGTCCACAGAATTGTGGCACTGCCATTTATTTTTCCTAATGAAAATTACAAACGAACTTAGTGTTTCTCTCTCTGATATTATACAAATTCTGCTATATATGCTAATAAAATTTTCTTAGGAGACTAGCAGTAAAGCAATAAATATTCATATAAATATTTGGAATCTTGCACTAATGCCACAGATATCGAAAACTTTAGATAAGATATAAATAGATGTTTAAACTTACTACTGATTAGGGAAATGCAACTAAGTAACAATTATATATCATTTATCACATTGGCAAAAACTTTAATAAAACTTTGACGTGGGCTGGGGGTGGCGGCTCATGCCTGCAATCCCAGCACTTTGGGAGGCTGAGGCGGGCGAATCACCTGAGGTCAGGAGATAGAGACCAGCCCGACCAACATGGAGAAATCCCATCTCTACTAAAAATACAAAAGATTAGCCAGGCATGGTGGCACACACCTATAGTTCCAGCTACTCAGGAGGCTGAGGCAGGAGAATCGCTTGAACATGGGAGGTGGAGGTTGCAGTAAGCCGAGATCGTGCCACTACACTCCAGCCTGGGCAATAGACAGAGACTCCATCTTAAACAAACAAACAAAAACTTTGACTTGATCCAGTGAGAAATATGGAGGGGGAAAAAAAAAAACACTGCTGGGGTAGGGGTATAAATTGGAACAAAGTTTTTAGATGAATTTAACAATGCTTGCCAAATTTTATAATGTGCACACCTTTTGACGAAAGTATAAGTTGCTTATGGCTGAGGCTAACATGTCCCTGAGAATAAAACAGACTGAAAATACTAAGTGTTATTCAGTTTGAAAGGGCAATTAAAAGAAAAATTACAAATCTACATTTGCTAAGAATTGGGCAAAAAAGCTGAAAATAGGCTGGGGAATTTATGTGGAGGTCAGAGTGGAAGCAGGTATGAAAGGGTCCAGCAGAAGAAAACATGGCTGCCAAAGTGTTTTGAGTCCGTTGGCAAGTTTGGCCTGGCCTTAGCTGTTGCAGGAGACGTGGTGAACTCTGCCCTATATAATGTGGATGCTGAGCAAAGAGCTGTCATCTTTGACCGATTCCATGGAGTACAGAACACTGTGGTACGGGAAGGGACTCACTTTCTCATTCCATGGGTACACAAACCTATTATCTTTGACTGCTGTTCTTGACCATGTAATGTGCCAGTCATCACTGATAGCAAAGATTTACAGAATGTCAACATCACGGTGCACATGGGGGCCTGTCGCTAGCCAGCTTCCTCGCATCTTGACCAGCATTGAAGAGGATTATGATAAGCGTGTGCTGCTGTCCATCACTACTGAGATCCTCAAGTCAGTGGTGGCTCACTTTGATGCTGGAGAACTAATCACCTAAAGAGAGCTGGTCTCCAGGCAGATGAGCAACGACCTTACAGAGCAAGCAGCCACCTTTGGGCTCATCCTGGATGACGTGTCCTTGACACATCTGACCTTCGGGAAGGAGTTCACAGAAGCAGTGGAAGCCAAACAGGTGGCTCAGCGGGAAGCAGAGAGCACCAGATTTGTGGCAGAAAAGGCTGAGCAGCAGAAAAAGGCAGCCATCATCTCTGCTGAGGGCGATTCCAAGGCAGCAGAGCTGATCGCCAACTCACTGGCCACCGCAGGGAACAGCCTGATAGAGCTGCGCAAGCTGGAAGCTGTGGAGGACATCACATTCCAGCTCTTATACTCTGGGAACATCAGCTCCCTGCCAGCGGGGCAGTCCATGCTCCTCCAGCTGCCCCTGAGGGGCCACCCTGCCTGCACCTCCGCAGGCCAACTGGGCCACAGCCCTGATGATTCTTAACACTGTCTTCCTTCTGCCCCAACCCTAGAAATCACTATGAAATTTCATGATTGGCTTAAAGTGAAGGAAATAAAGGCAAAATCACTTCAGATCCGCCCCCTCCCCCAAAAAAAGCTTGAAATATTATGAAAAAAACAAAATATCGATTTGCTTATCTTTTGTATGCATTGTCTATGGCATGTGATAGTGGAATAATCTTCAGACTCTTTATCTGCCTATTTTCCCACTTCACTAACTGTTCTTATTTTAGCTGTCTCAATCCACAATAGGTTAGTTTTGGCCCTGGGAAATCAGAAATACTCTCAGAGAAGTGAGAAAAACAACCTATTTTTCTGGTATATTCTTTTCATCAACTGCACTGTTTTCCAATACAAAGATAGATTCCAGGTATCACTAAGATTTCCCTCAGGAAATCTTAGCCCTAAGGAGAGCTTAGGTAAGTCCTCTGGGTTTCTTTTTTTTTGTTTCCCGAGACAGAGTCTCACTTTGTCACCCAGGCTGGAGTGCAGTGGCCCGATCTCAGCTCACTGCAGTCTCCACCTCCCACATTCAAGCAATTCTCCTGCCTCAGCTTCCTGAGTAGCTGGGATTACAGGTGCCCCCCACCACACCTGGCTAATTTTTTTTATTTTTTATAGAGATGGGGTTTCACCATGTTGGCCAGGCTGGTCTCAAACTCCTGGCCTCAAGTGATCCGCCCACCTCAGCCTCTCAAAGTGCTGGGATTACAGGCGTGGGCCACCATGCCCAGCTCTTTGGGGTTTTCTTATTTCAGCTAAATGAAGTTGCTAAAGAAGTAAGCAAGCATCTGAGGGCAAATTCACAAATACCCATAGAGACAACCACATAGATGTGGAAGTAAAGGAACACTGTTCATTTGATATTTTGCCTTTATTCCTCTGGGCCTATTTTCCCAAACCCTTCTTTAAACTCTCCTACAAAAAGACCCAAAGAGACTTGACCTTTCATTACCATACCTTTACAAAGGAGTCTCCGAAACTGCTGAGACCTTGCAGTCAGGGAGAAGAGAAGATCTGAATGCTAAACTGGACAAGAGATACATTTATCAGGCAGACCATGAATATCAACCTTCCACCAAATAGGTAAATCTTTACCTTTTTCTTTTCTGGATTTCCAACATTTGCCAGAGCTATAAACCGGGTGGCATGCTGTGCATTTTCCTGTAGAATGATATGGTTTCTACAACATATTTGAGAGACAAAAAATTGCAAACAATTTTACTTTTGATTTGCAATGACAAAATATGTGGACTCTATGGGGCCATAAAAAGAGCAGAGGTCCTCAGTTCATCATCGCCAGTCAAATGATTTCAGATAAGTTACTATCTATCCGTCTAATAGGGCAACAATCCCTACCTCACAAGGCTGTTTTAGGAAGAGATGAGATTATGTCTTCAGAAACCATCAAAACTCCAACTTTTGGCTTTAAAAGAGTTGTAAAATTGGCAAAATGTTGACAATAGTTCAAGCTAAGTGATGGACACATGAGGTTTCACTTTACTATTGCCTCTTCTTTTGTGTAATAAAAAGCTAAAATAGGCCAGGCACTTTGGGAGGCTGAGACAGGAGGACTGCTTGAGCCCAGGAGTTTGAGAACACCCTGGGCAACACAGTGAGACTCTGTCTCTACAAAAAAAATTTTTTAATTAACTGGGCATGGTGGTGCATACCTACAGTCCCAGCTACTCAGGAGGCTAAGGTAGGAGAATCACTTGAGCCCACGAGGTTGAGGCTGCAGTGAGCCTTGATAGTACCTCAGCACTCCAGCCTGGAAGACAGAATGAGATCTTGTCTCAAAAAAAAAAAATTAAAAAAAAAAAAAATGTAGTCCTTTGTGTCTGGCTTCATTCACTTAACATAAAGTTTTCACGGTTCAACCATGTTGTAGCACATGTCAGTACTTCATTGCTTTTCCTTGCCAAATAACATTTCATCATATATTTACCACTTTTAATTTACCCATTCACCAGGTGATGGACATTTGGGTTGTTTGCATTTTGAGCTATTATGAATAATGCTATTATGATCATCTGTGTACAAGTTTTTGTGTGGACATATGTTTTCCCTTATCTTGGGACAGGAATAAAATTGCCGTTACCATGCTGCTGACTCTTACATTTAACCTTTCAAGAACTGCTAAACAGTTTTCCAAAGCGGCTGCACCATTTTACACTCTCACCAGCAATGTGTGAGGATTCCAATTCCTCCACATCCTTGTCAACACTTGTTATTATGTATTTGCCTTTTTGACTACTGCCATCCTAGTGGGTATGAAGTGGTGTATCATTGTGCTTTTGATTTACATTACCATAATGGCTAATGATAAGAGCATCTTTTTATATGTCTATTGGCCTTTTTTTTTTTTTTTTTTTTTTTTGAGACGGAGTCTCACTCTGTTGCCCAGGCTGGAGTGCAGTGGCGCGATCTCTGCTCACTGCAAGCTCCACCTCCCGGGTTCATGCCATTCTCCTGCCTTAGCCTTCCAAGTAGCTGGGACTACAGGCGCCCGCCACCATGCCCAGCTAATTTTTTGTATTTTTAGTAGAGACAGGGTTTCACCGTGTTGGCCAGGATGGTCTCGATCTCCTGACCTCATGATCTGCCTGCCTCGGCCTCCCAAAGTGCTGGGATTACAGGCGTGAGCCACCACACCCAGCCCTATTGGCCATTTTTATATGTTCTATGAAAAACTGTATTCCGATTCTTAAGAACTGTGTAAGTTTTGAGTGGCTTGTTCCCAAAACTTCTGTTTTCGCAGTATATTTTTAGAGAACAAGACATTCTTCTAGAATGAGTATATGGAGATTTAACAGAAAAACCTGTATTACCTATGATTCTGCATTAGGCTGTGGGATTATGGTAAGGGGGGTATTCTCTTCTTGCTCACTTAAATTTTTTTAACTAGCAACACGTAAATATTACTTTTGTAAAAAAGAAGGGAAAGAAGTTATTTTAGGGATAATCCATGCCCTTTATCAGTGAAGATAATTCTGAGCTTTTACTTAACTCTCTCACTTGTAAAACACTGGTTTTCTTGGCAGTATATTCTTTAAGAACTTGACCTCTATATCAGGAGATCGAGACCATCCTGGCTAACACGGTGAAACCCTGTCTCTACTAAAAATACAAAGAATTAGCCAGGTGTGGTGGCGGTCGCCTGTAGTCCCAGCTACTCAGGAGGCTGAGGCAGGAGAATGGCATGAACCTGGGAGACGGAGGTTGCAGTGAGCCGAGATCATGCCATTGCACTCCAGCCTGGGCGACAGAGCAAGACTCTGTCTCAAAAAAAAGAACTTGACCTCTATATACCTACTATGCTACTATGTACCCCCAAAAATTAAAAAAATAAAAACTCCACCTCTGAGTGCAAAAGAAAAAAAATAAAAAAAAATATTTTCTTGGCTGGGCATGGTGGCTCACGCCTGTAATCCCAGCACTTTGGGAGGCTGAGGTGGGCAGATCATGAGATCAAGAGTTCAAGACCAGCCTGACTGACATGGTGAAACCCCGTCTCTATTAAAAATACAAAAAAACTTAGCCGGACGTGGTGGCACGCACCTGTAATCCTAGCTACTCAGGAGGCTGAGGCAGGAGAATCACTTGAACCCAGGAGGCGGAGGTTGCAGTGAGCCGAGATCATGCCACTGCACTCCAGCCAGGTGACAGAGCGAGACTCCGTCTCAAAAAAAAAAAAAAGACAAAAAAAAATTTTTTAAATTTTCCCTCTCATTTATTTTTAATTGATAACTAAAATTTGTATTTTTTATTGTATACAACATGCTGTTTTGAAATGTGTATATACTGTGGGATGGCTAAATCAAGCTAATTAACATATACATTATCTCATATTTATTTGTGGTAAAAAATTTTTTAAAGAAATGGGGCTCCCTATGTTGCCCAGGCTAGAGTGCAGTGGCTATTCACAGGCGTAGTCATTGCACACTATAGTCTTGAACTCCTGGGCTCGAGCGAGCCTCCTGCCTCAGCCTTCCAAGTAGCTGGAACCACAGACACACACCATCATGCCTGGCCCTGAAAAGGAAAAAACTGATACAAGTTCTTGATTCTGAAACTGAAGGATTTCCAAAGTGATTTCAAATTAGGGAACAAACTCAGAGAAGATGAATGACTTGAGAGTCACTTACTTCAGTGTCTGAGTAACCAAATGGAACCAAGATGTTATATGGTTAAAAACGAACAAGAGAAGTTTATACAGAAGATCCATGGCAAATTCTTCAAAAAGCCAAGAAGAATGAAATGCTACTCACCGATATGGAAGCCTCTCATAATAGGTCTTTTCCAAAGCAGCAAAATGGTATCTTGGTTTCAAGCCCGTGGCAAGACTGGAAACCAAAGCAGAACCACATTTTTTGGTATCCACTTCTCCCTAGTAAACAAAAACTTAGTCATCCATACAGACCAAAAGTTATCAAGAAATGCAAATAAATAATAAGACATTTTGAAATGTCTTTGAAATTTATACATGAATACAGATGTGGACAGAAGGAACTGCACATTGAATTTCATAAGTATGGCAATCAGAGAAAAAATCTTAACAAATAAGGGAGCTGAACTACTATGAATGTAGAAATAGGAACAACTGTTGGAAGCCAGAGATTAAAAGGTAACTCCTCCATATCAATACCCAAAACACAAATTATTAAAACCTTTTTTGGAAAGTAAGCTCTCCCTCTGGAGCCCACAGACTGGGCTTCTAGTTTTGGTTTGTTTTTTTTTTTTGAGATGGAGTCTTGCTTTGTCACCCAGGCTGCTAGAGTACAGTGGCACAATCTCGGCTCACTGCAACCTCTGCATCCTGGGTTCAAGAAGTGATTCTCCTGCCTCAGCCTCCCTAGTAGCTGGGATTACAGGCACGTGCCACCACACCTGGCTAATTTTTGTATTTTTAGTAGAGACGGGGTTTCACCATGTTGGCCAGGCTGGTCTCAAACTCCTGATCTCGTGATCCGCCCGCCTCAGCCTCCCAAAGTGCACGCGTGAGCCACTGCGCCCAGCCTCTAGTTTGTTACGTAGTGCATCTGTAGTTCACGGGTCCAGACAGTCATAGTCAATTCAGAAAATCAAAGCGAAAAGCTAGGCTTCAGGGCTCCTAGGATCCACAGAATATCTGGTATAGAGTATTCAAGGACTTCATCACCAGCATATAATCCTTTATTTTGCTTCAGTCAAGGAAGTGGCAGTTTGAGGAAGGGCATAACCACACCCTTCTTAAGTAATATGAAGTTTGCTCAAAGTTATTCTTGCTCCCAGAACATCCCCAGATTCTGTTAACAACCAATTAAGTGATCTCTCACCCACAGCATTATTTATGAACTCTATTCTAAGAGAAGGTATTACTTGGAAATAAGCTAACAAAGTTTGTTTTCCACTACGTAAAGCAGGAATTTCCTTTTGTCTTATGCTTGTTTCCTTCAGGTTTCTGCTGAAGGGCAGGGAATTAGCTTTGAGGTCAGTCCTAGCATCTTAGGGACTGGTGAACTATACTTTTCTCCTCCATAAATATACTGTATGGTTATTTATAAGCCTTGATCAAAATCAATTTTTAGCTCCCCGCAAAACAAAGGGGCCTCATTTTCTCATCCTTCCTTACAGAGCATCATATGTGTCTTTCTCTCTTCCTTCATCACTTTAGCAGCCCTTCTCTCGATCTTCCCTAGCTTTGCTATATCCTTGTGCTCCAACCAGCTCTATGCCTTGTATTCTACGTAAAGAGTAATCATGGGTTTGTCAAAAAGGAAGAGAGCATCCTCCTTGATAATGCCTGGTATCCTGTTGGCCTTTTTGGTCATGGACACATGGTGCTGAAACTGGCAAGGGGTGGTATACAGGCTCCACTTCTGGATCATCACTGATAATCCTGAATCCAACCATGGAGATTTGTTCCCAAATGCATTCTTACATTTCCCTTCAATGAAGCTCACCCAGTGTTTTCTGCCCTCACACATAACCTTTTCAAAATCTTCCTTAGGCTTACTTCCACCAGTGTAGCGTTTCACTCCCCATGATAGTTGTCACTCCTGGTGTACCATCCTTTTCAAGATTACTCATAAAATATTAAAATCTGGCCAGGTATGGTGGCTCACGCCTGTAATCCCAGCACTTTGGGAGGCCAAGGCGGGTGGATCACTAGAGCGCAGGAGTTCAAGACCAGCCTGGGCAACCCTGTCTCTACTAAAAATACAAAAATTAGGCTGGGCACGGTGGCTCATGCCTGTAATCCCAGCATTTTGGGAGGCTGAGGTGGGCAAATTACTTGAGGTCAGGAGTTTGAGACCAGCCTGGCCAACATGGTGAAATCCCATCTCTACTAAAAATACAAAAAAATCCGCCTGTAATCCCAGCACTTTGGGAGGCCGAGGCAGGCAGATTGTCTGAGCTCAGGAGTTCATGACTAGCCTGGGCAACATGCTGAAACCCCATCTCTAATAAAATACAAAAAATTAGCCAGGCATGGCAGTGTGCGCCTATAGTCCCAGCTACTTGGGAGGCTGAGGCAGGTGAATTGCTTGAACCCAGGAGGCAGAGGTTGTGGTGAGCAGAGATGGCGCCACTGCCCTCCAGCCTGGGTGACACAGCAAAACTCCATCTCAAAAAAAAAAAAAAAAAATTAGCCAGGCGTGGTGGCGCATGCCTATAATCTTAGCTACTCAGGAGGCTGAGGCAGGAGAATCATTTGAACCCGGGAGGAGGAGGTTGCAGTGAGCCAAGATCGCACCACTGCACTCCAACCTGGGCGACAGAGTGAGACTCCATCTCAAAAAAAAACAAAAAACAAAAAACAAAAAAATCAGTGAAGCCTCAAAACATTAAGAGGCTTAGGAAAGGGCACTTGAAGCAGAGAATATAAAAAACCATTCCTTTATAATTAAGATTTCAGCAGTCTCATCTATGAATCACACTTTCATGAAATTAACTTTTGCTTTGATCAGTTGACAGAACTTTTAGAATCCTGAAAATTTTCACAGAAGACTTCTAATAAAAGGTACCCAAGAGCTAAAATACTCAATATAAACAGGAAAAGAAAAAAGTCCCAACTCAAGCCAGTGCAATTTGCTTTTAGAAATTCCAACTAAACAAACACTACTCACAGAAGAATTCCCAAAGTTCCCCACACACTTGGGCCATGGGGATGTGAGCAAGATATCAACACCCTTAAACTGGGAGGTTGTACACAGCATCATTCTCAGAGAAGACACATCCTTGGGACTAAAACTATAACCTGGTACTGGCTCATTTAAGGATTCTGTCCCACTGAGGTACACAATCTGCAGCCCCGAGCTTCCAGTGAAGATACCTTTACGACCTGGGTTCAAAGAAAAATGAACAAATTTTAGTCAGAATTGCAGAATGAAAAGCCATCAATAGGGGGATGAATCTCCCATGACTCTCCTATGTCCCTGCCATTTTACATGTCTGAAGTGTAAACTCTCCAGCAGCTCCCTTCTGGCTGCTAGGCATCAATGGTGAATGGCTACAACAGTATTCCTGCTCAGTAAATATGAACAGCCCTACGTGGAGGCTGCTGGAGCCCACGGGCCAGTATGTTTATGCCAGGTGCCTTACAAATATTACTGGAAAAAGTTGGGAAGAGAAGATTAGGGAAAAGGCTTTCTGCGTTCTAGAGAAGATTCTACATGGACTTAAATGCAGACATCTGGACACAGGAAAAGGCAATGCGAAGAAAAATACAGTTCTAAGGAAGCTACAGTCTAGAAAAGATGCACATAGTGAAACCCCATCCCTACTAAAATACAAAAAATTAGCCAGGCATGGCAGCGTGTGCCTGTAGTCCCAGCTACTTGGAGGCAGGCAGCAACTTCCAAGTGAAGGAAAACATTTGGAAAGAACAAGTGTTTAGGAAAAATTTAAGACGCCACTCTCTTCTATGGTTATTCCTGGCTTGTGGCCTTGTTTCCATTCCCTCCTGTTGCCTTCAAGACCTTGCTCCATCAATTTTCACTTCCCTTTCATCTACTGAGTCTACTCAGCTGGCGCTTTTTGTTCAGAAAAAAATATGCTCAATCATCGCCATCCAAAATGAACACACATACTAAGAAACTTCCTCCTCTTCAGTTTTGAATTTCTGAAGAGTCATCCATGCTAAGTGCTTTACCTTTTTTTTTTTTTTTTTTTTTTTTTGAGATGGAGTCTCGCTCTGTTGCCAGGCTGGAGTGCAGTGGCGCAATCTTGGCTCATTGCAACCTCCACCTCCGCCTCCCGGGTTCAAGTGATTCTCCTGCCTCAGCCTCCCAAGTAGCTGGGACTACAGGTGACCGCCACCATGCCCAGTTAATTTTTCTATTTTTAGTAGAGATGGGGTTTCATCATGTTGGCCAGGATGGTCTCAACCTCTTGACCTCGTGAACTGCCCACCTCGACCTCCCAAGGTGCTAGGATTACAGGTGTGAGCCACCACGCCCAGCCTACTTTATTAGTTCCTTAACCCCCTGCAATCAGTTTCCCTCTCCCATCACTCTCTTAAAGGTCACCCTATATTTGCCAATGTTCTCCTGAAACTATGTTATCTTCAGTAGATTCCATGAAGTTGACAATATCTTTACCTCTCAAACAGTCCTCTAAGCACTTTTATGTCTTTGTTCCTACCCCCTAGATGAAGATATACCATCCCCACCCACCAAGGTACTATCATCAACCTGCTTCCCTTCTGATTGTATTTCTTCCTTAATAATTTGATCCTCTTCTCAGCTCTATTTTTCATCATTATGGGACCAACTCTCCAAAGCCTATACTCTTCAACACTGATACTCTAGAAAGAACTCTCGGACCAGCACAGTGGCTAATGCCTGTAATCCCAGAACTTTGGGAGGCTGAGGCAGCTGGATCACCTCAGGTCAGGATTTCGAGACCAGCCTGACCAACATGGTGAAACCCTGTCTCTACTAAAAAATACAAAATTAGCCGGGCATGGTGGCACACACCCGTAACCCCAGCTACTCAGGAGGCTGAGGCAGAAGAATCGCTTGAATCCGGGAGGCAGAGGTTGCAGTGAGCCAAGACTATGCCATTGCAATTCAGTCTGGGCAACAAGAGCGAAAGTCCATCTCAAAAAATAATAATAATAACTCTCACTTCCAACTATATGTTGGATGTCCTACCAGTATTTCAAGCTCACTATCACATGTTCACTACCAAGTTCACTGCTTGATCCTCCTACTGGATCCAAAAAATCTATTTCACAGAAATAACCCAAGTACCTTAGCTGCTCTTTCCTTTCCTGGCACTAAATTCATATAGTAAAATGGCTGCCAAATATCTACAGTAATGCCCTTAATCCAAATCTACAAACTATACCAAGAACTGCATAAGTCAGGCTCATGTTAAAATCTACAACAGAATTTCAAAATGCGTATCTGATATGTGTAGTTAAAACTAAACAGTGCTCACTTCAGCAGCACATATACTAAAACTGGAAAGATAAAGAGAATATTAGCACGGCACCTGCACAAGGATGACATGCAAATTCATGAAGAGTTCCATATTAAAACAACAAAACAAATAAAGTCCTTCCTTCAATTTTTGCTTAAAGAAGTCCCACAGGATTAGTGCAAAATAAGACTGGTAACGGGAGGGCCATAGCCAAATAAAGACTAAAGGCCAAGATGAACTATGATGGGGAAGGAGAGAGAGGACATTTACAGCAAAGGAAATGAAGAAGTTTTCTAGAGAAATAAGACCAACAAGGAGGAAATGTGAAGAATAGTAAATTCAACTAAAAAAAAAAAAAAAAGCCGAGCACAGTGGCTCACACCTGTAATCCCAGCACTTTGGGAGGCTGAGGCAGGCGGGTCACCAGGTCAGGAGATCGAGACCATCCTGGCCAACATGGTGAAATCCCGTCTCTACTAAAAATACAAAAATTAGCTGGGTATGGTAGTGCGTGCCTGTAATCCCAGCTACTCGGAAGGCTGAGGCAGGAGAATCACTTGAACCAGGGAGTCGGATGTTGCAGTAAGCCGAGATCATGCCACTGCACTCCAGCCTGAGCAACAGAGCAAGACACTGTCTTAAAAAAAAAAAAAAAAAAGAGTTGAATGATCTAAGAGGCAGCAGACTGCCAGCAGGTGGGGGGAAAACAAAAGCAAAATTTGACAGTGCTTTTGAAAACAGCCAGACATTGAAAGAGCCACTAAAAGCAATACAGAGGGCTGTGGAGGAAACAACTTTAAGCTGGAACTGAAGAGTGTACCTAGAACCAGAAAAAGGAGAGTAAAAAAAGAGTAAAAAGCCCCCAAAGAACAGCACTAAAAACCTGAGTTGCCAAAACCTTAGAGTGAAACCTAGAGCTATAAATAGTTGGGAGGCTCATTAACAAGTAAGCTGTATATACCTAGCAAGATTGTATGGTAAAGCCACATACATGAAATTTCCTTTGTGTGAACATAATTTATACCTTAAGTATCCCATATACTATAGACAAGGAGTTTATCCCTCCAGTTGGCTAAACAAGTGTGTACCGGGTTGTGGGAACGCAACGATATTGGGGCTAAGTGGTAGAAATAATAAAGAAAAAATGCCACTGTCCTAAAGGCATTGTCCTAAGGGCACAGCAGCACATATACAGACTCTGGGAAAAAACCCTCCAAACCCCATTATCTCAGGCTGCAATCACTGAAAAATCTAGCCAAAAATTTCCTGGGAGACTAATTCCTGAGAACACTATATTATGTTCATTACAAATACAACAAATATCGGCCAGGCGCGGTGGCTCACGCCTGTAATCCCAGCACTCTGGGAGGCCGAGGTGGGCGGATCACGAGGTAAGGAGATCGAGATGATCCTGACTAACACGGTGAAACCCTGTCTCTACTAAAAATATAAAAAAAATTAGCCGGGTATGGTCACACACGCCTGTAATCCAAGCTACTCAGGAGGCTGAGGCAGGAGAATCACTTGAACCCGGGAGGTGGAGGTTACAGTGAGCCAAGATTGCGCCACTGCACTCCAGCCTGGGTGACAGAGCAAGACTCCGTCTCAAAAACAAAAAACAAAAAACAAAAAAAAAATACAACAAGTATCAGCTTACCCAGATAAGTAATGTTTTCAGCTAATTCACATCCATCAGCATCCTGGAAATATTTTACTGTTTCCTGGTTATTAGCACCAAGCACATATGTCTGAATAGGAGCTAGTGAGGGAAACAGACATGACACCATATAGTTACCAGATCTGCTTTAGAACTTAAGATATGCCTCTCTATAGAAAAAATACTTATATTAAAAGTAAATAGTCCATGCATTCACATTCCCCATATTTAGCAATCCTAAATGTGGAACAGCTATCCACTAAGGATATACTACACCCAACCTTGTAGCTTGGCTATTTTATTTATTTTATTTTTTTTTTTTTGAGACAGAGCCTTGCTCTGTCGCCCAGGGTGAAGTGCAGTGGTGCAATCTCGGCTCACTGCAATCTCCGCCTCCCAGGTTCAAGCAATTCTCCTGCCTCAGTCTCCCGAGGAGCTGGGATTACAGGCATGCGCCACCATGCCCTGCTAATTTTTATATTTTTAGTAGACACACGGTTTCACCATGTTGGCCAGGCTGGTCTTGAACCCCTGACCTCAGGTGATCCACATGCCTCGGCCTCCCAAAGTGCGGGGATTACAGGTGTGAGCCACTGCGCCGGATAGTCTTAATAATGAAAAGCAACTTAAATTCTTAAATACTGAAAATAACTCTTAAATTCTTAAATAATGAAAAACAACTCTGCAAGAACTCTGGCCCTTGAAATTTTATTAGAAATCATATGTTAAATAAAAATAATTTCTATACCTTTCTTGATGCCAGTCTTATACTCCTCCCATTCAGCATCTTGGGTGGAGCCAAAGAAATTTCCTACACACAACAGCAGCTAAAATGAGTTTTTTAAACAGATATATGAGATTTTAAAATATCAAACAGTACATAATTGATAGTAATATTCAACTAGTTATTTAATAGTTTCAAATCAGTTTTTAATTCTTAATCAATTTGCAGATTTCAATATACAATTCTTTAGCAGCAACTGTTAACAGTTACTGATTCTATGAATTATTAAGTTTTGGCTCTTTGGCTGTCAAATTCAAGTTAGAGATGGGTAAGAGAGAGTCAAGGAACTAAACTTTTAAAGTAAGTTAGAATTCAAGTGCTCCTCAAATTCCCAGTCCCACTCTGCCATTCATGGCTCTCTCCACATATCCTTCCCTGGAATATACAGTCACATAGAAATAGATCTTTAAAGAATCCCCGTGTGAAACAAAAAAACTTAAAATATTAGAATCTGAGAAATACAAGGTATAAAAAACACATTTCCTGCCTGTTGTCTTTACCCAACCTTTAACCCAATGAACAAATTATCCTCATACCTGGAATACTCTCTTCTGTACTCTTAGGAGTTTACAGTCTAGTTGGCAACCATACACAACATTCATATAGAGCTTTTAAGCTTGTGATGGGTTGGTATGTATGTTACCTGACTTAATCCTCATCACATTCATGAAATAGATCTGTGCTTCCCAAACCCAGAGGTCAGAATCACTTAGGGAAGTGTTGCTAGTCTGTTTTCAGTTTTTTGTACAGTGATAAAGTAACAATATTCAAATTCAAAAAATATAAAGATCAATAGTAAACAGTAAATAGGTCTCCCTCCCCCAGCCACTCAGCAGCTACTAAGTTCCTATGCTCATGAAGGGAACTCAATTTAACAAAAATGGTATGTGTTCAATCAAGACTTAAAGGAGTGCAAACTTTATTTTTATGTGTGACTACAAAGGTAAAATTAAATTCAGTAAAAACAAACATCTTACATCAAAGTTTCCACTTTTCTTCTGAATTGCTTGAACTCTATTGAATAAAATATCAAACTTTCCTTCAACATCTCCACAAGCCAAGCTGCAAACAAAGAGATAAACATTATAGCAATTCAGGAAACAAATGGGCCTGCCGGGTTTGGTATATACTGGTCTTTTGGATTAGATAGATACATGATCTAGTCTCTCTGCAGTTACCTTGCAAGGTTCAGTGCACGTAAACCACTGGGCAGATCCACTGAGGGTCTCACCAACACCTCCCACTCGCCGTATCTAAAATTTAGCTTATCATTTACTCCACAATTGAGCCAGCTTCTTCTCCTCATTCCTAAGTTTTGTGGACATGTCTATGGCTGACATGGTCAACAAAAGTCAAAAATCCCCCATCCAGTCACCAAGTCCCATCAATCCCTTTTTCCAAACATCTTTCACATTCATTCTATCCTTCTTATTTTGACTCCTCCTATCTTAGTACGACTCCTCCTATCTTAGTACAGGGCTTCAGTCATTCATTTGATAAACAGGTACTGGACACCTACCATACGCTAAGTACAATATGCCAAGTATACTATGCTAAAAACATGTTAGCAGTACAAGGTGGAGGAAGACTCAGTTTAAGCCTCAAAGAGTTTATAATCAGGGAAAGGAAGACACTCTAATCATTATAAATTTATAAGAAAAGGGCTACAACAGAGGTATGTGTGAAGTGTTATGGGGCAGGAAGTAGAAAATGGCAAGAGCTGACATTGGTAAGGTAAACTGGCCCTACGTTGTGAAGTGACTTTTACTATCATCTCATTTCTGAGATTTTCTAATTCTGATTTATGTGGTTTTTCCACGGCTTATATCATTTCCTTAATGTCTTTTAACTCATCTTGAAATATTAAAATTTTATTGTTTTGTGAGTGTCTCTTTCTGGCGTGCTTTTATTGTACACCTCGCCAAACTTTTTTTTTTTCTTTTTCTGAGACAGGGTCTCACTCTGTCACCCAGGCTAAAGTGCAGTGGCACGACCTTGGCTCACTGCAACCTCCACTCCACTCCACCCCACCTCACCCCCTTCCTATGGCAGAGGAAGAATCAGACAAAAATACAATGCATCTAGTGTTAGATTCAAAGTAGAGAATACATTTATGTTTCCTCTAATGCCTTCTCTTCCTCCTGTCCATCCTACAGAAAGTAGTCAGTTTAATGTTCTTTCCTCAAAACATTAAGAGGTTCCCCACTGCCTATAGAACCACAGCTTTCCACAGGCCCTGACCTGTCACCTTTCTAGTACTTTCTCCAAGTTTTCTTAACTGAACTGGCAATTTGATTACTCTCTGCCTCTGTCATTCCCTAGGGTAGTTCCACCCTACCCATCCTAAATCCAAGTTTTTCCCATCCTTCAAGGTTTAGCACATTTCTGAAGCCTTCCTGGCTGGCTCAGAAGTCATTACCTTCTCAAAAACTCAGAAAACCACATTACAGCATTTCAGAGAAAGCTTTGTCATAAACTAATATGACTTTTATTTATATTTTGAGCACCACCTCCTCTAGGAAGCCTTCTAGTACCTATCAGTTACCAATTTCTAGTGTTCCCATAGGAGCCTGCATTTCTTCCATCACAGCAGTTGTCACACGGAATTACCATTGTCTCTGGGAGATCCACTGTCCAGTTTATACATCACCAGGTGCCTCATCTCCTCATCTGGGCCCTTTTCCACTGTTCTCTATCCCACTGAATAAAGATAGAAATCTATGACCCAACAAGGCCAGCTCCTTTTCACTCACAATTAAACCATCACAAGCCTTGTTGATTTTACTTCCTTAATAAACCCTGAATCCCTAAACTATTCCTCTGTCATCACTCTACCTAATCCCAGCTGTTCTCTACTTTGGCTCTGATTTGTTCTCCACATTGCAGACAGAACTGCTTTCCAAAATGAAAATTTGATCATGCCAAAGCGTTCTTAAGCATTTCAATAACCTTTTTAGGTTAAAGACAAGAATACAGTTACGTGCCACATAACAATGTTTCGGTCAACAAGGGACCACATATGTAATGGTGGTCCCATAAGATTATAATGGAACTAAAAAATTCCTATCGCCTAGTGATGTCTAGCCATTTGTAACATCATAGTGCAATATATTACTCATTTGTTTGTGGTAATGCTGGTATAAACCTACTGGGCTGGTGGTTATAAAAAGTGTAGCACATACAGTTATGTACAGTATACAATATTTGATAATGATAATAAACAACTATGTTACTGGTTTATGTATAATATTTAGCATGCTATGGCCAGGTGCGGTGGCTTACGCCTGTAATCCCAGCACTTTGGGAGGCCAAGGCGAGCGGATCACAAGGTCAGGAGCTCGAGACCATCCTGGTTAACACAGTGAAACCTCATCTCTACTAAAAATACAAAAAATTAGCCGGGCGTGGTGGCGGGCGCCTGTAGTCCCAGCTACTCAGGAGGCTGAGGCGGGAGAATAGCATGAACCCACGAGGCAGAGCTTGCAGTGAGCTGAGATCGCGGCACTGCACTCCAGCCTGGGCAACAGAGCAAGACTCCATCTCAAAAAAAAAAAAATATATTCAGTATGGTATGCTCTTTACTGTTTAGAGTACACTCCTACGTATTCAAAAAAAAAAAAAAAAAGTTGACTGTAAAAAAGCCTCAGGCAGGTCCTTCAGGAAGTATTCCAGAGGGCACTGTTATCATAGGAGATGACAGCTTCATGCATGTTATTACTACTGAAGCCCTTCCAGTGGGACAAGATATGGAGGTGAACAGCAGTGATACTGATGATCCTGACCCTGTGTAGGCCTAGACTCGTGTGTGTGTCTTAGTTTGCAACAAAACAAGTTTAAAGCCAGGCACAGTGGCTCACGTCTGTAATCCCAGCACTTTGGGAGGCTGAGGCAGGAGGGTAACTTGAGCCCAGGAGTTCAAGACCAGCCTGGGTAACATAGCAAAACCCCCTCTCTACAAAAAATACAGAAATTAGCCAGGTGTGGTAGCTTCCGCCTGTAGTCCCAGCTACTCAGGAGGCTGAAGTGGGAGAATCACTTGAGCCCAGGAGGTTGAGGTTGCAGTGAGCCGTGATTGCACAATTGCACTCCAGCCTGGGCGACAGTGAGACCCTGTCTCCAAAAAAAAAAAAAGTTTAAAAGGTAAAAAGAAAAAAAAAGTAATAGAAAAAAGCTTGTAGAATAAGGATATAAAGAAAATATTTTTGTACAGCTGTACAATGTGTTTTATGTCTTAGCTGTGTTATAACAAGAGTCAAAAAGTGTAAAAAAACTTAAAGTTTATAAAGTAAAAGTTACAGTAAACTAAGGTTTACTGTTGAAAATAATATTTTAATAAATTTAATATAGGTGAAGTGTACAGTATTCATAAAGTCTACAATACTGTAAAGTAATACATTCACTCACCTCTTACTAACTCACTCAGAGAAACTTTCAGTTCTGCAAACTCCATTCATGATAAGTGTCCTACACAGGTTGTGCCCTTTTTTTTTTTCCTGTATACAGTATTTTCTTTTTTTCTTTTTCTTTTTTTTTTTTTTTGAGACAGTCTCGCTCTGTCGCCCAGGCTGGAGTGCAGTGGTGCGATCTCGGCTCACTGCAACCTCTGCCTCCCAGGCTCAAGCCATTCTCCTGCCTCAACCTCTTGAGTAGCTGGGATTACAGGCGCCCGCTACCACACCCGGCTAATTTTTGTATGTTTAGTAGACACAGGGTTTCACCATGTTGGCCAGGCTGGTCTTGAACTTCTGACCTCAGGTGATCCACCCACCTCGGCCTCCCAAAGTGTTGGGATTACAGGCATAAGCCACCACACCCGGCCAGGTGTTTTCACTGTACCCTTTCTATATTTAAATACAAAAATGCTTACCATTGTGTTACAATTGCCTACAGTATTCAGTACAGTAACTTGACGTACAGCTATACCATTTAGCCTAGGTGTACAGGAAGCCATACCATCTAGGTCTCTGGAAGTACACTCAAAGATGTTCGCACAATGACGAAATCGCCTACCAACTCATTTCTCAGAACATAACCCTGCTGTTAAGCAATGGATTACTCTTATTTCCCAAGGCTCAATCCTAACATTCTCGGGAAGCCTTCTTGACTCCTATCATTAAGCCAAATACCCCTCTTATGCACTCTCCCAGATTCACGAATATTTTCTTCCCAAAAGTTACCACTATTGCAATTTTTTTTTTTTTTTTTTTGAGACAGGGTTTCAATCTGTCACCCAGCCTGGAGATCAGCAGCACGATCACAGCTCACTGCAGCATCGACCTCCCCAGGCTCAGGTGGTCCACCTGCTTCAGCCTCCCAATTAGCTGGGACCACCACGCCCGGCTAATTTTTTTTTTTTTCTGTATTTTTTGTAGAAACGGGGCCTTGCTATATTGCCCAGGCTGGTCTTGAATTCCTGGACTCAAGTGATTCTCTTGCCTTGGCCTCCGGAGTCGCTGGGATTATAGGCGTGAGCCACTGCGCCTGGCCCTATCACTATGGTAACTTTACATTTATCTGAATTCCTTTTTTTTTAGACGGAGTCTCACTCTGTTACCTAGGCTGGAGTGCAGAGGTGCAGTGTCGGCTCACTGTGCAACCTCCGCCTCCGGGTTCAAGCGATTCTCCTGCCTCAGCCTCCCAAGTAGCTGGGATTACAGGCACGCGCCACCACGCCTGGCTAATTTTTTTTTTTTGTATTAGTAGAGACGGGGTGTCACCACGTTGGCCAGGCTGGTCTCGAACTCCTGACCGCAAGTGATCCGCCCGCCTCAGCCTCCCAAAGTGCTAGGATTACAGGCGTGAGCCACCGCGCCCGGCCATTATTTGTATTGTTTTTTGTTTGTTTTGTTTTGTTTTGTTTTGTTTTGAGAGTCTCGTTCTGTCGCCCAGGCTGGAGTGCAGTGGCGCGATCTCGGCTCACAGCAACCTCCGCCTCCCGGGTTCAAGCGATTCTCCTGCCTCAGCCACCGCGCCCGGCCCATTATCTGGATTCTTTAGTACCTGTTCCTCTAGACTCTACGCTCCATTAAAGCAGGAACTCCATCTGTTGCAACACCTAGCACAGCGTCCGGCACACTGCAGTTCTTCAATAAATACTTGCTGCATGAAGCCCTCTCTTCACCACCACCCCCACCCCTCCTCCTCGCAAAAAAAAAAAAAAAAAAAAAATGCCCCAGGGAAGGGTCCCTATCTACTCTGTCCACCACTGCCCAGGGCCCATCAGTGGGCCCAATGGCTATTTGGCGAGTAAATAAATGGGGTCAGGAGAAACGAAGGGGAAAGGATGTGTCAGAGGCCAGGACTGCCCCCTAAGATGGAGGAGGCCTAACTCTGGGAGCTTCCGCCTCTCCGAACGAGCGTCGCCAAGAGAAACCCCCTCAGAAGCGAAAAGGGCCAGGAAAAGAGGTCAGCCCCGGCCAGGCAAAGACATCACCTAAGCTCCCCAGCAGCCCCGTGTCTCTCCGCCTTTTCCTTCTCCCTTCCCGTCATGGGAAAGACTCCCGCCCGTGTCGTCACCTACACACACGAAAGAGACACAGGGAGAGAGGCTTCCATTCACGGTCACTCACAGGCGCAGCGGTTTCTGTGCCATCTGTCCGAATAGTATGGGTTGCGACTGCCACCTAAAATTGGGAATGCGAATCCGCGCTCCCCGGAAAAATGCGACCGCGCAACAATCAGACGTCAGCGCCCTCCAGCCAATAACGGTTCACTTACTTACGGAGACCGCCGAGGGACAGAAGCCTCTCTCAGGTGTTTGCGCCTCAAGGAAGAATCAAGAGGGAAAGGGAGGAACGAAGGGAGAAAGAGAAAGTGACCGAAAGGATTCCAACTATGATTTTTTAAATTAAATTTCAGAGCACTTGAAGCGAATGAATGGCTAGGAAGTACAGAGCACAATGTCGGGTTCTAACCTAACCTAACCTAACCTAACCTAACCTAACCATATCGGTCTAGTGGGCAAGACAGACCCCCTCTATCCACGTTTTTTGTAAGTTTTTAACCTATCAAAAAGTTAAGAGGCCGGGCGTGGACGCTCACGCCTATAATCCCAGCACTTTGGAAGGCTGAGGCGGGCGGATCACTTGAGGTCGGGCGTTCAAGACCAGCCTGGGCAACATGGTGAAACCCCGTCTCTTCTAAAAATACAAAAATTAGCCGGGCATGGTGGAGAATTGCTTCAACCAGGGAGGCGGGGGTTGCAGTGAGTCAAGATCGCGCCATTGCACTCCAGCCTGGACAACAAGAGCGAAACTCCGTCTCAAATTAAAAAAAAAAAAGTTAAAAGAATAATGGCTATTACCTTGATTCAGTAAGTCTCAGCATGTTGGCAAATTTGCTTGTGTTCTCTTTCTCTCAAAGTGCCCAAGCCCTTCCATTCTCACTCAATCATTTGAAAGTAAAGTACAGGCCGGGCGCAGTGGCTCACGCCTGTAATCCCAGCACTTTGGGAGATCCAGACCATCCTGGCTAACACGGTGAAACCCCCTCTCTACTAAAAATACAAAAAATTAGCCGGGCGTGGTGGCACGCACCTGCAGTCCCAGTTACTCGGGAGGCTGAGGCAGGGGAATCGCTTGAACCCAGGAGGAGGAAGTTGCAGTGAGCCGAGATCGCGCCACTTCACTCCAGCCTGGGCGACAGAGCGAGACTCCGTGTCAAAAAATAAAATAAAATAAAGTGCGGACAACAGGAATACATCTCCATTTATCTCCTAAGATTAGGATATCCTCCTACATAACCGTAATACTATTAACACAGCTAAGAAAATTAACATTAATTATTCAATAATATTACCTAATATACATCCATATTTAAAGTTCTCCATATTTCCCTACAAACTGATTTTATATTTGGGGCTTGTTTTGATTCAGATGCAATCAAGTTTCACACTTGCATTTGGTTCTGTCTCTATTTTAATCTACAAAAGCCCTCCTACCTATTTGGTTTTAGTTTTTGTAATATTGACTTTTTTGAAGGGTTCAGGCCAAGTGGTAGGAAACAAGTGTGTAAGGAAATGGAAACAAGAGAGAGTTCCTGACGACTGCGGGGAAAGGAAGACTCATCAAGGGCATCTAAATAATTCAAAATTAATAAAACATAAGATTAAAGAAGAACTACAGGCCAGGCACAGTGGCTCATGCCTGTAATCCCAGCACTTTGGGAGGCTGAGGCGGGAGGTTCACTTGAGAACAGGAGTTCAAGGCCAACCTGGGCAACATAGCCAGACCTCGTCTCTACTACAAATTTAAAAAGAAAAAAAAAAAAGTTAGCTGGGCATGGTGGCCGTATGCCTGTACTCCCAGGTACTCCAGAGGCTGAGGTGGGGAGATCACTTGAGCCCAGGAGATGGAGGCTTCAGCGAGCTATTACCTTGCCACTGCACTCCAGCCTGGGTGACACAGCAAGCCCTGTCTCAATAACCAAACAAAACTACAAAGTTCTGGCTTTTCCCACAGCCTACAAGCCTTCTTTTTTGTTTGTTTCTTGCCTCATAACTGGTGGCTCTGCTTTGCTGGCACATAAGCATGCATTTTTTCCTACTCTTTGGATAATACAGCACTGCCCAGGAGTAGCACTCAAGACTGAATCTTGAAGAAGAGTAGAAGTTTGCCAAACATGAGCAGGTAATAATTCCCAGAAGAGGATACAAAAGTAAGACATAAAAACTCATCGTATTGAAAAATCAAAAGACTCCACGAAAAAGACTGTTAGAAATAATAAACGAATTCAGTAAAAGTTTCAGGATACCAAATCAACATACAAAAATCAGTAGCATTTATATGCACCAACAGTAAACAATCTGAAAAAGAAATCAAAAAAGCAATCTCATTTACAACAGCTACAAAGAATATAAACTACGTAGGAATCAATTTAACTAAAGAAATGAAAGATCTATACAAGGAAAACTATACAATACTGATGAAAGAGGACACACACACAAAAAGGAAAGATATTCCACGCTTATGGATTAGAAGAATTAGGCGGGCAGATCACGAGGTCAGGAGATCGAGACCTTCCTGGCTAACACGGTGAAACCCCGTCTCTCCTAAAAATACAAAAAAATTAGCCAGGCGTGGTAGCGGGCGCCTGTAGTCCCAGGTACTCGGAAGGCTGAGGCAGCAGAATGGCATGAACCCGCGAGGCAGAGCTTGCAGTGAGCGGAGATCCAGCCACTGCACTCCAGCCTCTAGCCTGGGCAACAGAGCGAGACTCCGTCTCAAAAAAAAAAAAAAGAAAGAAAGAAAAAAGACAACACTACCTAAAGCAATTTACAGATTCAGTCCAATCCCCATCAAAATACAAATGGCATTCTCTAGATAGAGCAAGGATCCCCAACCCCCGGGCTATGGACCAGTACCCATCAGAAACCAGGACGCACAGCAGGAGGCGAGCGGTGGGCAAGTGAGAATAACCGCCTGAGCTCACTTCCTATCAGATTAGTGGTGGCATCAGATTCTTACAGAGGCTGGAACCCTATTGTGAACTGCACATGCGAGGGTTCTACGGCGCTGCGTACCTTACAAGAATCTGATGCCTGATGATCTGAGGTGGAACAGTTTCATCCCCAAACCATCCCCCCATCCCTACTTTCAGCTCTCTTTTTCTAATGTAAATGTCATGTACGAGCGTTTGTTTTTTTTGTTTTGTTTTGTTTTGTTTTTGTTTTTGTTTGAGACTGAGTCTCGCTCTGTCGCCCAGGCTGCAGTGCAGTGGCGCGATCTACGCTCACTGCAAGCTCCGCCTCCCGGGTTCACGCCATTCTCCTGCCTCAGCCTCCAGAGTAGCTGGGACTACAGGCACCCGCCACCATGCCTGGCTAATTTTGTTTTTGTATTTTTAGTAGAGACGAGTTTTCACCGTGTTAGCCAGGATGGTCTCGATTTCCTTGACCTCGTGATCCGCCCGCCTCGGCATCCCAAAGTGCTGGGATTACAGACGTGAGCCACCGCGCCCGGCCACAATAGTTTTATTTGACGTCAGGACTGTTTTGTAGACCGAGGTGTGATAGATGTGGCACGCACCAGCCACGGTTTCCACCGTCCCCAGAGCGTGGAGAGGCAGCGCCACTGCTCTCAAGGTTAATGACAACTCAATAAAGCACTGCTTTTATTTTTTGCAGTCTTCAATTTGAGAAAGGCCAGAAATAATGTTTTCAATAAATATGGTTCATACCATTAAAAAAAAAAATCCCCCCGCGTCCACGGAAAAATTGTCTTCCATAAAAGCGGTCCCTGGTGCCAAAAAGATTAGGGACTGCTGCTCTACAGAAATAGAAATAGAAAAAACAATCCTAAAATCTATATGGAACCACAAAAGACCCCAAAGAGCCAAAGCAATCCTGAGCAAAAAGCACAAAGCTGAAGGCATCATACTGCCCAACCTCAAAATCTACTACAAAGCTATGGTAACCCAATCAGTATGGTACTGACATAAAAATAGACACATAGACCAATGGAACATATATAAATCCATGCATTTACAGCCAACTCATTTTATGTCAATACCAAAAGTACAAAGGTGCCAAGAACATTCAATGAGGAAAGGACAGTCTCTTCAATAAATGATTCTTGGAGAACTGGATAGCCCTATACTGAAGAATGAAACTCAACTCTATCTCTCACCATATACAAAAATCGCATCAAAATGGATAAAGACTTAAACCTAACACATGAAACTATGAAGCTACCAGAAGAAAATACTGGAGAAATGTTCCAAGATATTGATCTGGGCAAAAATTTTTTGTATAAGACTTCAAAAGCACAGGCAACAAAAGCAAAAATAGACTAATAGGATTATATCAAACTAAAAAGCTCTGCACAGCAAAGGAAACAATCAACAAAGTGAAGAGGCAACCCACAGAATGGAAGAAAATATTTGCAAACTATCCATCTGACAAGAGATTAATAACCAGAATAAATATAACAAGGAGCTCAAACAACTCAATAGCGAAAAAAACCCACAAAAAATCCTGTCTAAAAATGGGCAAAGCCATATGTGGTGGTGCTTGCCTGTAGTCCCAGCTACTCAGGAGGCTGAAGCAGGAGGGTTTTTTTGGGGGAGGGGGAGGGGGTGGGGAGATGGAGTCTCACTCTGTCACCCAGGTTGGAGTGCAGTGGCACAGTCTCAGCTCACTGCAACTTCCACCTCTGGGGTCCAGGTGATTCTCCTGCCTCAGCCTCCCAAGTAGCTGGGATTACAGGTGCTCACCACCATGCCTGGCTAATTTTTTGTAGTTTTAGTAGAGATAGGGTTTCACTATGTTGGCCAGGCTGGCCTTGAACTCCTGACCTCAGATGGTCCACCTACTCAGCCTCCCAAAGTGCTGGGATTACAGGCCTCAGCCACTATGCCCAGTCCCAGGAGGACTGTTTGAGCCCAGTTTGATTCCAGCATGGGCAACATAATGAGAACTCATCTCTTAAAAAAACAAAGCGGGGGGAGCAAAAGATCAAAATAGACATTTCTCAAGACATACAAATGGCCAACAGCTATAAGAAAAAATGCTCAACATCACCAATCATCAGAGAAATGCAAATCAAAGCCACAACAAGATATCACCTCATCCCACTTAAAATTTCCTATCAAGACGACAGGAATTAACAGATGCTGGCAAGGATGCAGAGAAAGAGGAACTCTTGTACACAGTTGGTGGGAATGTAAATTAGTACAGCCACTATGGAAAATTGTATAGTTTCCTCCAAAAACTAAAAATAGAACTACAATATGATCCAGCAAATTCCACTACTGGGTATGTATCCAAAAGAAAGGAAATCAATATATCAAAGAGATATATGCACTCTCATGTTTATTGCAGCACTATTCACAATAGCTAAAATATGGAATCAACCTAAGTGTCCATCAATGGATGAATGGGTAAAGAAAATGTGGTATATATACACAATGGAATATTGTTCAGCCATAAAAGGAATGAAATTCTGTCATTCTCAGCAACATGGATGAAACTGGAGGTGATTGTGTTAACTGAACTAAGCCAAGCACAGAAAAGACAAATATTACATGTTCTCACTCACATGTGGGAGCTAAAAAAGTGGATCTCATGGAGATGGAGGTAGATTGGTGGTTACCAGAGGCCAGGAAAGGTGGTGGGGACGTGAGGATGAAGAGTTTGATTAGTGGACACAAATACAGAAGAAATAAGACCTATGATAGATCAGTAGAGTAACTATAGCTAATGTTAATCTATTGTACATTTCAAAATAGGTAAAAGAGAATAATTCAAATAATGTTCCTAGCATAAAGACAAGATAAATATTAAGGTGAAGGACATCCCAATAACTCTTGATTTAATATTTACACATTATATACATGTATTAAATTATCACTTGTACTCTGAAAATACATACATCTATTACACATCAATAAAAAAACTCATCCATTAAATTCTGTATTATCTTTGCAACTTTCCCGTAAATCTAAATCTATTTTCAAAAAGTTTATGAAAACTCATCCATGGGAATTTAAGGTGGCTGAAGATAGCTGAACACAGTGTAACAGGAAATAAAAACTTTTTAAAAATAGATCAACATGGCTGGGTGCGGTGGCTCACACCTGTAATCCCAGCACTTTGGGAGGCCGAGGTGGGTGGATCATTTGGGGTCAGGAGTTCGAGACCAGCCTGGCCAACATGGTGAAACCCCGTCTCTACTAAAAATACAAAAATTAGCCTGGCATGGTGGTGGGCACCTGTAAATCTCAACTACTCGGGAGGCTGAGGCAGGAGAATCGCTTGAACCCAGGAAACAGAGGTTGCAGTGAGCTAAGATCGCACCACTGCACTCCAGCCCAGGCGACAGAGCAAGACTTCATCTCAAAAAAAAAAAAAAAATAGATCAATACATGCACGGAAAAGGAAAAGGGTTGGAAGAAGGGGTAAGACTGATTCTATGTTAAGATAGTAGAGTTACAGTTTAATTCTTTTGTTTTTTATTTAAGAAAAATGTTTAAATAGGGGCCTTATGTTAGGCACGGTGGTTCATGCCTACAATCTCAGCACTCTGGCAGGCTGTGGTAAGAGAATCACTTGAGGCCAGTTCAAGACCAGCCTGGACAACATAGTGAGACTCCATCTGTATAAAAAATAATTAGCAAGGCATGGTGGAGCGTGCTGGTAGTCCCAGCTATTCAGGAGGCTGAGGTGGGAAGATCAGTTGAGCCTAGGAGGTCAAGGTGAGCTATTATCACACCACCACACTCCAGCCTGGGTGACAATAGAGACCCTGTCTATAAACAAACAAAAAAACACAAGGGACTTGTATGCATAATGAAAGTCTAGATTTTTCAGAGGCCATGATAAGTCACTACAGGGTTCTAAGCAGGAGTAATAGGGCCAGTTTACATTTTTAAGATTGCTCTGGCAGCAGTGTGGAGGGTGGTTGGAAGGGACAGTTAAGATGAGAAGAGACCACAGCAACAGTCCAGGAAGAACAGAGGATAAATGATGACTGTCTGGAACAGAGGGGAAATGACAGAAACAGAAGTAAGAAACTCTTTGGGATATGTAATTGGGGACCTCAGACACCTTCCCAGCTGCTAATGTTGTGTTCTGGGTAAGGCTGCCTATCTTTCAACCTAGACTGGTCAGTCAGTATGTCCCATTGTCTGATGTTTTTAGTGTGCAAAGAAGTCGATTAGGTCCCTAAGATCCCCCCAAATCCTACATACACAGTAGGAAGGTATTTTATAAAATCCTTTATTTTATGAGTGGCAATCGTCACCTCCCTACCCAACACATAAACACACATACCCATCTAGTCTTTGTTTTCATCACATTTCCCAAACTGATCGCATGTCAATGTGACTCACATAGAAAATAAACAAGAGGGGCCCATCACATACGCCAAGTTATCAATACTCCTTTCACCATTTCTGCTCAATCTAGAAGACTCAGCTTGGAATTATTTTAAGATTTTATGTTATTTGCAATATTATGGAAAAGTAAGTTACCGACATTCACAAGGTGATAAGCTGCAAAGAACAAGTTTGTTTTGTTTTCCTTTTTAAATTTAGAATCTTGTTTACAACACATTAGCATCATTAACAGAAAAACGACCATTTACATAGTAACTAAAAAACCAGCCACTTAAGAAAATAATGTAGTAATCAACCACTACCAGAGAAAATAGGTCCTCTCATTTGATTTTACTGGTAAGTCCAGCTGTTTTCTGAACTTTGTGAGAGTCTCTGTCCTGAATATGGCAAAGCATTCAAGTAAAAGGTAGGAAGTTATAAGTGTGAGATTCTGAGGGATTCTGTCTCAAAGAAGGTTCAGGAATAGCCACAGTCCTCCAGTTTACTCGAACGTTGAGATGTTCCTGTGATGACCAGCATAATTTCCTTTTGAGGAATTTTCACAATTCATCAGCCTCAGGATTCAGGTTTTATAAGACATTCTTCCACATTAAAAAAAAAAGACTCTGTCCCATAGAAATAAGTTTCTCATCGCTTCTCCAGCTTCTTGTACTTGGCTTCTGTGAGGGATGAGGGAGAGTTACATCTTTTAAAACTGGCTCTTACAAAGACAGTTTTTAGTTAGCATTTCCAGTCAAGTTTAAAAAATATGTATAATATTACTAAAAATCTATTAGCTTCAATCTCATCATCTGTCCAAATATACGGATCACTGATCTGTAAAACTTGGAATAAGAATTCAAGCACAGACACTCAGAACTGAGAGCCTAACACAGGTTCACGAAGTCCTCACCCTGTCAACAGCACCTACTTAGACAGCTCCACCAGGATGGGGCACATCTGTCACTTGACCTATCGGGAGCCTTACTAAAAAACTGCCTCTCTCAGCACTGTCCCAGGTGCCCTCTGGAACCAGACTGGAACCCTCAGGAAGTATAAATGTATGTTTCCTCCTGTATGTTCTTATCCTTACACCTTACTCCAGGAAAGCAATTTTGAAAGATACAGATATTTAAAAGGCCATCAAATAAGCCTCTTACTCTGACATTCCGTTTTTCTATTAAAACCATGAAAGCACCTGGTTTCACAATTTTAACAGAAAAAGGGACTCTGTCACAAATGGTTACTGTGAACCAAGATACTTTCTACATGGTAAGGTTACCCCTGCCTTCTACGCGGTAAGGTTCACGGTAATCACTGGCTAAATGTAACTGTAGAAAATAAAACTGATTGTTAATCGCCACCCATATCAAATCCCAGCCTACTACAAACTACTTTCTTGAAGTAGTCAGCCCTTGTTAAATGATGAAAATAAAATAATCTGTAAATGTTATAAGGACAAAAACAAACTCAGGCCCGTCTCCCTCTCCATCTCCCTCTCCCGTCTCCCTCTCTCTCTCCCGTCTCCCTCTCCCGTCTCCCTCTCCCGTCTCCCTCTCCCGTCTCCCTCTCCCGTCTCCCTCTCCCTCTCCCGTCTCCCTCTCCCTCTCCCGTCTCCCTCTCCCTCTCCCGTCTCCCTCTCCCTCTCCCGTCTCCCTCTCCCTCTCCCGTCTCCCTCTCCCTCTCCCTCTCCCGTCTCCCTCTCCCTCTCCTTTCCACGGTCTCCCTCTCAAGCCGGGCCAAAGCTGGACTGTACTGCTGCCATCTCGGCTCGCTGCAGCCTCCCTGCCTGATTCTCCTGCCTCAGCCTGCCGAGTGCCTGCGATTGCAGGCGCGCGCCGCCACGCCTGACTGGTTTTCGTGTTTTTTTGGTGGGGACGGGGTTTCGCTGTGTTGGCCGGACTGGTCTCCAGCTCCTAGCCGCGAGTGATCCGCCAGCCTCGGCCTCCCGAGGTGCCGGGATTGCAGACGGAGTCTCATTCACTCAGTGCTCAATGGTGCCCAGGCTGGAGTGCAGTGGCGTGATCTCGGCTCGCTATGGCCTCCACCTCCCAGCCGCCTGCCTTGGCCCCCCCAAAGTGCGGAGATTGCAGCCTCTGCCTGGCCGCCACCCCGTCTGGGAAGTGAGGAGTGTCTCTGCCTGGCTGCCCATCGTCTGGGATGTGAGGAGCCCCTCTGCCTGGCTGCCCAGTCTGGAAAGTGAGGAGCGTCTCTGCCCGGCCGCCATCCCACCTGGGAAGTGAGGAGCGCCTCCTCCCGGCCGCCATCCCATCTAGGAAGTGAGGAGCGTCTCTGCCCGGCAGCCCACCGTCTGAGATGTGGGGAGCGCCTGTGCCCCGCCGCCCCATCTGGGAGGTGAGGAGCGTCTCTGCCCGGCCGCCCCGTCTGAGAAGTGAGGAGACCCTCCGCCTGGTAACCGCCCCGTCTGAGAAGTGAGGAGCCCCTCCGCCTGGCTGCCACCCCGTCTGGGAAGTGAGGAGCGTCTCCGCCCGGCAGCCACCCCGGCCGGGAGGGAGGTGGGGGTCAGCCCCCCGCCCGGCCAGCCGCCCCGTCCGGGAGGTGAGGGGCGCCTCTGCCCGGCCGCCCCTACTGGGAAGTGAGGAGCCCCTCTGCCCAGCCAGCCACCCCGTCCGGGAGGGAGGTGGGGGGGTCAGCCCCCCGCCCGGCCAGCCGTCCCGTCCGGGAGGGAGGTGGGGGGGTCAGCCCCCCGCCTGGCCAGCTGTCCCGTCCGGGAGGGAGGTGGGGGGGTCAGCCCCCCGCCCGGCCAGCCGCTCCGTCCGGGAGGGAGGTGGGAGGGGGTCAGCCCCCCTGCCCAGCCAGCCACCCCGTCCAGGAGGGAGGTGGGGGGCTCAGCCCCCCCGCCCGGCCAGCCGCCCCGTCCGGGAGGGAGGTGGGGGGCTCAGCCCCCCGCCCGGCCAGCCGCCCCGTCCGGGAGGTGAGGGGCGCCTCTGCCTGGCCGCCCCTACTGGGAAGTGAGGAGCCCCTCTGCCCGGCCAGCCGCCCCGTCCGGGAGGGAGGTGGGGGAGTCAGCCCCCCGCCCGGCCAGCCGCCCCGTCCGGGAGGGAGGTGGGGGGGTCAGCCCCCCGCCTGGCCAGCCGCCCCGTCCGGGAGGTGAGGGGCGCCTCTGCCCGGCCGCCCCTACTGGGAAGTGAGGAGCCCCTCTGCCCGGCCAGCCGCCCTGTCCGGGAGGGAGGTGAGGGAATCAGCCCCCCGCCCGGCCAGCCGCCCCGTCCGGGAGGGAGGTGGGGGGCTCAGCCCCCCGCCGGGCCAGCCGCTCCGTCCGGGAGGGAGGTGGGGGGGCGGTCAGCGCCCCCTCCCGGCCAGCCACCCCGTCTGGGAGGGAGGTGGGGGGGTCAGCCCCCTACCCGGCCAGCCGCCCCGTCCGGGAGGGAGGTGGGGGGGTCAGCCCCCCGCCTGGCCAGCCACCCGGTCCAGGAGCTGAGGGGCGCCTCTGCCCGGCCGCCCCTACTGGGAAGTGAGGAGCCCCTCTGCCCGGCCACCACCCCGTCTGGGAGGTGTACCCAACAGCTCATTGAGAATGGGCCATGATGACGATGGCGGTTTTCTGGAATAGAAAAGGGGGCAAGGTGGGGAAAAGATTGAGAAATCGGATGGTTGCCGTGTCTGTGTAGAAAGAAGTAGACATGGGAGACTTTTCATTTTGTTCTGTACTAAGAAAAATTCTTCTGCCTTGGGATCCTGTTGATCTATGACCTTACCCCCAACCCTGTGCTCTCTGAAACATGTGCTGTGTCCACTCAGGGTTAAATGGATTAAGGGCGGTGCAAGATGTGCTTTGTTAAACAGATGCTTGAAGGCAGCATGCTCGTTAAGAGTCATTACCACTCCCTAATCTCAAGTACCCAGGGACACAAACACTCTGCCTAGGAAAACCAGAGACCTTTGTTCACTTGTTTGTCTGCTGACCTTCCCTCCACTAGTGTCCTATGACCCTGCCAAATCCCCCTCTGTGAGAAACACCCAAGAATGATCAATAAAAAAAAAAAAAGGCCTGTGATTCCAGCTACTTGAGAGGCTGAGGTGGGAGGATTGCTTAAGGCCATGAGTTCGAGACCAGCCTGGGCAACACAGCAAGGCCTTGTTTCAAAAACAATTTTTTTAAAGTAGCTGGATGTGATGGTGCACACCTGTAGTCCCAGGTACTCAGGAGGCTGAGGAAGGAGGATCACTAGAGCCCAGGAGTTCAAGGCTACAGCGAGCTATGATCACGTCATTGCACCCTAGCCTGGGTGACACAGCAAGACCTCATCTCTTATAGAAAAAAAAAACAAAACAACAACAACAAAAAACCCACTAAATTCTTTACTTTTAACCATGTATGTAAGAGCCAGAGCCAGTTAGCAAACCACTAGTACTAAAAATACTAGTTTCTTCCTCAAAGGAAAAGTGATCTTTCAAGAAAATCCTCAACTGACTATTCATTTAAGACATATTTATCTACATTATTAAAGGTGCTTCTGCTTTCTCAACTACAAATAAGAACTTGAGCTTTGTAAGCAAACAGACCTGCTTAGAAATATGGCTCTTCCCTGTACTGGCTTAGTGTCCTTAAGCAACTTACTTATCCCCTTAAACCAGTTTCCTTGCCTACAAAATGAGGATAAAAATCATGTACTTGAACCAGATGTGGTGGCTCACACCTATAATCCCAGCACTTTGGGAGGCTGAGGCGGGCGGATCACGAGGTCAGGAGTTCAAGACCAGCCTGGCCAACATGGTGAAACCTCGTCTCTACTAAAAGTACAAAAAAAAATCATGTACTTACCTCACAGATTATTGGGAAGATAAAAAACATAATACAGGCCAGGCCGAGGTGGGCAGATCACTTGAGGTTGGGAGATCGAGACCAGCCTGACCAACATGAGAGACCCTGTCTCTACTAAAAATACAAAATTAGCCAGGCGTGGTGGCGCGCCTGTAATCCCAGCTACTCGGGGGGCTGAGGCAGGAGAATCGCTTGAACCCAGACCCAGGAGGCGGAGGTTGCGGTGAGCCGAGATCGCACCATTGCACTCCAGCTTGGGCAACAAGAGTGAAACTTGTCTCAAAAAAAACAAACCAAAAACAAAAACCAAACATAATACATGTAAAGCACTAAGAACAGTGCCTGATATATCATTAAGTAATCAGGAAATGTTATTTTTATTAATATAATAATAAATTACTAAGGTTTTGTGAAGATTAATAGATCACTGTAGGCACACCATAAATGTTAACTATTATGTTTACTAAGAATATGCTGGCAAGAAGCAGTCTTTATTACATCAAAACAGAAGTAAAAACGGTTACCCAGTTTTTTTGAATATGCATCCAACTTGTAAGCTGCCTGCTCAAGAGCTGCTACCTGCTCTTCAATGACATTGATCTGATCCAGATAAGGCTGCAGTCCAGCATCTTTAAAAACAAAGAAAAACTTCATGTTTATATGGCTTTATTAACAAAGAATATAGGAAAAGAGTGGAAAAGTAATAATGCTAGTGTCTCTCCAGCTATGCTAAGACAGATTAGGTGGCGTGACATGATTCTGAGCACTAGCAGGGCAGATGCTTTAGAAGACAGTAGCTAGTTGATCAGGCACGACTGTGGCCCAGACTTAGTGTCTCTCATCTACTAATTTTCCATTCTTTTTAATTTCTTGCTCCTTGAGCAATCTTTCCATTACTGATTCTGTTTCTTGGGTACTCCCATACCAAGAAAGAGCACCCTAGAGAAAAGAAACACAAAAATAATAAGTCAATGGAAAAAATATATTCGACTACTCTAAATTAGTGTTTTCCATTATAGAGTTTTTGGTTTTCTGCTTATAGAGTAATCCTTTATGGATTTGTAAATCAATTCATTAGAATCTGGCCACCCTTCCTTTGCCCCCTCCCATTCCAGGAATAAACTGATAAAATCAAGATTTAGAAGCAAAAATACCCATACAAACAAAACATGCTAATCCTCAGAATGGAAGAAATTCATCTTAAATTTGGAATTCATTTTTAGAAAACAAGCTCCCACAAGACAAGGATGTCATGTTCCCTCCTCTTCTCCATGGCCCCAAGCACAAAAGAACATTAAATACAAACATGTTTAATTACAAATATTATTACTTACATTTCTGGTTTAAGTCCTTTAAGTTCCTACTAATGTTTATAGCAATATCTTTCATTTCAAGATACTTCAAGCTGGTGAGTTTATTCATATTTTCCAGGAGCTTATAGTCTTCACTGGTGGCTTGAAAATTAAACAGAAGATGTAATGTCTTTAAGATTTGTCTTAAATCATTAGAATGTGGGAGTATAAGCTAAGTGGTAGTTCAAGGCAGGACCAAGGAAGTGTCAAAGGAGTGGGCCACTTTTGATCTATGACATTTATAACTCAGCCTATGTACTCTGAAAGTCTAGGTAGAAATTCAGGCAACAATCAGAAAACTATTTAAACCAAACAAGATCCAGAAGGTTCAGGATCATGGTTACAAAGGGAAATGATAAACTCATGTCCTAAGAAAAGGGAGGTAAAATAGTCTTGGTACTTCTACAGCATGAAAACATTTAACTTATATACATATAATATATATACTATCAGGCTGGGCGCGGTGGCTCATGCGTGTAATCCCAGCACTTTGGGAAGCCGAGGCGGGTGATCACGAGGTCAGGAGTTCAAGACCAACCTGGCCAAGATAGTGAAACCCCATCTCTACTAAAAATACAAAACAATTAGCGGGCGTGGTGGCAGGCACCTGTAATCTCAGCTACTCGGGAGGCTGAGGCAGAGAATTGCTTGAATCCAGGAGGCGGAGGTTGCAGTGAGCCGAGATTGTGCCACTGCATTCCAGCCTGGGTGACAGAGTGAGACTCCATCTCAAAAAAAAAAAATATATATATATACACATACACACACACACACACACACACACACACACACACTATCAGCTAGGACCTCACTACTTCTTAGTAACTCGTTTATTACCATGTATAATTCTATATTGCATTTTATGCAGTGACATTTCCAAACCATCTGTCTGCTTCTCATATCCTCAGTTCTTTCCCTATCCCCATTCAAAGCAAATGGTCTCTACTCCAATTTTCCTAAAGGCCAAGTCCATTAACATAAGCTGCTTCAACCTCTCTGCCTTACTTCTTTTGTTTTTTGTTTTTCTCTCTGCCTCACTTCTAAACTTCTCTGGATCTTAATATCTTCCCAAGAGGCAGAAGTGTTCCTATTCTTGCCAAGACAACCCCCTCCTCTTGTGGCCTTGAACCCAAACACTTCTACTTCTTCAGGGCCTCTCTTCAATCATCTCCTTTCACTTGCATTTCCAAATTCTCCCTCTCTCCTGGCACCTTCCTCTCTATGTATCAATATATTCAGATTTCTTCCAGCTCAAAAGCACTCTCTCTATTCTGCTACATCTATATCATTTGCTCAGTAAAGCAAAGGAGCTTCACTGCTAAACAATTTGAAAAAGTAGCTGACACTCACTACATCCTCTTCCTTACCATTTACTTGCATATACCCTTGTAGTCTGGTTTTTGGCCCTACCATCCAGAGATTACATGCTCCAAAGTCATCCTGCTCTGCTAACCACCAAATCCATGGCATTTGCTCAGTTCTTATCCTCCTAAACCTCTCCATTGTCTTGGACACTACTGATCTCCTTCTCTTTGGGAAATGCTCATTTCCTTTGGCTGCTATGGCATTGTACTACACCGATGATTTTCTAATCTCTAACTGCTCTTCTTAGATGTCTATGCCAGATGCTTTCTTATCAGACCCCCTTAACTATCAGTTCTCAACTGTTTCTCAGCTGTAACACATAACTGATGTTTACATGGGTAGCACATACCTATGGGCATTCCCAGGCTTATGCTAGAAACTAGCATAGTTTAAGAGGAAATATCAATTTACTCTTAAATTCAATAAAGCATTTGTGCGAGTAAGAATAACAATCACAGGAAAATAACAATTTGCTTAAAATTAATTATATAATAAATCATTTGGAAACCTAGGTACTTTAAGTGTTACTAAAAACAAATTAAGTGCACCATACAGGCATTCCCTGACATTTTAGCCTAGGCTCTCTTACCTACTTCTAAGCTCTTCCTTGGCAATCTCATCCTGCACAGCGTCCAATCACACCACTACGAAAGTGACTCCGAAATCTGTTTCTTGTGCTCTGATCAATCTCTGAGCTCTGGAATCCAATGTACAAGTCACCTGAGTTCCCTAGTTACATCAACAAGCAGCCAACCCAAAACTGAAAACATTTTCACACTAAACATGGTTCCTCTTTCCAGCTATTTTGGCTGATGGCACCACCCAGGCTTAAAACCTCAGATACATCTTGGTCTGCTTCCATCCCTCAATATCTACTTAAACAAGTCCTATAAAGTCCACTTCTGTAATGCTGTTGCACCCATGTTCTCCTTTCCATTCCTTTTACCACCACTCTGCCTCAGATCTTCATTACTTTTCTTTTCTTTTATTATTATTAGATTACTTGGAGCATGTAACCTCTGGATGGTAGGGGAAAAGACAAGACTACAAGGATGGAGTCGTGCTATGTTGCCCAGGCTGGTCTTAAACTACTGGCCTCAAGCAATTCTCCTGCCTCCCAAAGTGCTAGGATTACAGGCATGAGCCACGGTGCCTGGTCCTCTATTACTTTTCATCTGAATTATTGCTCATCTCTCTCTGTTCTCTCTCCCCCATATCTACACTCTCATATTTATACTGCTATCAAATTAGTCTCTCTAAAACAAAGGTCACAGCTAGGCATTGCGCCTCATGCCTGTAATCCCAGCACTTTGGGAGGCCAAGGTGGGCAGATCACTTGAGGTCAGGAGTTCAAGTCCAGCCTGGCTGACATGGCAAAACCTCATCTCTACTAAAAATAAAAATAAAAATTAGCCAGGCGTGGTGGCGTGTGCTTGTAATCCCAGCTACTTTGGAGGCTGGGGCAGGAAAATTGCTTGAACCTGGGAGACGGAGGTTGCAGTGAGCCGAGATTGCACCACTGCATTCCAGCCTGGGCAACAAAAGCGAAAACTCCGTCTAAATAAAATAAAATAAAACAAGGGTGACATATTCAAACACCTAGAAGCCAGCAAGATAACGTAAATGAGTAAAGTAAGCCAAGTGCTTGCACATTAAATGCATAAGAAAATTATTCACTTCCATGAAGAAATGTGCTTCCCCTTACTTCTTGCAATATGCAATCCTCTTAGCCCATCATTTACTTTACCAGTTTTGATAGAGCCATTGGTATAGAAAACCATTTCTGTACTGCTACTAATAAAAATAACAGTAGAGAACAGTGATCAATGGCACTTGACACTAGTTCCCAGTAAAGGGAGAAAACAGAAAGTGGTAAGGACAAATTAGATAGCACTAGTCCTTTTAAGAGGCAGCTGCTCAGCTCTAGTCAATTATAGCCTTGAAAGAATGCAGGGGCTAGTAGCGCCAAATCTTTGGAATTGTTAAAGAGAAGCCAAACACCTACATTTTGTTACTTGGTTTCTCTTGCTCAAAAATAAACAAACAAATAATCAGGCTGATAACTTACAGAGTCACAGCTGGGTGCAGTGGCTCACACCTGTAATCCCAGCATTTTGGGAAGCTGAGGTGTTAGGATCACTTGAGGCCAGCTTGGGCAACGGAGCAGACCTCATCTCTATTATTTATTTATTTAGGACAGAGTCTCCCTCCATCACCCAGGCTGGAGTGCAATGGCACGATCACAGCTCACTATAACCTCCACCTCTCAGGTCAAGCGATTCTCCCGTGTCAGCCTCCTGAGTAGCTGGGATTATAGGCGTGTGCCACCACACCTGGCTAATTTTTGTATTTTTAGTAGAAGCAGGGTTTTGCCATGTTGAGCAGGCTGGTCTGGAACTCCTGACCTCAGGTGATCCACCTGCCTAGGCCTCCCGAAGTGCTGGGATTACAGGCATGAGCCACCGTGCCTGGCCATATTTTTTTAAATAATAATAATAATAAAAGAAAAGTAATGAAGATCTCAGGCAGAGTGGTGGTAAAAGGAATGGAAAGGAGAGCATGGGTGCAAGAACATTACAGAAGTGGAATTTATAGGACTTGTTCAAGTAGATATTGAGGGATGGAAGCAGACTAAGATGTATCTGGGGTTTTAAGCCTGGGTGGTGCCATCAACCAAAATAGATGGAAAGAGGATCACTTGAGCTCAGGAGTTCAAGACCAGCCCAGGCAACATAGTGAGACCCTGTCTCTTAAAAACAGAAAAAGAAAAAAAAAAATTACAGATTCACAACCCCTACTATTCTGTATCAAGCCTTTTCTCATAGATTCTGATTCACAAATTTAGCTTACAGTAATTTCCTGGGGAAGTGAAACAATTTAATAAATGTTTTTGAGATGCTGTACTGGACCAGACTTCACTTTCTTTCTTTTTCTTTTTTCTTTCTCATTTTTTTTGAGATGGAGTCACACTCTGTCGCCCAGGCTGGAGTGCAAGTGGTGTGATCTCAGTCCACTGCAACCTGCAACCTCCACCTCCTGGGTTCAAGCGATTCTCCTGCCCCAGTCTCCCCAGTAGCTGGGATTACAGGCGCCCGCCACCACGGCCGGCTAATTTTTGTATTTTTAGTGGAGACAGGATTTCGCCATTTTGCCCAGGCTGGTCTCAAACTCCTGACCTCAAGTGATCCACCAGCCTCGGCCTCTGGGATTAAAGGCATGAGCCACCGCGCCCTGCCCATACTTCACTTTCTGATCCTCCTCCACACATAGGTCATGTGTCCACTTGGAAACGATCAAACACTAGTCATGTCCCAAAGGATGGGTTATCAAATCCTCAGACCAAACTAATAGGTCCCTAAATCTGCAGGTCACTCCCCGTTCCTCAATTTCATTTCTCTTTATCCCGGTAAACACATCTTCTGCTTTAGCCAAACACACTGCTTGCACATACCACCTCATTCGCTAGTTGTATCATCTCCCCCTTTTCCACCAATAATTCCCTTCACAACCCTGCTCAAAATACACTTTCCCCAAGGAAGCACTTCTTGATTACTGTTGCTGGATATGAACTCTTTTTTGTTATTGTTTTCTCATTAGTCTATGTTACAGAGGCCTGCAGAGTTGTATTTTCTTTCTCTCCCATTCATGGCCTCCCCCAACTTCCAACAGGCCTGTCTCAGGGCATGCAGGGTAGGAAGGGAGCTGCAGACTGATGCTGCTAACCATCTCCCAGGCCTCCTGGGCCAAACCGCACCCGAATCAACCCAGACCCCGCCTCACCCGTCAGTTCCCCAGTCAGGTAAGTGGCCATTTTGGAGAACATGTCCCGGCAGAGCTCAGTGATGTCAGCTTCAGCAGGCTCCTTTGCTTCCTCAGCTGTCTCCACGGCGGCATCGTCTGGGCCAAGGGAGAATGACTAAGTGTCCCGCCTACACCCGGTGCTAATCCAGCCAAAGCAGCCTGTTCCGACATCCCTCCACTTGCCTTCATTCCATCAAGTCGGCTCCATTCTCCATCTGCCATAATTTCAAGTCCTTCACTGCGTCCCTGCCCATCTGACACATCAACTCGCCTCCCTCGCACCGCCCCTCGCCCATACCCGGCACCCCCGCTCATCCTGGCACCATCCCAGTCACCCTGACAGGACAAACACTCGCGCGCAGCGACAAGTGCACTCCTCTCACCAGCCCGTTCCTGCCAGGTGAGCCACCACACACTCAACCTCGCCCACCCGAGACGGAGCCCCAGGCCCCCCACCGGACGCTTCCTCCCCATCCATTCCGGGTACCTCGGGCGGGCTCATCACTCCGGGTCGCCAGTACGCCCTCGGCTGCCGCCGCCATAGCGGACCCCGCGCTGTTTCCGGGCCGGGGTGCTGCGCATGCGCACTGGGTGTGCCCCGCCCACCCGGCCGGCCCTGCAGTCCTGCGCCTAGCGGTCCAGTCCAGCCTCAGGTCTATGACACAGCAAAGGGCGATTCCGGAGCCGAAATTGAAGCTACGCCAGGCTGTTGTGAATTGATCCACTGCCAACAGTCGCGACGTCTGGGACTGAGGGCGAGCTCATCCCTACAGTCACACCCTGGAGGGATCACTCATCTTGTACCACTCACGACCCGTCTGGGAATAGTCAACCCTGTTTGTGGCCTGCTGACCAAAACCACTGAAGACGGATTGCCCGCTCTCCTGACACTCCGCACTGGAGTTAGTCATCAAAAGATTGCTCAGGGAATCCAAAGTTTTACAGGTTGTCTCGTCCACACTTTGGGAAACCTTCAGGCATTGATCCCTGGTCCTAAATACTGTCCCTCCCAATGTCCTGAGTTAACACCAACTCACTGGCCCCTATTTCTTAAACTGCAGGCAGGCATCTACTTCTCTTCAGTTGATACAGCCTTCCTTGAAGAAAGCTTAGACTGTAACTTTTTTAGGGCTGAGGATACACTCTGGTTATCTTAATTGCATTTAAGCTGTTTCACAAGCCTCCTAGGTGTACAGAGTACTTAATGGGATGGGAGAACAGGAGTGAGTGAAAGAGATGGATGAGAAGAAGTGACTGGGGAGCAATTGAAGGTGCAAAATGAGGAGGGATAAAGGCCACAGAAGAAGGGATAGGAGATATTCAGCAGGCCTCAGGCAGGCTCCTGGACACCCAAAATCTTGGTAGTTTCTTTTCTTATCCCTGGTTATCCTCCCTCTGCACCCTCTCACCCCACCCCGATGCCAGTACATACACACACACGCCAGCTACCCCTTATCCCCAGCCCTCCTACCCTGACTGTCTCCACCCTGAGGACTGAGTCTCACTTGTCACCTGTCCCCACTTTTCCTATGGTGCAACCATAGTAGCCACTATTTCAAGCCATTCCTGCGAGCCAGAAGTTCTTTTTTTTGAAACAGAGTCTCGCTCTGTCACCCAGGCTGGAGTACAGTAACGTGATCTCGGCTCAGCTCACTGCAACCTCCACCTCCCGAGTTCAAACGATTCTCATGCCTCAGCCTCCCAAGTAGCTGGGATAACAGGCACGCGCCACCACACCTGGCTAATTTGTTTGTATTTTTATTAAAGACAGGATTTCAGCATTTTGCCCAGGCTTGTCTGGAACTTCTGGCCTCAAGTGATCCACCCAACATAGCCTCCCAAAGTGCTGGGATTACAAGCGTGAGTCACTGTGCTAGGCCTAGAAGTTCTTATAGCCCAGCTCCTTCACATCACTGCACCTACTCTATACCTCCTAGAGAGCATGAACCTATTCCAGCCCAGGCACATGGATGACCCACAATTTCAGCCTTTCTTCCCTCTATAATACCAGAAGCAAATGCAAAGTCCAAGTTTTCCTAAGGAGTTTTATTGATAGCCACCATGGAAACCCACATGGTCTTATGGAAGAATAATGTCAGAACCCACCACATATTAATTCAAAGATCTCTGAATCCTGAGTTCATTTCCTTGCCTGATTCCCTTCAGGCTCCATTTTTATCTCCTGGTTAAAGCCCACTCAGTTTCCAGGTTCAGTGGACCAGGAGGCAGCCTCTTGCAGAAGATCCTTCATAGACTTTGCTCCGGGAGTGCCTCACACTTAACTCCTCTGCAACGTTGGAATCTCACCACGGGAGAGTCTCCTCTCCTCTAAGGCTTCCTCTTCTCTTTTATAGGGAACCTCTGTGGGGGAAAACGAGAAACCCATGGGTGCTAGCAACAAATCTTGGGATGCACAAAGGATAAGAATAGGATTCACTGGGAAGTAGGAAGACATCTAGATACCGCCTACTCTCTTGGTTTCTACCTTTTTCACAGACCATGGCTATCCAGGTGCTTAGGAAGAGCCATTACCCTCCCTCTCTTTATCCTGTTTGTTAACTTTTTTTTTTTTAATTAACACACAGAGCTAAGTACACAGGGAGTAAAAGGCCCAGTGGAAGACGTTATTTCACAGAGCTATGTGGCAACACACAGAAACACTGATTCACAAGCCTAAGCATGATGCCCACCACACACAGAAACATTGGCTCAAAAGGCCAGATGCAGGGTGGGGCTCAGCAGCAGCCATGATGGGACCTGTTGTCCTAGAAGTGCAGGGGATGTGGCGAGGGGGCCTGTGCGGAGGCAGAGGGAGGGAAGCCTGCTGTCTGATGCTTTAGGCCCCCTTCCTCACCACTCTCCTGCCCACCCTGGACTCCCCAGGGGTCTGGGGTCACAGCTGGGGCTGGCTGCGGGTGCTTCCAAATAGCTTGTTCCTTCTGTTGGAAGAAGAAAGGGACAAATCATTTGAAGAAATAGTTTGTGTACCACTTTTCTTTTCTCTCTATCTGATTCCAGAGAACTCAGACTGCTATAGACTGTTTGCGTCCCTCCCAAATTCATCCGTTAAAATTGTAACCCCCAATGTGATAGTATTAGGAGGTGGGGCCTTTGGCAGGGGATTAGATAGTGAGTATGTAGCCCTTATGAGTGGGCTCACGCCTGTAATTCCAGCACTTTGGGAGGACGAGGTGGGTGGATCACCTGAGGTCAGGAGTTCGAGACCAGCCTGACCAATATGGAGAAACCCCATCTGTACTAAAAATACAAAATTAGCTGGGTATGGTGGCACATGCCTGTAATCCCAGCTACTTGGGAGGCTGAGGCAGGAGAATCACTTGAACTCAGGAGGCGGAGGTTGCAGTGAGCCGAGATCGTGCCATTGCACTCCAGCCTGGCCAACAAGAGTAAAATTCCATCTCAAATAATAATAATAATAAATAAAATAAAAAAATAAAATAAAGGAGACTTCCCTTACCCCTTCCACCATGAAAGGGCACAGCAAGAAGACAGCTCTCTATGAATCAGGAAGTGGGCCCTCAACAGATACTGAATCTACTGGCACCTTGATCTTAGACTTCCCAGCCTCCCAAACTGTGAGGAACAAATTTGTGTTGCTTATAAGCCACCCAGTCTATGATAATTTATTATATCAGCCCAAACAGACTGACACAGACCATCTCATGTGGCCAAGGCAGCCCTTAGGCCAGGGCAAGCAACTTCCAGGCCTTATCTCCATGACCCATCTCTGCTGATACACTAACCGCTATGAACATGTTTCCCCAGGAGCCTGAAAACATAGGTCTTTCAAAAATGTTCTTGCCCCACCCACTGAGTGGAAAAGATGGCAGAGTTCAGCTGTGAGGAACTAGGAGGACCAGGTGAAGGGCCACTCACCACGCCTGGGGAGGGAGCCAGCCACCCCTTCCTCTCCAGCATTTTCAGCTTTGAGCCTACAGCATCAATCTGGGACACTACTCCTTCCAGGACAGTCTCCAGCTGCAGAACTCTCCTTGTGAGCCTGTGTGGGATTTGAGAGAGACGAATGGAGCAGAAATCTGTGTCTGGGGGCTGGATGTCTAAAGAGCCAGGGTTCACAGAAGGGCATGTGTCCTGAATGGAACAAGGAAGGGAAGACCCAGCCTTGTAGGCAGAATTAAAGGGGAGCGGAGGTTCTCCCTGGGGTAGGACAGAGAATTGGAAAGTTGTGGGAAAAGTACAAGACAGGGTATCGTAATAGAAGTGTTGCCAGCCCTGAACCAGCCTTTCTTGGCTGCACGTACATGTAGAATTCTTCTCCTGAAACCCAGCCTCCTGCTCTGGCAGCCTCTGGACCCGATTTGCCTTGTGGGCTGCTCACAATAGATCGGCCTAGTTTCTCAATCTCAGTGTTGAGGGCCACCTGCTCAGGAAGTCAGAGGTTAGAGGGGAGGAGATAACTCTGGGAAGCCATCAGCTCCTGTTCTATCACCTACTCTACTGGGATCTCAGGACCAAGGCTCAGGTCCTAGTTCTTGCTATTCCCCTTCCCTCCCAGACTCTGGAGACAATAGGGTCAGGGTGGTGGTGCTGGACCAACCTCTGGAGGAGTCACCTCTCAAAGAAAACACAAGATCCTAGAAGGCTTGATGGATGAGGTATTTACTAGAGGCCAACTCATTTTAGCAGAGGAGGGACACTACCAGTGTTCTTGGCACTTTCTAGGCTGCTGTCACCCTGCCTTTGACTTTTTTTGGTCCACACTGGATAGGGATGGAGCAGGCACAGTAGGGACAGCCAAGAATCCAAGTCTGAAAATTCCCAAGAGAAGGCAAGTCCTCTGAGGGAATTATCAGTGATTCTTGGGCAGTTGGTCATTTTTCCCTAAGCCTGTGTTTTAGAGCATGATTCTCAACCTTGGCTATGTATTGGAATCACCTAAGGAGTTATAAAAAGTACTGATGTCTAGGCCCCACACCCAGAGATTCTGGTTTAATTGGTCTAGAGTGTGTGTCCTGAGTATGAAGATTTTTAAAGGCCCCCCAGGGTATTCTAATGTGCAGCAGTTTGGGAACTACTATTCTAGAGAGTTCTTTACTATCTATGGGAGAGTTTTCAGGTGGGTTTGTGTTCTAGGTATGTTGGGGGAAGGAGAGGGTGAGCTATTTCCTTACACTGCCTCTCCACCCATCAGCCCAGCTCACCCTCTCTTCCTCCAGGTCCTGTCGCATTTTTTCCTGTTCCTTCTCATCCAGAATACGATTCCCATCTCTGTCAAACTTGGTGAAGGTGGCCGTGAGCTCAGTGATTTCATGCTCTGCGTGTCCCAGTCTGAGAAGAGGATGATGAAATGATTTCTGCCCAGCTGTGGCTGTGACCTCTCAGTTATGGACTTCCTCACTCTTTTGCTTGACTCTGGCAAAAGTTTTGCTTCTGGTAAAGAAGGTTCTCCAAAGTCTAGCAATCTTACCCCCAGGAAAACACTCAGTTCAGTTCAGTTTCTTCTTCCTCTCCTGACTCCTGCTCACCAGGTTCAGGGCCTCATGACCTCCTACAGGGATTATTGCAAAATCTGTTTGCCTCTAAATAACCTGCTATCCCCCAGCTTCCCCTTTACTCCCTACCCCTGAAATCCATCCTCCATAATACAACTAGAGTAATTAACCTTTCTAATATGCAGATCTAAAAATGTGCCTTCTTGAAATCCCTTCTGGCACCCTATTCTTTTGGCAGAGTGGTAGTGTGGCCTTTCTCAGTGTGGTCCTTGCCTGTTTCTCTGGTCTCATCTCCTGCTATGACCACCACCTGTCCCCGCCCCTTTATTTAATACTTAGCAATGCTCAACTACTTATTCCTCCTGTGTATGTTGCTTGGTTTCAGACCTCTATGCTTTTGTATGTGCTTTCATCTCTTCTTGGAAGAGCCTTCCTCTGCTTGTCCACTTGTGAGCTATTCATCCTCCAATATCCTATTTAGACATTACCTCTTCCAGGAAGCCTTCCCTTAAGCTCAGAGATAGAATTGATCACCCTCTACTCCTAGTCACTTCTGTTGAACTTATTCTGTGATTCAGTTTATTTGCAAGTCTATGAGCTCTTAGAAAACAAAGACTTTGTCCCATTTAATTACGTTGTCTCCTAATCCCAGCACTTTGGGAGGCTGAGGTGGGTGGATCACTTGAGGCCAGGAGTTTGAGACCAGCCTGGCCAACATGGCAAAATCCCATCTCTACCAAAAATACAAAAATTAGCCGGGCGTGGTGGCACATGACTGTAGTCCCAGCTACTCAGGAGGCTGAGGCATGAGAATTGCTTGACCCCGGGGAAGCTGAGGTTGCAGTGAGCCGAGATTGTGCAACTGCACTCCAGCCTGGGCAACAGAGCAGGACTTTGTCTCAAAAAAAAAAAAAAAATTATGTTGTCTATTACTCAGTGCCTGATCTGCAGCTGGTGCTCACAATGTATTTGTTCAATGTGTATTAATATGTTTGACTGGGAATCAGGGAGTGAATGGCTAAAGGAATAGATGAGTGTTTGTGGGGAAGCATAGAACAAAAATCAGAGTTTTGTGGGAGTGGGGTGTGTATTCAATGATTAGGGAATTATTACATTGTTTCCTAAGAGTTGTTCAACAAGATCCAGGATGTTATAAACCACGGTCAGAGATTTTTAAACCAAGGGCACAGTTCTGAAGGTCAGGAGCGGAGACCTACGGGCAAAGATCTGAAGCCTGCAAGTCAAGATCAGAGGCCCCTAAACTAAAACCAAAGGCTTATAAGCAAATGAAGTATGGTTGAGGGTTGAGGACTTAAGAGACTGTTATTAGAGAAGGCTGGGTCTCTGGTTGCTCACTCCCTTAAGGTGTTGGTGAAATCCTCAAACTGGATCTCCTGCTCCCCACCCTGCAGGACCTTCTGCACATCCGAAACCCTCTCCTTCCTCAGACGCAGTCTTAGTAGGGTCTTGTTGTAGCCCTGAAAGGGAAAGGAAATAGGCACAAGTTCTCACAGGCTGCTCACTCATCCCTGGCCCCCAGCCCCACCCATAGTATGCCAGGCTTCCAAGGATAAATTTAAAGGCACACAAGGGCACAGGCACCTCAATCAGTCAGGAACAGACCAGGACACAGAGCCTTAGACTGGGGCACTGATGGAAATGTGTAGCTCAAGGAGATTGAGCAATCACCTGTTTCAGGAGGTCAGAAAGTTGCAGCTCATCCTTCTGTCCAGCCAGCTCCTCCTTGACCTCTGAATATGTGTCATTGATGATGGCCAGGAACATGTTCTGGAAAATGAAGTGGGGACCTGGGTCCTCACCCCCAGACCCACTGAAAGGATTGAGCCCACTGACCCCATTAATGTCCAAGACACGTGTTCCAAAGGGGTCAGTGCTCTCAACCCCAGTTCGGCAGCCCATCAATCCCTGCCTCTCAGGGTCCCCAGAGCCCAGCCTTTCAGCACAGTTCTGTTAGAGATGGATCATGCTTCTTGACCAACCTGGTGTCCTCACTCTCAGTTGCTGTAGTAACCTTTCTGACCACAGAGATACAATAACATATGCCACAGACCTCCTTTGTATAAGGGCCCATCAATCATTGGAACTAGAGGCTTTTCAGGGTGAGAGTACAATTGTGATCTCTTTTTCATCTACCCCCCAATCCATATCTGTATCCCCATCCATTGATCAAATAAAGAAAATTGCTGGCCTTGTTAGTAAAAATAAAATCCAAGAGCTGGGCACACTGGCCTACACCTGTAATCCAGCACTTTGGGAGGCCAAGGCAGGCAGATTGCTTGAGTCCAGGAGTTAGAGACCAGCCTGGGCAACATAGCAAAACACTGTCTCTACAAAAGATACAAAAATTAGCGGGGTGTGGTGGCTCCTGACCATACCAGTGGTCCTATCTACTCAGGAAGCTAAAGTGGGAGGATAGTTTGAGCTCGGGAGGTGGAGGTTGCAGTGAGCTGAGATTGCACCACTGCACTCCAGCCTGGGTGACAGAGTGAGACCCTGTCTAAAATAAATAAATAATAACCCAGATTTTTCATGGTTGGCAGGGAGAGAGAACTACCAAGTAGTGGCAGTAGAAATCAGCATGAGATCCCCAGAGGAAGGGGAGTCTTGGAGGACGGTCGTAGACGCTTCCAGGTGCAGCTACTGCTCCTCATAAGGCACTTTTCTCCCCATTTCCATCCTTGGAGAATGAGGGTTTGATTTTACTGAGGGAGTCTGCAGGTTCCCTTATACTCTGCAAACCTGCAAACTGACCATGCTGGCTGTACTACATTAACCATCTCTCAGAAGATCCAGACATCGGCCCCCCCACTCACTCTCCATCCTTGATTTGAGAAACTTATCAATCCTGAGTGAGGGACATACTAGGACCAAAACTCCACCCTGCAGGCTCTCTATGTCCCCACCCCTCAGAGAGACCCTCACCAGGAGCACGAAGAAGACGAAGAAGACATAGGTGACAAAGTAGGCAGGGCCCAGGATGCGGTTGGCATTGTCGATA